>NC_000009.12:61785368-62149738 GCF_000001405.40 Homo sapiens
AAATGTTTGTGTTTTCTCATAGAACTTATAATTTTAATTTATTTTTCAATATATGTTTCCCATACAGTCTAGTTGGATTCATAGTTGCAATGTTTCATGTGGTATATTTGCTCCCTATGGAACAGAACATAACATTAATCTTTAGATGTGTCACTAGAGAGATTTGTATATATCCACATAAATCTACAGTTGCAACTAGAAAAATTATCCTGTGAAAATTTTGTGACACGAATGTCTTTCAACTTTTTAAAAAGTAAAGAGAAAATGATGAACAAATATGAGTTGGAAATCAGAATGAACAAATCATGAAAATGTGTACCCCTTCAAAAATTTTGAAAATTAAGAGAAATCGGTAGAACAGCTGTATTATCATTTACAAAAATGCTTCTCTACCTATAGAACAAACAATTACTTTGTCCTCTAATTTCCAAATAACTTACAGAACATTTATTTCCTACTGTCACTGGAATGGCAGGCTGGCAGGCTGAGTTGGTAGCCCAATTGGTTCCTCACATCAAAAGATTCCCTTTATTATTTCCTTATTTTCTCTTTAATTCTGGCACTCCTTCATGATTGAACTTACAGATGTTCTTTTGTCTACTAATTTTCGAGTAAGCCTGTGCTCTCTATAACTTTCAGTCTTAATTTCCTTCTACCATCAGCCTTTTGTCTAAACATTCTTATTCTGGTTTGTTTCCCTGAACTCTTGACATCAATCTCTGTTCCTTCAATATTCTGTTTCTTCTACTGGAAGCATTCTTTCCCAGATTTCACCCACTTTACTCTTCTCAATCTCTGTGTCTGAGTTAAATACTTCCTTAGGTTTCTATGTAGGATTGTCTGTCCATCTGTAATTTTTCTATATCTCTCATGTTAACATACTTATATCCTTTACTGAAAAATGTCTCCTTTAAAAAAAAAATCAATGTGTTTGTTTACTTTCTTAAAATGCCGTCTTAAACTGCAAGGTCAAAGAAGGTAAGTATGATATTTGGATATTAATATCTACCACTTAATACAGAAACTATTCTAGCACTTGTATAGGCAGTATAAGACATAATTTTAGAACTCTAAAATAAAAACTCATAAACTGAAGTTAAATATCCATTTCCCACTGCTATCTCCTTTTCCTTTTAACACATTGATATCATTTGGATCTGTGTCCCCACCCAAATCTCATGTCAAACTGTAAGTCCCACTGTTAGAGGTAGGGCCTGTTGGGAGGCAATTGGATCATTGGGCGGTTTCTCTTAAATGGTTTAGCACCATCTCCTTGGTGCTGTTCTTGTGACAGTGAGTGAGTTATTGTGAGTCTGGTTGTTAAAAGTGTATAGCACCTCCCCACCTCTCACTCTTCTTCCTGCTTCCAGCCATGTGAAGTGCTGGCTCCCCCTTCACCTTCTGCCATGATTGTTAGCTTACTGAGGCCCCCGCAGAAGCCCAGCAGATGCATCATGCTTTCTGTATAACGTGCAGAACCATGAGCCAATTAAACTGCTTTTCTTTATAAATTACCCAGTCTCAGGTATTTCTTTAGAGCAATGTAAGAAAGGACTAATATAGAAAATTGGTAGAGGAATATGATATTGTTGTAAACATACCGGAAAATGTGAAAGTGGCTTTGAAACTGGATAGTGGGCAGAGATTGGAAGGGTTTGGAGAGATCAGAAGAAGACAGGAAGATGAGGGCAAGTTTTGAACTTACTAGAGTCTTGTTACATTGTTGTGACCAAGCTACTGATAGAGACACACAATGAAGTCCAGGCTGAGGAGGTCTCAGATGGAGATAAGGAACTTAATGGGAACTGGAGCAAAGGTCACTTTAGTTAGGCATTAGCAAAAAGGTTGGCTGCACTGTGGGTCTGCCCTAGGGATCTGTGGAATTTTGAACTTGAGAGTATCTCAAGTTCTGGTGGGTATCTGGTGGAAAAAATTTCTAAGCAGCAAAGCATTCAGGAGGTAAGCTCACTACTTCTGACAAACTATTTTGATGTGTGTGAGCAAAGAAATGACCTCAAACTGAAACTTATATTTAGAAGGGAAGCAGAGTGTAGAAACTTGAAAAATTTGCAGCCTGGCCATGTGGTAGAACAAAAAGCCCATTTTCAGGAGAGAAATTCAAGCAAGCTGCAGAAACTTGCTTAACTAAAAGGAAGGCACATGCTGATAGCCAAGAAAATGAGGGATACCCTCCAGGGCATTTCAGAGACCTTTGCGGCAGCTCCTCCCATCACAGGCTCAGAGGACAACGAAGGAAGAATGGGACACTACTACATGCATCTCATCTGTTGCAGCTCTAGCCATGGCTCCAAGTGGCCCAGGTACAGCTCAGGATGCTGCTCCAGAGGGTTCAAGCCATAAGTCTTGATGGCTTCCATGTGGCATTAAGCCTGAGGGTGCACAGAGTACAAGAGTTGAGGCTAGATTTCAGAGAATGTATGAACAAACCTAGATGTACAGTCAGAAATCTGCTGCAGGGTCAGAGCCCTGATGGAGAATCTCTACGAGGGCACTGAAGAGGGGAAAGGTGGGGTTGGAGCCACCACACAGTGTCCCTACTGGACCACTATCTAGGGGAACTATGAGAAGAGGGACACTATCTTCCAGACCCCAGAATGGTAGATCCACCAGCACTTGTACCGTGTGCCTGGAAATGGTGCAAGCACTCAACACCAGCCCTTGAGAGCAGCTGTGGGAGCTGAACCCTGCAAAGTCACAGGAGTGGAGCAGCACAAGGCTTTGGGAGCTCACCCCTTGCAGTGGTATGCCCTGGATGGCGTCAAAGGAGATTGTTAAGCTTTAAGACTTAATAACTTTCCTACTGGGTTTCAGACTTGCATGGGGCCCGTAGCCCCTTACTTTTGGCCAATTTCTCCCTTTTGAAATGGGAGTATTTACCCAATCCCTGTACCCCCATTATACATTATATCTTGGGTGTTTTTTTTTTTTTAATTTTACAGGGTCTTAGGCAGAAGGGGCTTGCCTCATCTCAGATAAGACTTTAGACTTTGGATGTTTGAGTTAATGCTGAAGTGAGTTAAGACTTTGAGGGACTGATGGGAAGGCATGATTATATTTTGCAAACTGAGAAAGACAAAATTTGGGAGGGACTAGGGCAAAATAATATGGTTTGGATCTATGTCCCCAACCAAATCTCATGTCAAATTGTAATACCCAGTGTTGGAGGTGGGGCCTGATGGGAGGTTATTGGATTGTGGAGTGGTTTCTTTTTAATGGTTTAATACCATTTCCTTGGTGCTATTCTTATGATAGTGAGTGAGTGAGTTATTATGAAATCTGGTTGTTAAAAGGGTGTAGCACCTCCTCACCTCTCACTTTTCTTCCTGCTCCCCGCTATATGAAGCACCGGCTCCCTCTTCATTTTCCCACCATGGTTATACATTTCATGAGGCCTCCCCACATGCCCAGCAGATGCAACATTCTTTCTGTACAGCATGCAGAACTGTGAGTCAGTTGAAACTCTTTTCTTTATAAATTACTCAATCTCGGGTATTTCTTTATAGCAATGCAATAATGGACTAATACACACCTAATAATATTATTTCCTTGAATCACGCAATCAATTAACAAAATCCTCTGTGTGAAATGGCTGGCTTCCTTTTATTGGTGGTTAACTGCTAATTAAACAATATTTTTGGCATTTCAATTTTGTTGTTATTATTGTTCAAAGCTTGTACAAAGCCTCCATCAAGTAGTCCAATTCTCCAGCTTCTGTCACTCCTGGACAACATTTGTATTTAAAAATACCTTTCAGCCAGGTGACACACACCTGTTGTCCCAGCTACTCAGGATGCTGAGGCGGGAGGAACACTTGAGCCCAGGAGTTCTGGGTTGTATGCACTATGCTGATGAAGTGTCTGCACTAAGTTTGGCATCAATATGTTAGCTTCCAGGGAGCAGAAGACCACCAGGTTGCCTAAGGAGTGGTCAACTCAAAAATTGAGCAGAATAAAACTCCTCTGCTTATCAGTAGTGGGATGACCCCTTTGAATAGTCACTGCACTACAACCTGGGCAACATAGTGAGACCCTATTTCTTAACAAAAAAAAAGAAAGAACTACCTTCCATATTTCTGCAAGTATGTGAGTTATCTTTGATGTAGTGTTACCTTTTCTCAGTGAATGAAGTGTAATAACCTCTTGTTCATTTTGTTTACAAAAATAAATAAATAAATAAAAGCAGGGACATTCTAAGTGGAATCAAGTTCCAAGTAATACAGACTTAATACTATTTATAGAATAATTCAATTTTATGATATATTTCATGTGTTGCTATCCTCAGTTATATTTACTCATGTATAGTTACATTTGTCAATGTCCTAGCTATAATCACCTATTTTTAGATTTTAATAAATGTAATTAAATTAATAGCATTTCTATTTTTATAACAAGTTCTAAAATTAAGCCACAGTAGAAAATTCATGATAAGATTAAGTTTGATTTTTATTTCACTTTTATATGTATGAATCTTAAGAATTTGGTATTTCCTATCTAATATTTGTCTTTCTGTTCTTGGAAACTAATTTCAAATTATTTACAAGTTTCAGAAGTATGCAGCCAGTGAAGAATCCAATATCATTTTGTTCAATATACCTATAATTTGAACTTAAATAAGTATACTTCCACAAATGTCACTGAAGCAAGTATTTCAAGTATTTATTTCCAGGTATAATTTCAATTATGGGGTATTCAGATATCTTGTTATATCAACAACTAAACATAATATATTAAATTATTTGAGATATAGAAAGTATATCTTGAAAACAGTGCAGTTGTAAATCTTTAAGGTAGGAAAGCAGCTCAGCAAATGTTTTCCTCCACTGTCCATGAGGCAAATGTCTAATGACTGTACACACACACTCACACTCACACACATACATACACATTCTGTCTCAAATATAGATATATATTCACACTCTGATTCAATGAATTCAACCTCATGACTAAGGATTTGAATAGTGTTTTTTAACCTTCATCCTTTCCTCTACTGCAATTTATAATTGAATTAGCTTACTTATTTCCTAGTAAAAACATTCCAGCATTGTGATACTATGATAAGGTTAAGATGTGAAAGTGTTTTTTACCATTTATTATAGAAAAACTATCTTATTTTCAGATTTATAAGAACCTTTTCAAATCCACCAAGGAAAAGTGTCTATGCCTTATAGATTGAAAAGCTCATCTTTACCAGTTAATTTACATCTTACTTTTTCCTAAAATATAAGGCTCTCCATATCTGTAGGTACACAGTTTGACTTAATTATCCTATGTTATATATTGTACATAATTATATGAGAGATAATGGCAATTTAAACAAATAAAATGATGGCTATTTCTTTTTATTAACTTCATCATATTTCACTGAGGTTTTCCTTACTTTAGGCTTCCTCGATGGCTGCAATGTATGCTAAAAGTAAATTTTTATGTGAAATGTTTAAAATATTTGAAAAAGATGCTTATTGTTTGTCAGGTTTTGCCACTGTTAGCATGACTCAGTACCCATAGAGTCTGTCTCTTAGGGATGTGAAGCAAATGATTTCTCTGATCCAAAACACTTCATATGCCTTAAAAGTCAAACAATGCAAAGATGTGATATTTAGAATACTAGTTACATAATAATGGATAATGACTTAGCTTTTAAAACAACTGCTTTAAACATGACACATTTAAAGCTAATTTGTAACTTTCATATGTTTCTGAAACTTTTACAGTCACTAAATAATTTGAGTAAAGCAAATGGGTTTCAGACCGATTACAATTTGGAAAGATTGATTATAAATTTTTAATAATATGTAACAAAGAAAAATGTGGTCACTTGATTATATACCTCTTCCCCAAGATCAAGTAAATACTTTATCAATAGAAAAAAGAAAGAAAAGCAAAAAGAAAAGAAAAAGAAAGCAACACTGCTATATAGAACATTTTTTTTCTAAATGGAATCCAGCAGCAAAAAAAAAGATAATTGAAGATACTATTAAAAGATACAATTTAATATTAATATTGACCACATTTATAAATTCACATAATTTTATAAAACATATGCACTTCTGAGTATAAAACACACATAATACAAAAAAGATTATTACATTTTAAATTGTTAAAATTTCCTCAATAGTTTTTCCACACCTGATGATTACTCTCAATCTCAACAAGATAATTATAAATGATGTTTATTATTCAAAATAGATTATTTTGTGTGTGTGTTTTATTCAATTAGGTGGTAAATTATAAGATTTTGCCAGGTGATTCAGAGAAGTAGCCTGGAAAAGTTTATATAGATGGTACTAAATGAAAGATAGAAAATTAAAAATTTATAGTTAAATTTATTAGAAACTTAAAATTCTTTAAAAAATTATAGTTAGGTAAATAAATCAACTAAATTTTTCCTTTTTCCTTCATATTGCAGAGTGTATTATTCCAGCCGGTTTACCATGCAGGCTTCCCAATTTGATACTAATTTTAACCTGACTTTTATATATCAATATTAAAGAGACGAAAAATAAATGTGATTTTCTCCAGCTCTATATCCCTCCAAGGAGAGCTTTGGAACTGAAATCCTAATCAGGGGATACATTTTTAATATTTTTGTCTCAAATGAATTTGGAGTCCTCCATAGTATTTCCAAAGTTGCAGAGCAGAAAAGAGGTTACCAATAAAATTGGGTAGTTCTCATCCCAATTACAGAATTAGGCCAAGTTATCAGATATGCAACAAATATCCACTCAGAAAGATTGAGTATTTAAATATTTTAATTTATGAAGTATTAGCCTATTGCTCAGTTAAAGTATTTTGGAAATTTTTCTTTAAAAAAATGTATCAAACTTGTGGTTAGATGACATTACTGACTCATTTTGCATCTGATCAAAACAAATAATGCATAAAACAAAGCAATGTAAGTTATAAAGCATTTTAAAATTGAAATAAGAGATCTTTATTTCTGTTGCATATCAAATGGGATTTATTGACTTCCTTTTCTCAAAAATGTCATATAGAAAACATTTCTACCCTCTAAAAATTACTAATAACATTAGCATCAATGACTTACAAGTAGACACAAGTAAGATGAAACACAGATTAACTCATACCATCAAATTCATATGGCCAAGTATAATCCCATTATATAACTATTTTCTATCACTAAGCATAGTCCAGCTATAAGTGTAAAAGGATGACGAAAAATGTTGCTAAAACATTAAGTGAAAATATACTGAAAAGAATCCCCAAAGACAAGAAATACAAGAACACACCAATTTGCCATCACACTTTATGTTCAGCCCTTTAGTGAAAAAAAAAAGTTTTCTAATTAATATTTCATTTACATTGGGGACAAGTACATAATGTAGTCATCAATTTGCTTAGATTCTGAAATACCATTCATTTATGTACATATTTTCTCTATTCAAATGTACTATTCACATCACTTGTCAATTTGCATATATTAAATCATCATGCAAAATTTACCATATTTTGAGTATTTTATTAATAATGACCCTTTTCTACAATTTTTATATGCACTTAAATTTTAAACAGCCAAACATTCAAAGGCTTAAAAATCAACACTTGAATTTTAAAATACTATTTGTATGAAATGAAATATTTAATTACAAATGTTAACTATATGTTATTGCTGTAACTATTGGGATAGACAGTGGGCAGTTAGTATAAGCTACTTTGTTAATAAATAAAATTTTAAAAATAATCAATGGAATGTTCATTTCAAACTACTTTGTTATTTCATTTCATTTAAATTTAGCATAAACTTTACTTCGGCAGCCAATTCCTTAGTTGTTCTTCTCCATTAACTCATGACTACTTTAGCTCTTGATGCTAAGCATGATGATGTTTGGTTTCAGAAGTTGCCACATTAACAATAGGATCCTTCAAGCTACAATCATGCTAACCAATTTTGACAATTTTATATTTTATAGGGCCTAGTTCTAACATTCTATTGTTATTTAATTTTATAAATATTTTTTAAAATCTTGTTACTAAATTAAAAATAGACCTCTGGAAAATAAATCGAAAGGTTTTTTTGTTTTTTGTTTTTTGAGACAGAGTCTCACTCACTCTATCACTCAGGCTAGAGTGCAGCAGTCTGATCTTGGCTCACTGCAACCTCTGCTTCCTGGGTTCAAGCGATTCTGCTGCCTCAGTCTCCCAAGTACCTGAGAATACAGGTGCCCACAACCATGCCCAGATAATTTTTGTACTTTTAGTAGAGATGGGGTTTTGCCATGTTGGCCAGGCTGGTCTCAACTCCTGACCTACATGATCCACTCGTCTGGGCCTCCCAAAGTTCTGGGATTACAGGCATGAGCCACTATTCCCTGCCAAATTAAAAGTTTTTATATGAAAAAGATATACACAAAGCAAAGATACTTTCACAGTATGAAAGTGAATTATAATTGAGAAAAATATCTGCAGGCCGTAATAGAATAGTTCTATTTCAATAGTTCGCAAACAATTTGTTAGTTCTGCTAAATAAAAAAATTTCCAACACTTGTTAAAATGGTTAAGGATCACTTTATTTAAGATTAAAATGATAGGTGTCAAGATGATTCTAACAGGCAAGAGAGATAAGGTTCAACTCTGAACACAGCAAAGATATCTGGGAAGTGCAGCTAATGAGCAGAGTGAAAGGTTGTCAATGAATACAAATTACTAAGAGGAGACATCAAGGGTAGGGGATTTCTTGTTAGCTAACGTAAGAGGATTCTTGCTGAAGGCAAGCCAGAGTGATCAGATATCAAGAGTGGGAGATTCTCTCTAAACTGACTTAGCAGCATTCTTGCAACAGCTGGACTAGGCAGTGTAAAGACAGGGCCCAAGGACAAAGTAGAGTCAAAAAGAGTGTTCCTAGAAGCCTGACTAAAGCGTAGACAAGAAGAAAGTCTTCATCAGTTCAAAAGTCACTTTCTATACTTATGATTTGGCCATGAGCATTCCTATCTTTACTTAGTTTGGAGGAGTGGACTCAGCAGCATGTATGTTATGGGAAAAAAAGAGATTTGGAAAAATTACTTACATAAGTTTGAAAGGCAAGATGAATCTGGCCATATGGTAAAATCCAACAGAACTCTTCTGGTTATGAGTAATTTGTAAAATAATTCATACATTGCCCATTATATGCATTAGATATATGTAAATTTTACCATGCTTATTCTTCAGAACACAAAAAGTGAAATACAAAGGCAAACATGGTAAAGCAATTTATTTTAGTTTTTGTGAGTTGTTCTTCTAGAGTATGTTATATGACTCTATGCCCTCAGTTTGAAACTCTCATTGAACCATATCTAAATTAACTAATAAAATGAACTTTGAATTATATATGCCACTGTGTGCAAATTAACATTCATTGACTGTATGTGTATGTAAATATTGGCCAGTAAACAGAGCCATTTACATCTTCATAAAGAGAATAACACTTCCAACTAAAATTCCTTCTAAAATTGGACTCATATCAATTGGAAGTATTTCAAACAATTACTAAACTGATTTACTTGAACAAATATAGAAAATATTATCTAAGCTATGTGTACCTATTTTTTTATATTCCTAGAAATTAGGGGGAACTTTTATTTCCTTTGATTGAATATGAGTTTCTAACTTAACAAAATATATAATAGTGAGTCAGTAAAATGAATACTTTTACCAAGGATGGAAAGTGTTCTGAATTATCTAAAAGACATTTTCATTGCAGTTAACATTTGCCTGTGTAGATCAGATTAATATTAAAATCTATTTTTTTCTTTTAACAAAATTTAGCAAATGAGGAATTTTCTATTGGTTCATTTCTTCTGACATTTCTTCTATGTTGACCCTTCTCCCATTTCATGTTGCAAGATGTGAGATCTTACTTCATTTATCACATTCATATTCAAGGCAAACTAAATAGAATCGGGATGATAGGCTTGTACATTTATGCTTTTTTACAGAAACCTTTAGAGAAGTGTTCAGCTATACTGTATCTCACCTATAAAAGGTGGTTCACATTTCCAAATGGATAAAGGCTAGAAAAATCAAGAAAAAGAGCTGTCATGAGTATACGACAGCAAACATAATTTGGGGCTTAGACTCATGACCAAATTGAAGTTCTGTAAGTAAGAAATTAAGAGAAAATTAATATTGGGCAGGCAAAATCCATGTTGGTATATCCTTATGCATATAACTAGAAATATATTGCTAATTTTAATAAACTTACTTTCAAAAATGTATTCTGTGTTATTATACTTTAACATGTGTTCATTAACTGTGTGTGTTCCTAAACCTTGTCATATTTGGATATGATTTTTAGCAATAAATAGTGGGGCAAGATGGAAAATCTGAAGTTTTACAAAAACTAAATATAAGACAAAAACAATATATATTCAACTAAAAAGGAGTTGGCAACAAACTTCTCTGATTCTATATCAAATCCCAAAAAACAATGGAATATGTATCAGTAATTATTGACTACCATAGGGTAATAATAATAATAAATGGTCATAAAATAAATTAGTTAATGGAAAATGATAGATATTAATTATTGAATGATAAAGCACAATGTAAAACAAAATGATAGAAATAATCATACTCACAAACATAACAATCTGTATGTAGAAGTCTAGGTTTTCCAAATTAAAGCTGGTTACTCACAAAATCCTTGAAAAGAGTGAGAAGTTGGTGGGGTGATTATATTTTTAAGCTATGAAGTCAGATAGTGTGATGTTTCATCTCAGTACCACTATAAAATAAAGTTTTAATCCTGTTCATGTCACTCTTAATTTTCACTAGCTTTTTAGGTAAGGAAAATTCATGTCCATCCCTTCCTTGATTCATCTCTTTCAAAAGCAACATTTTAAATGGTTGATGACTTAACATCACTGCAACTATTTTCTCCTTCATTTAAGAACATAATCAACCATTTATGTGAGCATGTTTATTTTACACCTCAATTTTGGCTCAAGGAATATAACACATAGCGGTTTCTTTCTTTCATTTGCCATATCAAATCCATGAACACCTGCCTTTAAGATGTATCAGATTACTTTTACCTCTTACTAGCCATGTCCAGGCAACTGCCAAAGCACTGGATCATTGGAATAGCTTCATAAATGATGACCCTATTTCTCTCACTTTCATTCCTAGAGGCTGTTTTTCAGCCACGAGTCAGAATGATTATAAAACATAAATCAAATAATTTCACAGTCTTGCTCATAGCTTTCTAATTGTTCCCCTTCTCAAAGTAAAACCCAAAACCTTGTCATTGTTTGTGAAAGCAACAATATGGGATCCTTCTCCATACCTCCCCCAATTTATTTTATCACAGCCCTCATTGTTTTGGTCATTCTATCCTTAAGAGCCTCCTGATATTTCTTGGAAATGCCAAGATTCACCCACCTTAAAAACCACTTTGTTTTTCTGTCTTTGAAAGAGACACGCGCTGTAGATATTTGCTTGCTACTCTACTTACTTCTAGACATCTCAGCAGAATTCTTTTGAGAGGCAGACAGTCACTCTGGATCTGCATTCAAATTTCACCCTAGAACTTATCCGCATGTTAATACTGCGTTTCTTTTTTTAATTTTTCACTGCCTTTCTCGCCCAAAAAGAAAGAACGTAAGCTCTTTTAGTCAGGGACAGCTATTTTTTTTTCTGTTTTCTCTTTTTCTTAACCTGGCATGAAGACACATTTCTGGCATAGAGCAAATGAATAATAAATATTTGTTGAATAATCTTGCATAAGTTAATCCTTAATTTGTCAACTGTTGATTCATTTTGCTCTGAAATCAATGACAATAAAAAAGAATTGTACTTCTATTTTGTACTTTTTTACTCAGAGTAAATATTTATTGAGATTTAATTTGTGCCCTGTAAACTGCTAAACTCCTAAATCCATTAGGTCTATTTCTCCCATGAGGTAAATATTTGCTCTTCATTGAGGATATAGCCAGCAAGGCAGAAACTAGTCTAGGACTTACAAACAATCTGATTTTATTATGTGGAGCAGGTAACATCAGGGTGAAAATAACTAAGAAACAAAGCAAGGAATAGTGATGAAAGTATTAGCACTAGCAGAGAACTAATCCTTTCCTCATGATAGTAAGGTCAATGGGAGAAACTAAAGTTCCAGAGATCCAGTAATGAGCCATTTCACAGTAGAATTACTGCTGGTGAGAAATGGGACCAGGGAGAAATATGACCTCTGATGTAGGTGTCATTAGAAGCAGAGAAAACAAACAAACGAAAACAGAAGTGGCCCTTCTCCTTGCCTTTTCCTGTCCTTCAATCTTTGGCTTTTGCCTTCCCTTGCCTGAATCTACCCAAAGACTAGATGACAAGGAAGCATGGGAAATGCAGATTTCTGTTACAGTGAAAAAATAAAAGAAAACTGCTGAGGAAATTGATCTGAGAGCAAACAAACTTTGATCAGCATATTAATATTATCATGTCATTTTACAGATTAAAAAATTCAAGTTCAGGGTTCGGGCTCACACCTGTAATCCCAGCACTTTGGGAGGCCAAGGGGGTTAGATCACCAGGTCAGGAGATCGAGACCATCCTGGCTAACATGGTGAAATCCTGTCTCTACTAAAAATACAAAAAATTAGCCGGGCGTGGTGGTGGGCACCTGTAGTCCCAGCTACTCGGGAGGCTGAGGCAGGAGAATGGCGTGAACCTGGGAAGTGGAGCTGGCAGTGAGCCGAGATCGTGCTACTGCACTCCAGCCTGGGCTACAGAGCGAGACTCCATCTCAAAAAATAATAATAATAATAATTCAAGTTCAGAGAGATGAAACAACTTTTTAAGGCAATCAGACTACAGATCTAACTGTCATTTACACTAAAACATTTTAGGAAAACAAAATCATAATGCTTTTGTGGTATTTTGATATTTCAAGAAAAATAGTTATATGTTTCGGTGTGTGGCGTGTGTGTGTGTGTGTATAAAATGATTCTACATTAAATCAAAAATTTAACTTAAAATTTTAAAGATAGAGTAAGTGCTGATAATAGGTTTACCACCAATGCACATTTTCAAGCAGTTAAGTGATTCTAATTAGTAAGAAAAAAACCTAGCAGTCCATACCTAGCATATGGGCTGGCATATAGTTGGCACTCAGTGACCGTCTTTTGAAAGTTATTATGCCCTTGAGGCTGTTACAATTCCAAAATGAGATGGAGCAAAGTTTGTGATAGTTGTGATTTCACTTATAATTCACTTATAGGTGTTGAATTCTCAGTAAGGATAATCCAGGTATTTCACTTCCATTTATCCTTTGTAACATTTACTTAATACACACTTTGTGCTCTTATCGAACTTTTCTGTTATATTTTTAAAAGGTTTATTTGCCCTCCAGGTTAACTGGAGAAATAGTGTTTTATTCAAAGTTATGAAGAAGGACTTCCTCATTCTATTATTTCTACACAAATATTTATTACAAATATATAGATTACTTAAGTAGCTACTTATCTGATGACTTACAAAATGATTTGAGAACAATTTAAAGTTACGTGGTGTGCTTTCTGTACACATAACCCACATACTAAGTAATTTATAAAAATCCATAAAATAGGAAATTAACTTAAAGGTCACTAGGCTCTCAGAAGAATAAATGACCTTTGATGCTGGAAATCACTTACTATTTTTTTCAGGTTTTGCATAATATATTATGTATCACTGTTCTCAAGATATTTCTTATAAAAATTAAAAGAAAACTCACACAGAATGAACTGTTATAAAATATGTAAAATTTTAGAAACTCTCATAATTATATGAATACTTAAAGCACTGCTCTGGAAAAATAATTGAAAGATAAAAGGATATTTATCTTAAATGGTAGTAATTTTCATGTTTATTTAAAATAAGCACAGATAAAATTCTGAAAAAAGAATGATAAAGTGAACTCAGAGTAGAAAAATCCTTTAGTAGTGAAATAACAGGTAAAACAGGACTAAAATCTTTTAAATAATGTACTTAACTTACTTAGTTTTGAAAATATCATCATCATGTATAAAAGGCCATTTTATGTCCAGAGCAATGTTGGCCTTGGTCTAAGCCAAAATTCTTAGTAGAGAGTTTTTAGAGTGTTTGCTGTGGTAACATGTGTTAAACTTTTTTCAATATAGCCAATTCAAAAATTTTAAGTAAAATGTATGTTAGCTCTATTCTTACCTGCCATGCCTCTCAGATCTTATATCCTTATCTTATAACATCTGGCTGCTCCGTGATGGCCATTAAATCCCTGCTAGGAATTAGGAATCCATTCCTGTTTCAGGGTCCTCTTCATCACCTTCAAATTATTTATGTACAGTGTACTTTTGAAGGCTATACACTTTATATTTTTAACATTTAAAAAAAGAATATTGATGCTATTTATTCACAGCTAAGTATATACACATTTAAATATTAATCCAATATACATGTATTTGGTGCACATTACACGCTGAGTACTTTTCTAGGCCCTGAGGCTAGAGCTGGGCACAACGGAGACAAGTCCTTGCTTTGTGAAGCAGAAAACAGATGACTTCCAGTAAAGTGCTAAGTTGTGCTTGGGAAAAATAAAATTAGAAAAGCAGCTAGAAGGTGTACTGGAGATGACAAGAAACTGAGAAGAGAGGTTGCTGTTATATAGAAAGGGCGGAGAAGGCTTCTAGCAAAAAGCAGCATTTTACCAGCTATCTGAAGGATATGTGAAGCCCTAAGGTCTTTAATTAGAAATGCTTTACTTGCAAGAGCAACAAAATATAAAATATTGATAATTTTGACAACAAATAACTTAGGATTTTCTAAAGAAAAATGACAAACTAGGTTGGCACCATGGTCTCTCACTTGTTATTTATTTTAAGTCTAATTTCTCTACTTATATAAAGGATGCAATTTTTGTTTGGTATATGGTTTTACTCAATATATGAAGATATTGAGTAAATATCAATTATTATTACAACTTTTAAAAACAAAAACAAGGGACAAAAGATGAGATTTGACTAAATCGTGACCATGTTTTCTTAAATGAGTGTTATCGATACACATTTTTTTCCAAATTACTTTAGTAAGTTTTATAATTTTAAAACACCTTAATGCATTCTAATTCTCCTCATTTATTGGAGTTAATATTTACTTTAATTAATAAAATTTTAGTCTATTTTTCTCTTTTTCGAAGACCTTTAAAATATGGATTTCACATTTTCACAAGATAATTTTTAGAATTTTTGTAAATATCCAAATGGGGTGCTTTCCTATTGTTGGGATATTCCCTTTTACTAATACTGCTTTCATATTCTCCTTTCTGTAATGTATCTTAACTTCTTTTGTTGCAGAGAATGTGAACAATATCTGAAACTATACTATGGCCCTACAAAAGTTGTCATGTTGTCTATGCTAACTGTTGTGCTAATTTTACTCTTTCGGTAGTGCCTGGTATAAAGTTTGGGTCTATCATGGTGATGTACTGGTACCTTACATATACCTTTGCTATATTGCACTTCACATACTGCCTTTTTCACAAATTGAAGGTTTGTGGCAAGCCTGCATTGAGGAAGTCTACTAGAGCCACTTTGTTTACAGCATGTGCTCACTCCATGTCTCCGTGTCACATTTTGGTGATTCTCACAATATTGCAAGCTTTTTCACTATTATTATATCTGTTATGGTGATCTGTATTCAGTGATCTTTGATGTTGCTACTGTAATATGGGGAGAAACCACAAACCATACCTTTAAGAGATAGCAACTTAATCAATACATATTGTGTGTCTTCTGACTACTCCACTGAACAGAACTTCCCTGTCTCTCTCCCTCTCTTAGTGACTCCAATTTGTGAGACACAACAATAGTGAAATTAGGCCAGTTAATAACCTTATAATAGGCTCTAAGTGTTCAAGTGTAAGAAAGACTTTCATGTGTGTTATTTTAAATCAAAAGCCGGAAATACTTAAGCCTGGCAAGGAAGACATGTCAAAAGCCAACTTAGATCTAAAGCTAGAACTCTTGTTTTTAACAGTTAGCCAAGTTGTGAATGCAAAGAAAAAATTCTTGAAGGAAATCAAAACTGCGACTCCAGTGAACACAGGAACAATAAGAAAGAGAAACAGCCTTATTGCTGAGACTTGGAATGTTTTAGTGGTTTGGCCAGAAAGTCAAATCAGCTACAACATTATCTTCAGCCAAGACGCAATCTAGACCAAAGCTCTAATGTTCTTCAATTCTATGAAGGCTGAGAGAGGTAAGAGAAAACTGCAGAAGAAAAGTTGGAAGCTGACAAAGGTTGGTTCTTAAGGTAGAGGGAAAGGAGCCATCTTAACAACATAAAAGTGGAAAGTGAAACAGTAACTGCTGATGAAAAAGCTTCAGCAAATTATTTAGAAAATTTAGCTAAAATAATTGATGAATGTGACTACCCTAAACAACAGATTTTCAATGTAGACAGAACAGTTTTATATTGAAAGAAGATTTCATCTAAGCCTTTCATAGCTAGAGGGGAGAAGTCAATGCCTGGCTTCAAAGCTTCAAATGACAGACTGACACTCTTGTTAGGGGTTAGTGCAGCTAGTGACTTTCAGTTGAAGCCAATGCTTATTTACCATTTGAAAATCCTAAGGCTAATAAGAATTATGCCAAATCTACTCTGCTTGTCTCTATAAATGAAGCAACAAAGCCTTTATGACAGAACACCTGTTTATAGCATGGTTTACTGAATACTTTAAGCCCACTGTTGAGACATACTGATCCAAATAAAAGATTCTCTTTCAAATATTACTGCTTGTGGACAATGTACATGGTCACCCAAGAGCTCTGATGAACATATACAAGGACATTAATGTTGTTTCATGCAACCTAACACAACACCAATTCTGTAGCTCATGGATCAAGAAGCAATTTTGACTTTCAGGTCTTATAACTTAATATATACATTTTGTAAGGTTGTAGCTGTCATAGATAGTGATTCCTCTGATGGATCTGAAAAATCTTCTGGAAAAGATCCACCATTCTAGATACTATTAGGAACATTTGTGATTCATGGAAGAAAGCTAAAGTATCAACATTAGTAGGAGTTTAGAACAAGTTGCTTCCAACCCTCATGGATGACTTTGAGGGGTTCAAGACTTCAGAGGAGAAAGTAATTGCAGATGTAATGGAAATAGCAAGAGAACTAGGATTAAAAGTGGAGCCTAAAGATGTCACTGAATTGCTGCAATCTTGTAATATAACTAACAGATGAGCAGTTGCTTCTTATAGATGAACAAAGAAAGTGGTTTCTTGAGATGGAATCTATTCCTGGTGAGGATACTGTGAACATTATTGAAATAACAATGAGGATTTAGAATAGTCCCTAAATGTAATTGATAGAGCAATGGCAGGGCTTGAAAGGATTGCCTCTAATTTTGAATGAAGTTCTACTGTGGATAAGTACTATCAAATGATATCCTATGCTACAGAGAAGTCTTTCATGAAAGAGTCATTCAATGCAGCATACTTCATTGCTGTCTTATGAAACTCTGTGCACGGCGGCTCACACCTGTAATCCCAGCACTTTGGGAGGTCAAGGAGAGCAGATCACCTGAGGTCAGGAGTTGGAGACCAGCCTGGCCAAAATGAAACCCCATATCTACTAAAAATGCAAAAATTAGCTGGGTGTGGTGGCAGGCACCTGCAATCCTGGCTACTTGGTAGGCTGAGGGAGGGGAATTGCTTGAACCTGGGAGGTGGAGGTTACAGTGAGCCGAGATGGTGCCATTGCACTCCAGACTGGGCGACGGAGTGAGACTCTGACTCAAAAAAAAAAAAAAAAAGAAAGAAAAAGAAATTCCCACAGCCACCCCAGCCTTTAGCAATCACAACCCTGATCAGTCAGCAACCACCAGTACTGAGGCAAGACCCTCCAGCAACCAAAACATTATGACTCACTGAAGGCTCAGATGATTAACATTACTTAGCAATAAAGCTTTTTAAAATTAAGGTAAGTACATTATTTGTTTAACCATAATACTATTACACCCTTTACAGTACAATGTAAACATAACTTTTATATGCATTGAGAAACCAAAAATTTTTGTTGACTTGTTTTATTGTGATTTTTGCTTTATTGTGATGGTCTGGAACAAAACCCACAGTATCTTCAAGTATGTCTCGAATATGTAGAGAATTTTTAAAAATTTTTAGCATATTTTACAAAACTTATTGCCTTATAAGTACTCACTCAATATTTTATTTAAGGAGTACGTCTTGATTTTTAAGGGGTTCTTAGCTTTATTGGTTATGTATTAAATAAAACCTCAGCATTTCAATCATAATGTATAAGAAGTATGTTTATGTCATTATTTTTAAAACATAATTTGAATAAATGTATAATATTCCATGTATGCTGTTATCATAACATATTTAAAAATTTTAGCAACATTCAATATCTCTTATTTTATTATCATATTTTAAAAATTAAAGCCTAATGATCACACTTTTTACATAAGCTTTCGTTTGATTTTACTTTCAAAGATTATGGTCAAGTTCTCTCACTATGTAGACTCTTTTTCAATCATATATTTCTAGTTTCATAAATGACACAGCATGTTTCTTACTTCAAAAATAGCATAAACTTGAAATTAGATTCCTATTTAGGTACATTTGAATAATTTAAAGTAAATGTCTTACATTGCAGAGCTAGAAAAATGTTTATTTTTTATATTTTGGTTTGCTTTTGGTTCTTTTAGTTCTTTAGTTAGCTTTTTTTTTTAAAAAATAAAACACTTCACAAATATTCTCTCTAAAATATATGTACAAACTAAATGTGGTTTGCTTTCAGCTACAGTTGACCCTTGAACACATGTGTACACTACGCAGGTCCACTTATATGCATATTATTTTTTCAACCAAACTCAATAAAAAGTGCGGTGTTTTCTGTAGGGTTGCCTTTTCCTATAAACAGGTTCCACAGGGCCAACTGGGAAACTTGAGTATATGTGGATTTTGGTACATGAAGGTGCCCCTGGAATTGATCCCCACCTATATGGAGAGATAACTATATGTTGTGTTTGCTAGATTCACCAGCCAGAGATAATATACTGTTATAGAATGCTTTAGATTTATACAATTACCTAATATATTTGGCACATTTTTATTTATGGCTCACATCAAGTTACATACTCAATACATGTCTGACTTAGCTTCTTTATCTGTAATCTGAGAATACTCCTTTTCCTGAATACATATCATGATGACAAGGATCTTACAAAACAAATCATGTCAAAGACTAGGCATGTGCTAGTTAGTTTTAAACATTCTTTAACAAATAATCTCCAGGGGCACTACCTTCAACACTCAATCTTTGAGAAAATCTAGTTTTTAAATGGTCCACATTTTGCATTAATTTTTAAAAATGTATTGAAGACCGTAGGAAAGAACTGGAAAGATTTCTGAGACATCTGAAAATAATAGAAAATAATCTATTTTATATCAAGAAACATTGAACAAAAATGAAATAAATAAAAAAATTCTGTGGAAGAAGAAATTAATTCAACCTCATATATTTCTCAATTTATTCAATGATGAGGTCACTTGATTTACTTCATGTGTACATTTCAATGAATGACTGCATGTCCAAAATATATTTTATACATTTTTACTGAGATTATTCACACTTCAGTCTTCCTGCTTTGGTACAAAATATTTTAGACAAACTATTATACTCGTTCATGTATAACTGTCACTTTAGTGACTGCATGTCCAAAATATATTTTATACATTTTTACTGAGATTATTCACACTTCAGTCTTCCTGCTTTGGTACAAAATATTTTAGACAAACTATTATACTTGTTCATGTATAACTGTCACTTTAGTTATAAAAATGATGCTTAAGTTAAAAACAAAATGGCCGGGCGCGGTGGCTCACGCCTGTAATCCCAGCACTTTGGGAGGCCGAGGCGGGTGGATCATGAGGTCAGGAGATCGAGACCATCCTGGCTAACAAGGTGAAACCCCGTCTCTACTAAAAATACAAAAAATTAGCCGGGCGTGGTGGCGGGCGGCAGGAGAATGGCGTGAACCCGGGAAGCGGAGCTTGCAGTGAGCCGAGATTGCGCCACTGCAGTCCGCAGTCCGGCCTGGGCGACAGAGCGAGACTCCGTCTCAAAAAAAAAAAAAAAAAAAAAACAAAATAATTTTAATAAAGAAGTGTGAGAAGTAATATATAACCTCTGAGTCAGTCAGAATCTAGCAAATCTTTATAGGTCACATACATTAAACATTCTTACATTCACTGTCAGTGGCTCTAATTAAGAATGATCATATAAAAAGATCTTTTCATTTTTCTTGGCTTTTTCTAGTTTGCCCAAATCGCACCAATTATTTCTTCTATACTGTTGGTTCATGAGTTCGTGACTGTACATAGTTAGTAATTACTTAAAATCAGATTTTTTTTTTACATTTTACTGAAACATAGTTTAATTCACCTTTGCTTTTCTCCCACTAGCTTGATATATTATTGAACTATAATAATTTTAAAAAGAAAAATCACACTATGCCAAAGATAAGGAAACATTTAAATGACAGAACTATTTTGTCTGAATAAAGACACAAGATCATATATAGAGAAGAGAAAATGAGCTAATTCATATATTTGGATGATATGAAGTAGATTAAATATTTTATGTTTTTAAATAAGTAACATGTTAAGCAAGACAGAAAATTATTTTTAATAAAATAAAAAATATACAAAAGCTTTAAAATTCATGCAAATATCTAAATGAAAGAAGAAATCAGACAATGTATATCTTGGCATTGTTCAGTTGGGGATTATTGCTTGGACGATATTTGCTATATTTGTATTTCTCTGTCTTGTTATTTTTTTTTCTATTAGCTGAACATAAAAATTTCAAACACGAAACTAAAATAAATGAGTAAAATAACATCATTATGGGCTGACATACTTTTGGTGTGTTAAGGTGTATTACTAATATGATACATATTGTAAAAACCATCAATAATAATTTAAAATTATAATATTTAACAATAAAATTACTATGTTTTGTAATTAACTATGCTAACTATATCATTAACTATATTAATGACTGATATTGCATAAAAATATATTTGTATAGCAGATAAAAAGATGGGGGAGGGATAGCATTAAGAGAAATATCTAATGTAAATGATGAGTTAATGGGTGCAGCAAACCAACACGACACATGTATACATATATAACAAACCTGCACATTTTGCACATGTGCCCTAGAACTTAGAGTATAATAAAAAAAAGTTGTAAAGATAAATTTTGTCTAGAATTCAACTAAGAGGCACCTAGAAATTTTTAAGGATAATTAAAATTCGAAGATGAAATTTGAATGTTAACATAAAGCAAAATAAAAGAAATGCCAAATACATACAATTTTAAAACTATAACAACTTCAAAATTCAAAAAGAAACTTTTATATTATTATGTTATATAATATTTTTATTTTTAAAGGCACTTTTTTCTTGTGATTAAAGGTATGTGTTCTCTTAAAAACATGTATTTCTCTACATTTAAAAAAATGATTTTTTAACTTAAAAAATAAATTATTTTCTTCCTTTTTCTATTCCTATTTTATTTTTTTAAATTTTTTTAGACTTTTGGCCATTTTTCTTAACTTTATATAGCACTAAAATGACTTATAAAATACTATAATTATATAAATTTTGATAGGATGTTAGTGGAAATTTATATGCTATTCTGTTAGTTTATTAAATTAATGTTTATTTTTATACAAACATTAATTATTTTCAAAGTGGCCACTAAAATGAATAATAAGCAATCATAAAATAATTATACAAAATTATATAGATAAATAAGGGCAGAAATTGTTTATTTTTATATAATTATTTATTTTATTTTATTTTTTTGAGAGGGAATCTCGCTCTGTCACCCAGTCTGGAGTGCAGTGGCACGATTTCGGCTCACTGCAAACTCCACCTCCTGGGTTCACACCATTCTCCTGCCTCAGCCTCCATAGTTGCTGGGACTATAGGTGCCCACCACCACATCCAGCTAATTTTTTTTTTTTTTTTGTATTTTTAGCAGAGACAGGATTTCACTGTGTTAGCCAGGATGGTCTTGATCTCCTGACCTCATGATCCACCCGCCTTGGCCTCCCAAAGTGCTAGGATTATAGGCATGAGCCACTGCGCCCAGCCAGAAATTGTATATTTTTAAATACACTAATAATCTTAATAATGCATCCGGTATATTTATATGAGTTACTGAGAAAGGTGTATTAGAATCACCTTCAATAATTTTGGTTTTAAAAATTTATCCAATTAAGAGACACTAGACCTTCTTTTTTCTTCCTAGTGAAAATACAATGAGAAGGCAGCTGTCTGCAAGCCAGGAAGAACTCTTACCAAGAATTGAATCTGCTGGCACCTTTAACTTGGACTTGCCAGCCTGCAGAACTGTGAAAAACAAATGTCTTTTGTGATCAAGTGCCAAGATGACTTACTAGAAGCAGCTAGTATGCTCCACTCTCGTGAAAAGGAAATAGACTGGCCAGTAAACACTAGCACTTCAACTGGATCTTCCAAGAGGACATGTTGGGATTCAGCAAGGAAGCAACAGAAGCCATGGAGAACAAAAACAGCAAGACACAACAGCCACCCACCCAGGATTGGGTGGAGTCAGGGGAGGATCCTTACCACAAAGAAATAGTGACTGAGAGAGAGCCCCATGGCCCCATACTTCTGTCACGGACCTTTGTAATCATAGGCACAGGTGATCCACCCTGAGTCCCTCCCCCTGGGGCCTTCAGACTAACAAGGAGAGCTGCATAGAATCTGGGCAGAGCTCCAGATCAGGCACATGAGAAGTCCCAGGGGTCTTAGACCCCTAAGCACCCCAGTGCTAGTTGCCATAGCTTCACCAACAAGAACGCCAAGTTCTCTGCATGCCAAAAGTTAGTGGCTACATTCATGGTTCTGAGGAGCAGAGGGACTTCATGCCTTGCCTCTGGTTAACCTCTCCAGGCAAGGCACACTGACCTGGAACTCCAGAACAGCCATGAAACACCCATTTGACCTCTTCAACTGGCAGCAGCTCTGCATTTCTCTGGGATGAAGCTCCCAGATGCAATAGACATATCTGCTGTTTTTGCTGCTATTGCAGCTCCAGCCACTACCCAACTGCCTTCAAGGTCAGGAGGGAGTGAAGAGTGTTATGACTGTTGTGGGCCTCCAGCACAGGGCAAGCTGCCTTCTGGAAAAGCAGTCATATAGTTTTTAATGTTGGTCATGGCCCCTTCTACTCCTCACTGGTCAGGGCCTCCTGGCTTGAGCCTCCAGCACAGCCACCTACCTCAGCCTGACAACTTGGGCCAGAAGCAGCATTGCATTTCCCTGGGACAGAGCTCTCATAGGTATAAGACAGGCCTGCCGTTTTTGCCTGCTATAGCCCCTGCCCATAATGCCCTCAGATCAAGAGATAGCAAAGAGGCTTAAGGATTATAGCAGGTCTTCAGCTCAGCACATCTGCCTTATGGAGGTGTTGTCACCACTTGAACACTTCAGACAGTGGCACCTGTGCATTTCTCTGGGATAGAATTCCCAGTGACAACCCACAGCCCCTCTGCCATTACATACAGTGGTACCACCCTTGCTGCCTGATATGGTTTGGCTCTGTGTCCCCATTCAAATCTCATCCTGTAGATCCCACAATTCCCATGTTTTGTGGGAGGTACCTGGTGGGAAATGACTGAATAATGGGGATGGGTATTTCCCATGCTGTTCTCGTCATAGTGGATGGGTCTCATGAGATCTAATGATTTTAAAAACAGGAGTTTCCTGACACAAGCTCTCTCTTAGCCTGCTGCCATCCATGTAAGATGTGACTTGCTCCTACTTACCTTTCACCATGATTGTGAGGCCTTCCCAGCCACGTGGAACTGTAAGTTGATTAAACCTCCTTCTTTTGTAAATTGCCCAGTCTCAGGTCTGTCTATCAGCAGCATGAAAATGGAATAATACAGTAAATTGGTACCAGTAGAGTGGGCTCTACTGAAAAGTGCCTGAAAATGTGGAAGCAACTTTAGAACTGGGTAACAGGCAGAGGTTGAAACAGCTTGGAGCACTCAGAAGGAGACAGGAAAATGTGGCAAAGTTTAGAACCACCTAGAGACTTGTTGAATGGTTTTGCCTAAAATGATGTTACTGATACGGACAATGAAATCCAGGATGAGGTGGTCTCCAATGGAGATGAGGATCTTGGGGACTAGAACAAAGGTGACTTTTGTTATGTTTTAGCAAAGAGACTGGTGGCATTTTGCTCCAGGCCTAGAGATTTGTGGAACTTTGAACTTGAGAAAGATGATTTAGGGTATCTCATGGAAGAAATTTCTAAGCAGCAAAGCATTCAAGATGTGACCTGGGTGCTGTTAAAGTCACTCAGTTTTATAAAGGAAGTAGAGCATAAAAGTTCAAAAAGTTTGCAGCTTGACAATGTGATAGAAAAGAAAATCCCATTTTCTGAGGAGAAATTTAAGTCAGCTGCAGAAATTTGTATAAGTAATGAGGAGATGAATGTTAATCCCCAAGACAATAGGGAAAATGTCTCTAAGGCATGCCAGAGGTCTTCATGGCAGCCCCTTCCATCACAGGCCTGGTGACCTAGGAGAAAAAAAGTGGTTTTGTGGGCCAGGCCCAAGGTCATCATGCTGTGAGCAGCCTGGGGACTTGGCACCCTGTGTCCCAGCTGCTCCAGCCATGGCTGAAAGGGGCCAATGTAGACTTTAGGCTGTGGCTTCAGAGGGTACAAGCCCCAAACCTTGGCAGCTTCCACTTGATGTTGAGCCTGTGAGTGCACAGAAGTCAAAAATGGGGGTTTGGGAATCTCTGCCTAGATTTCAGATGTATGGAAATGCCTGGATGTCCAGGAATAAGTTCACTGCAAGGGTGAGGCCCTCATAAAGAACCACTGTTTAGGGCAGTGTGGAAGGGAAATGTGGGGTTGGAGCCCCCACAGAGAGTCCCTACTGGGGCACTGCCTAATGCAGCTGTGAGAAGAGGGCCACCGTCCTCCAGACCCCAGAATGGTAAATCCACTGACAGCTTGCACCGTGCACCTAGAGAAGACTAAGACACTCAATGTCACCCTGTGAAAGCAGCCATGAGGGAGGCTGTACCCTACACAGCCACGGGGGAGGAGCTACCCAAGACCTTGGGAACCCACCTCTTGCATTAGCATGACCTGGATGTGAGACATAGAGTTACTGGGAGATCATTTTGGAGCTTTAAAATTTGACTGTCCCTCTGGATTTCACACTTGCATGGGGCATGTAGCCCTGTTGTTTTGGCCAATTTCTCCCATTTGGAATGGCTGTATTTACCCAATGCCTGTACCCCCATTGTATCTAGGAAGTAACTAACTTACTTTTGATTTTACAGGCTCATAAGTGGAAGGGACTTGACTTGTCTCAGATGAGACTTTGGACTGTGGACTTTTGAGTTAATGCTGAAATTAGTTAAGGCTTTTTGGGACTGTTGGGAAGGCATGATTGGTTTTGAAATGTGAAGATATGAGATTTGGGAGGGGCCAGGGGTATAATACTATGGTTTGACTCTGTGTCCCCACCCAAGTCTCATCTTGTAGTTCCCATAACTTCTACATGTTGTGGGAGGGACCCAGTGGGAAATGATTGAATCATGAGAGTGAGTCTTCCCCATGCTGTTCTCATGATAGTGAATGGGTCTCATGAAATCTGATGGCTTTAAAAATGGGAATTTCCCCAAACGAGGTCTCTATTTGGCTGCAGTCATCCATGTAAGATGTGACTTGCTCCTCTTCTTGACTTCTGCCATGAGTTTGAGGCCTCCTCAGCCATGTAGAACTACAAATTGATTAAACCTCTTTCTTTTGTAAATTGTCCAGTGTCAGGTATGTCTTTATCAGCAGTGTAAAAAAGGACTAAGAAACTCCCCTTGGGCTGGGGAAAGAACAAAATCCTGGTTGCTTCACTAGCTCCTTCATCATGACACAGCTGCCATATAGCGTAGAGCCCAGTCTCTCTTCCTTGTGAGCTCCCAACTCCTATCCTTCACTAAGCAGAACTCCTTGCTTGGGCCTGCAGAGTAGCTACCTCACCCAAGCTGAACATTTCTATTGCCAGTGGCTCTGTGTTATCCTGTGATGGAGCTCCCAGAGGCAAATGACAGCCAACTGCCACTGCCAATGCAGTGGTACCTGCCCTTGCTGTCTTAGACTGGGAAAGAAATAAAAGAGCCTGAATGCTTTACTCATGCTTCCAGCACACTATGATTACCATATGATCACCATATGGCATGGAGCCCAATCTCTATTCTCTGTGAGCCCCTGATCCCCTGCTCTTCACCAGGCAGGGGTCCCAGCAAAGGCTCATAGTGCAGCAGCCCCACTCCAGGCTGAAAATGCCCAGTGGCAGTGGTTCTGCATTTCTCTGGGGTGGAGATCCCAGAAGCAACTGAAAGTTTTTCTGCAACCGCTATTCAGCAGTACTGCCCTTGCTGCCCTCCAACTGGGGAGGGAACAAGACCCCAAGTGCTTTACTCACACCTCCAGCACACTGCAGCTACCCTACAGAGAAGAGATGAATCTGTCTTCTCACAAGCCCTGACACCCTCTGCTCATCACCAGTAGTGTCCCCCAGCTTGGTTCCAAAATGCACAGGCCCCATCAAAGGTTGACCACTCCATTTGGCAGCATCTCTGCATTTCTGTATGGTGGAGCTGCAAAAGACAAGTGATAGACCTCCACACATTACCACTGCCAAGGTCCTCACCCCTTTTGTCCCCAAGCTTGTGAGGAAACAAAAACCTTGAGCTCACCCCAGGGCTGTGATGTGCAGCACTGCAGTGACAAGCCAAGCTATGCAGCCAGCATTTCAGTAGGAGGGAAGCCTACACACACAGAATACTGACACGGAGCATGGCTGCAAATGTGAGAAAATATATATTTGTGTATGAACAAGAGCCTACCTATCAGCCATTATAGGTAGGTAGGCTGAACAAGAGCCTACCTATCAGCCATTATACCTAAGTGTCATCAGCCAGATTGCGGCAGAAACTTCAACTCTAAAATTACTTTGCTAATATAAGCCTCTGTGAAACCCAGGACAATAATTCAGCTACTAATAAAGATCATGCAAAAAGGTGCTTTGAAAACATCCAGAAACAAAGTCAACTGACTATGCTCAAATTATACCACAGTTAAAGAAACACCAGCCCACACAGATGAGAAAAAAGCCAACATAAGAACTCTAGCAACTCAAAAAGTCAGAGTGTCACTTTACCTCCAAATGACTGCACTAGTTCTACAGCAATGGTTGTTAAATAGAAGGAAATGGCTGAAATGACAGATATAGAACTGAGAGGTAGAAGGAAATGAAGATCATTGAAATTCAGTAGAAAGTTGAACACTATTTCCAAGAATCTGAGGAATCCAGTAAAATGATTAAAGAGAAAAAAATTAGCCATTTGAAAAAACAAAACAAGACAAACAAACAAACAAACTAAAACCAAACCTAGCAGGTAGAGTTACAAAATACACTACAAGAATTTCATAAAATGATTGGAAATATTCACAGCAGAATGGACTAAGCCAAGAAAAGAATCTCAGAGATTGAAGACTGATTATTTAAGTTAACACTGCCAGAAAATAAATAAAGAAAAGAAGAATTTTAAAAAATGAAAGGTCAGGCATGGTGGCTCATGCCTGTAATCCCAGCACTTTGGGAGGATATTGAGACCATCCTGGCTAACACGGTGAAACCCTGTCTCTACTAAAAATACAAAAAAAAAAAAATTCACTGGGCATGGTGGCAAGTGCCTGTAGCCCCAGCTACTCAGGAGGCTGAGGCAGGAGATTGGTAGGAACACGGGAGGTGGAGCTTGCATTGAGCCGAGATCATGCCACTGCACTCCAGCCTGGGCTACAGAGCAAGACTCCATCTCAAAAAAAAAAAAGAAAGAAAAAGAAAAGAAAAAACCTTGGAGAAGTAAGGGATTCTGTAAAAAATTTCCCCAATTTCACTAGAGAGATTGACATATAAATTTAGAAAATTCAGATAACCTATGTAAGATGCTATGTAAGACAACCATTGCAGAGACACAAAGTAATCAGATTCTTGAAGGTCAATGCAAAAGAAAAAAATATTAAAGGCAGTTAACGACAAGGGGCAGGTCACATAAAGTGGAAACTACATCAAACTCACAGGGGAACTCTCAGCAATATCCCACAGTCAGAAGACATTAAGAATCCATATTCAGCATTTTTGAAAAAATAAAATTTTGAACCAAGAATTTTATGTCCCACCAAACTAAGCTTCATAAACAAGGGAGAAATAAAATCCATTTCAGATAAGCAAAAGCTAGGGGAATTTATTACCACCAGGCCTTTAGAGACCACAAGAGATCCTTAAGAAAGTGCTAAACATGAAAATGAAGGACTGTTACCTAGCACCAGAAAAACACACTCAAGTATATAGACCATCAACACTATAAAGTAATTACACAATCAAGTTTACATAACAACCAGCTAACAACATGCTGGGAGGATCGAATGTGCACATGTCAATATTGAAGATAAACAAGCTAAACACCCACTTAAAAGGCATGGAGTGGCAAAGTGGATAAAGAATCAAGACCCAACTGTATGCTGTCTTCAAGAGACCCATCTCACATGTGAGAACACCCATAGGTTCAAAGTAAAGGGATGGAGAAAGAACTACCAAACAAATGAAAAACAAAGAAAAACAGGTGTTGCTGTTCTTATTTTAGATAAAACTGACATTAAACTAACGATGATCAAAACAGACAATAAAGGGCATTACGTAATGATGAAGGATTCAATTAAACAAGAAGACTTAACTATCCTAAATATATATGCACCTAACACTGGAGCACTCAGATTCACAAAACAAGCTCTTAGAGATATACAAAGAAACTTACATAACTACACAATGACAGTGGCAGACCTCAACACCTTACTGACAGTGTAAGACAGATCACTGAGGCAGAAAACTAACAAGGATATTCGGGACCTAAACTTGACACTTGGCCAAATACACCTAACAGACATCTGCAGAACACTCCACACATCAACAACAGAATATATATTCTTATCATCTGCACGTGACACATATTCTAAAATCAACCACATGCTCAGCTATAAGTCAATTCTCAACAAATAAAAAAAAAATTTTACCAGCCACACTCTCAGACCAGAGCACAATAAAAATACAAATCAATACCAAGAAGATCTGCCAAAACTGTAGGATTAAGTGAAAATTAAACAACCTGAACCTGAATGACTTTTGTGTAAACAATAAAATCAAGGCAGAAATCAAGAAATTCTTAGACTCTGATGAAAACAAAAATACAACACACCAGAAACTCTAGAACACAGCTGAAGCATGGTTAAAAGGAAAGTTGATTGTGCTAAACACTTACGTCAACAGCTAGAAAGATCTCAAATTTGCAACCTAACATCACAGATAGAGGAACCTAAAAAACAAAACAGAACCAACCTCGAAGGTAGTAGAAGAAAAGAAATGGCCACAATCATAACTGAAATTAACAAAATGGAGATGAGAAAAAAATGTAAAAAAATCAACAAAACTGAATGTTGGGTATTTGAAAGAAAAAATAATGTTGATAGGCCATTATCTAAACTTATAAAGAAAAAAAAGAGACAATATTCAAATAAACACAATCACAAAAGAGACAAAGGGGACATTACCAGTGACCCCACAGAAATACAACAACCCTCAGGGATGATTATGAACACCTCTATGTACACAAACTGAAAAACCCAGAGAAGCTGCATAAATTCCTGGAAGCAATCTTCAAAGATTGAACCAGGAAGAAAATGAAACTCTGAACAGACTAATAGGAAGGTCCAAACTGAATTGGCAATACGATGCCTATCAATCAGAAAAAGTGTTGGCCTCAAAGGATTCACTGCCAAATTCTACCAGATGTATAAAGAAGAGCTGATACCACACCTACTGAAACTATCTAAAATAATTGAGGAGGAGGGACTCATAACTAACTCATTCTATGAGGACAACATCATTCTGATACCAAATCCTGGCAGAGATGCAATGAAAAAAAAAACTTCAGACCAGTATTTCTAATGAACATAGATAAAGAAATATTCAACAAAATACTAGCAAACCAAATCTAGCTGTACATCAAAAAGCTAATCCACCACAATCAAGTAGGTTTTATTTCTTGCATAATATTTCCAGAATGGTACTTCCAAGGTTTTCTTCTAGAGATTTTATAGTTTGAGGTTTTACATTTATGTCTTTAATCCATCCTGGGTTGATTTTTGTGTATGGTGAAAGGTAGGGGTCCAGTTCAAATCTTCTGTGTATGGTCAGCAGGTTATCCTGGCACCATTTGTTGAATAAGATGTCCTTTCCCCATTGTTTGTCTTTGTCAGCTTTGTTAAAAATCAGATGATTGTTTATGTATGGCTTTATTTCTGTGCTCTCAAAACTGTTCCATTACACTATGTGTCTGTTTTAGTTACTGTAGCCTTGTAGTATAGTTTGAAGCCAGGGAGTGTGATGCCCCCAGCTTTGTTCTTTTTGCTTAGAATTACTTTGGCTATTCAGGCACTTTTTTGGTTCCAAATTTATTCTAGAATTTTTTTTCTAGTTCAGCGAAAAACGTTGTTGGTAGTATGATAGGAATAGCATTGAATCTGTAACTTGGGTTGGGCAGAATGAGCATTTTAATAATACTGCAAACCCCAACCTTTGGTAGAGTCTATGTGATATTGGGCCTGTGGGTGTGCAGAAGACAAGAGTTGAGCTTTAGGAACCTCAGCCTGAATTTCAAAGGATGTACGGAAACACCTGAATGTCTAGGCAGAAGTATGCTGCAGGGGAAGGGCCCTCATGGAGACCTCTGCTAGGGCAGTGCAGAAGGAAGATGTGGGGTCAGAGCATCCATGCAGGGTCTCCACTGGGGCACTGACTAGTGGAGCTGTGAGAAGAGGGCCGTCATTCTCCGGATCCCAGAATGATAGATCCACCAAAAGCTCACACCACTCACCTGGAAAAGCTGCAGGCACTCAACACCAACCTGTGAAAGCAGCCAGAAGGGAGGCTGTACCCTGCCAAGCCATAGGAGTGGAGCTTCCCAAAGCCATGGTATCCCATCTCTTGCATCTGTGTGACCTGGATGTGAGACATGGAGTCAAAGGACATCATTTTGAAACTTTAAGGTTTAATGACTGCTCTGTTGGATTTCAGACTTGCATGGGGCCTATAGCTCCTTTGTTTTGGTCAATTTCTCCTATCTCCAATGGGTGTATTTACCCAGTATCTGCACTCCCATTGTATCTAGGAAATAACTAACTTGCTTTTGATGTTACAGGCTCATAGGTGGAAGGGACTTGCCTTTTCTCAGATGAGATTTTGAACTCAAACTTTCAGGTTAATGCTGAAATGAGTTAAGACTTTGGGGGATTCTTGGAAAGGCATAATTGTGTTTTGAAATGTGAGGACATGAGATTTGCGAGGGGCCATGGACAGAATAATATAGTTTGGCTTTGTGTCCCTACCCAAAATCTCATCTTGAATTGTAATGCAAATTGTAATCCCCACATGTTGGGGGAAGGACATCATGGGAGGTGATTAGACATGGGGATCATACTGTTCTCATGATAATGAGTGAGTTCTTATGAGAGCTGAAGGTTTTATAGGGGCTTTCCCCCACTTTACTTTGCACTTCTCCCTCCTGCAGCCATATCAAGAAGGACATGTTTGCTGCCCCTTCCACCATAAGTGTATGTTTCCTGGAGCCTCCCCAGCCATGCAGAACTGTGAGTCAATTAAAACTATTTTGATTCTAAATTACCCAGTCTCAGTCAGTTCTTTATAGAAGCATGAGAACAGACTAATACAGTGACCCACCCCTTTATATTTGTTTAACTGAGTTGATTCAATGAATCCATCTCACAGCTCTCAGTTTTTTTCCTCAGCTTAGTCCTTTCTGTTGTTAATACTTCCAGTTAAACAATGAAATGCTCATAGTGAGTTTTTCAGCTCTTAGACGAGTTTGGGTCATTGTCTTTCTTTCCTTTTTTTTTTTTTTTTTTTTGTGTGTGTGTGTGTGTGAGATGGAGTCTTGCTCTGTCACCAAGGCACCAAGGCTGGAATGCAGTGGTGTGATCTCGGCTCACTGCAACCTCTGAATTCAAGCCAGTCTCCTGCCTCAGTCACCCGAGTAGCTGGAACTACAGGTGTGTGCCACCATGCCTGGCTAAGTTTTGTATTTTTAGTGGAGATGGGGTTTCACCATGTTGGCCAGCCTGGTCTCGAACTCCTGAACTCAGGTAACCTGGCTGCCTCGGCCTCCCAAATTGCTGGGATTACAGATGTGAACCACTGTGCCTGGCAAGAGTTTGGGTCTTTTAAAAAAATGACTATATCGTCTCTTAGCTCTTGTTTCTTTCTAATTGATTCCTTAGATTCTTTGGATGGGCTTTTAACTGTCTCCTGAATCTCAGTAACCTTCATTGCCATCAAGCTTGTGAATTCTGTCTATTATTTCAGCCTTTTCAGTCTGGTTAACAGCTGTTGCTGGGGAGTTAGTGTGGTCATCTAAAAATAGACACTCTGGGTTATTGAATTGCCAGTGTAGTTATGCTGGTTCTGGTTCTTTCTCATCTCTGTGAGCTAATGTTCCTTTAATCGTTGAAGTTAGTTTGTTTGTTTGTTTTGGATGGGGCTTTTTACTTGTATACTTTGATGCCGTTAAGGGTTTACTATGCTATAAGTTGCATTTAATTGACTGGCTTCATCTCTGGATGATTTCAGGTGGCCAAGGCTCAGCTCAGCTCTCCTGGGATGTGTGCTCTAACACTGGGGGGATTGGGACCTGGCCCACAGCTTTGTTATATGCCCCCTCAAGATGAAGTACCTGCTGCACTGACAGGGCCACAGCATTCTCAGTCCACTGGCAACAACAGTCCAACGGGGGATGCCAACAAAAGTGCTTCATTGGAGCATTTGCTGAGGGGTCCATGCTTACGCACATGTGCACCAGCTGCAGCAGGGGTGCAGTGTGGCATGTTATACTCATACTCACCCTGGCAGTGGCAGGTTGTCAGGGTTTATACACACACACCAGTGGGGCCCATGCAGTTGCAGTGAGGACTCTGCATATGTGCACACTGGCGAAACAGTGATTGGAGACTGTGCACAGTGCATGCCGGCAATGCAGTGAGGGGGGACTGTAAGTAGGTGTGCACTGTTGGAGGTATATTTGCAGAAGCTCTCCAATGAGAGCAGAGTAGAGTCTGCTGCTATGGTGATGGCCACTGAGAAGCACCCTCGTTGGGCATGCAAAGCTGCCCTCCAAGAGGGTATGGCCTGGCGGGGACCCCAGGAGAGTCCAGTCGACAGGAGAGCATCTAATCACACTGGCATATCCCATGGGCAAGACAGCCCTTCTCTGTGCAGGTCTGACAATCAATAATGACCTAAGTCACTCAGAGGCGTGTGGTAAGCCTTAGGAAATGGGTGTCCCTGGCTGTGCTTCACTGGAACCATTCTTATGTCAAACTATCTGGGCTCTACACATACTGGAATCCTGTCTTTGCTACTTCTCCAAGCAACTCTCCTTGCTAGCTCGAATGTCCATGGGGATTGTGAAGTCTCCTAAAGCTAGGATTCTGGAGCTCTTTGGAAAGAGTAAGCCACTCCATCGTATTTAACTCACCCCCTCCCTCACCTTTCAGGGCCAGGAATGAGTCCTGGTGCTCCACAACCCCATGCTGGGTTCCCAGCTTTCTGATCCTTTAGCCCAGTGTCTCCATCCTCTCTCCTTCCACTCTCAATGCTTTCCTTTTGAAGATCTGCTCAGAGTGTGCTGGTTTTCTTGATAGTCAGCTCTTTCAGTGGAGGATCTTCCTGGCTCTGTCTTGATGGCCATTTTGGCTCTTCTGTCTTTTAGGGTTTCCTTGGTGAGTATCAGGTGTTCATAAATTAAGGATTTATATATTGGGTTTAAAAATCAAGATTGTAAATCAAGATATCTTTAGTGTGACGAAAGGAAGTAAATTATAAAACGTATTTAGGTTACTATGTTGCTCTTAATAAGTAGTACGGCTGCCACATTTTAAAGTGTTTTTTTTTCCCCCTATGGTTGTTTTAAGGATTTCTTTTTCTCTGTCACTCTCTGTCTTTCCAGCTCTCATTTTCTCTCTTTCTCTCACATCAGATTTATTGTTAAGTGTTAATTCAGTGGTTATTTTTTCCTTGAAATTTACTGTGTTTCTTGAATGGACACGTGTATCTTTCATCATTTTGGAAAGTTTAAACCATTAAGTATTCACATATTTATCTGCTCCATTTATTTTATTCTAGCTCTCTATTTAAATATATCACCTCACACAACTCATTATTTGTGATAACCACTCTTCTACATTTCCATTTTTTCATCTCACTGTATTGAACTGTGCTCATTTGCTTTTCTGATTTAGCTTCCAGTGATCTAGCTCTTTTGCTGTGTCCAAAATATTATCATACTCATGCTCCTAATGTTTAATTTTAGTCATAATATCATTTATCTTTAAAATTTGTTATTAGTTTCATGTTAAAACTGAAAGATTACATTGTATTGTTTTCATTTGGCAGATATTTTCAAATTTACTTCTTAGAACATAATACAGTACATGTTTTTCAATGTGTCTGTAATAATACCAGATCTGCAATTTTTGTGACTTTTTTCATTATTTTTCCTGCTACTTATTGCAAAATGTGTCCTGTTTCCTTGCATTCTTTATTAGCTTTGAAAGCATGATGCTTACTGCTTCTGCCAAAATTACTTGGAAGGATTCCTCAAATCCTGGAATGATGACTTCCTATATAGAATCATTTTCTTTATCTTTACTAGTTATCTCTGTAGATTACTTTAAGAACGATATAAATTAAATTAGTAGCTTCCTGCTGTGACAGCCAGCCTGTGGACTATCCTTCAAAACCACAACTTTTCCCATTTCTACTATTTAACCTGGTTTATTCATTTTCAGGACAGCAATCCACACATTTTCCCGGAAGTGGAGGGACAAGGGCCAGTAATCGTTTGTTTTAAACATACTCTGATATTTCAGGCCTTTAAAACAATAGCACAGGTTTTAGGAAGTGGATTTCCAAGAAAACTTCCCATTTTTGCCTGACATTTCTACTACTGCCTTCTCACTTATCCACCATTGAGTTTCTTCTGGATCAAACAACCTTCTCGAAAAATATCAGATACTTTAGCCCTAATTAATTCTCATACTTTCTTTTTGTTTTGAGACAGAGTCTTGCTCTGCTGCCCAGGCTGGAGTGCATTGGTGTGATCTTGGCTCACCACAACCTCTACTTCCTGGGTTCAAGCTATTCTCCTGCCTCAGCCTCCCAAGTAGCTGCGACTATAGGCATTCACCACCATGCCCAGCAAATTTTTGTATTTTTAGTAGACATGGGGTTTCACTATGTTGGCCAGGCTGGTCTCAAACTTCTGACCTCGTGATACACCCACCTCAACCTCCCAAAGTGATTTTTGATCAAGTAATTCCTTACATACTTACCATTTTCTTCCTTTAAGAAGGTTTTATAAAATATTTATATATCTATTAATATTATCTGCCGTTACCTGACAGAAGTAGATATGCATCATTTTTTGATACAGGTGGAGACTTAATAATTGAGAAAAATAATATAATCTATAAGCCTGTAGTAAAGATTAAACCAAAAAATCAAGAGTTTGATCACCTCTGTAGATAAAGGAAATAAATTGATAAAGTTCAAAATTTGTGCTACACTTGAAGGAAGTAATTTGAAATCATTTATCTTATAAAGGCTTTATAATCCAAGAATTAAAAATACTCACTTTTTTCCATTTTAGGTATTCACATCAAAAATCTATTACCTAATATATAAAACTATCAAGTATGTTGATTATGTTTTTAGTATAGTGGTATTGTTTATCCGGATTTAATCTTGAAGATTAAAAATAAAAATAATGTTAACTTCAGTTAACTGTTCAGGCAAATTATTTTCTTTTTTGATAAAATGTATTTGTGTTGCTACACACTGATATGGAGCTGCAGATTTTCTCATTCAAGTTATTAAAATGCCAACCACCTTTGTAATGCTAGTAGTCACTGCCAAATCAATTTTCATTATATCGGGGGGAAAATACAAATCTTCTTAAAAACTGATATAACTGAAACTGTACGTACATTGTATTATATCACAAAATACATGTAAGTATAATGAAGAAAAATTTGTTAAGAAAGTTTACCAAAGCATTCTAGTTAAGATTACATTTAGGTGGATAAGAAATTTTTCATTTCCAAAAAATTACAAAACAACGGTAAATTGAGTTGGTATTTCACAGTATTTGAATTGCAATAGTATGAAGCGTGTATCTAAATGCATGCTATTTATGAGGCAATAGTTATGACAAAGGCATAGTAACATAATTGATTTCCCTTTGCATTCTGAGTTTGAGAATAATTAGGTAAATGACATATAAATGAACAAGAAATAATTCCATTGATCTTATTAGGCATTATTATTAAACTATACCAGTGTACTTAATGGAAAAAAATGTACATATCGCTATAAATTGTTCTCTCTGCTAACATATAATATTTTAAATTTTGAAAACAGAAAGTTAATGTTATTAATCATTTTATTAAATAAAGCAAAGATATATCAGCCATAATTATAATAATTACTTCATGATATGTTTGGATAAACATGTTTATTAAAACAGAATTCTATATTTGAAAGATACTATACAACATTTTATTTACATATTTTAATTGAAGTCTGCTGAAAATACACCAGAAAACCTAACAGATACACTTAACATAAGGGAAACATTATCCTACACTGCTTCACTTTTTCAAAGATGTTATTCCTCCTAGTTAATGACTTACTCTAAAAAGAGTGTTAGAAGTAGGTGAAAAGAAAGGCTATGTTTAAATATGTGAAGAGGGCAAGTTTGAACATTTAATATTTATTGCCCACCTCTTAGCTTTGTTATGCTCTCAAGTGACTCTTAAGAGAATTTCACACTTCGACAATATTCAGAGAATAAGAGACATGACATTGTTAAATACCATCAACATGCCTGCTGCTCCGTTTTGAAATGTTCCTGAATTCAAAATACCCCAAAATAGTTCAGAATATCTTGCTTCTGATGTCAGGATTTACTCTGAACAGAAATATTTTGAATGAAGAAACACAAATATGTAATGAGGTATAATAGTACCCCTCACTAATTATTAAAGAAAGACTACCCGAAGGCTAGATTTATCTTCTTGCTTGAAAAACAAAATCAAGGAAACACCCACAGAAATACAAGACTCTGGATATGAGGGAATGAAGTACTTCCCGAAAGACAGAAAACAAAGGAGTTAAACCCTGCTACTGCCCTAATTTAGTGGCTAGAGTTTCCAGCAGTGGGGCAGAGAAAGTGGGCTCCTAGAGTTGTACAAAGCCAAGAGTTCCAGGAGACTAAGGTAATTAGAGTTTCTAGGTCTGAGAAGCTAGAGATTCAAAGAGAGAAATCTCTGATATCTACAGATGTTCTCCTTTCAGTGCTTAGCAGAATACTGATTAGTGTATACATGTGAGTAATCTGCTCACTGCCAGGGAAACAAGCATCTTCAAAGATTAAAAACAAACAAACAATAACAACAACAAAAACCAGTGCCTGACATTCACATATGACCTGGATTATACCTGTATTTGCCAGCCAAATGAAAGAAAAAAGCTCAATTCACAGTGCATTTGGTAAAGCAATTTAAAAGGTCTTGCCTCAGGGGTAGAAATTAATTAGATTTAAACTGAGTACTGAGTTGAACGCATCAAAAAATCATAAAAGAAGTATCTAAAAGGATCAAGCGGTTTTGAACAAATTAACTGTGTCCTAGAGAAAAAGCTCATATTTTGTACAGAAATACAAAATATCCAGCACTCACAAAGATAACATTAACAAAAACTTCCATTATATTAAACTGTAGTTAGGTTAAAATTTCTTTAATAGATTCACAGAGACTGGCAGCACAAAGTTTTGTAAGGATTTAGAGCTACTGGAACTCTCATACCTTGATGGTAGAAATGTAAAATGTTTTAAAAACTTCTGAAAACTCTTTGGAAATATCTTATTTTCTCATAATGTTAAGCATACACCTATACTATGACAAAGAACTCCATTATAAGGTGTTTACAGGCCCTCGATCAGAAAAAACATAACCAAACATAAGTTGTATAAACATGTATATGGAAACTTTATTTAAGATAGTCAAAAATTTGAAAAATTCTAAATGTCTATCAAAGAAAAGTGGATAAACATTGTGTGACGTAATCACACAAGAGAGATTACCTTTCACCAATTAACAAATAATGAGCTTTTGATACGCACAATGACACAATTAATCTCAAACACATGTTGAACCAAAAGATGCCAGGCAGAAATTAGTGCACACTGTTTTAATTCCAAAAACAGATACAACTACTGTGCAGATATGAGAAAAGTGGTTGCTTCATTAATGAGAGGTATTAACTAGAAAGAGATATTAGGAAAATTTATTGGGTCATATTTGTGCACTTGAATGGAAGTAGAATTTATTTTTGTAAAAATAAAGATGTCAGCAGATATTCAACTACTATACATGTACTGTCACATGTAACCTACCAAAGAAAAATATGTTTAAAAATACTTTTACAAAATGACAATTTAAATTAAATAAATTTGCAACTATTTGAAAACCAATTTGGCTGTTTTCTATAAAAGTAATTATTCATCCACCCAACTTCCCTATAATCAAGTCACTCCTAGGCACTTATTCAAAAGGAGTAAAAACTCTTCTCCACAGAAAGACTTGAATAAGAATTGTAATAATGAATTAACTTTTAATTACCCCAAAATAGTAAAGCTGATGTGTTCAACAACAAATAGAAAAAAATCTGGTATATTCACACAAGAAAATACCACCTACCTATTGAAAGAGACCAACTATTTATATATGCAACAGCATTTATGAATATCAAAAACATTATTTTAACTAATCTGTACACAAAAGTACATGTTGTATGGTTCCATTCATATGAATTTCTGGAAGACAAAAACTATTCTATTGTAAATAGAATAGTTGTTGCCTTGGGAATGGAGATGCAGTTAAATGAGAAAGAACATGAGTGGACTTTGTGGTATGATGGTTACTACAACATAATAGTAAACGTTACTATATTTTAATTATATATGTATATGCATTTGTCAAAACTTATAAATATTACTTAAATTTGTTCACCCTATTTTATGTAAATTTTATATAAAAATAAACAAAACAGAAAAAAATCCTAGTCTTTTTAGGAGTATGATCAAAGTTAATCACAGATTGTTTATACGTGAATGAACACACAAAAAATATGTATGCACTTACCTCTCCAAAATGTTGAAGTGTCTGCTTGTAAAAGATACCGTTAATATTTATTCATTTCACATATTCATATGATTCAAACATTTAAATATTTAAAACAAATATTACCAACACTTTTAGTAAATTGGAAAATTTAAGTCAATATCGAATTGAGAGTTTTTTTCTCATTTGGTTGATTCATTAATTATAATCAGCAAAAAAAATTTGCATATGTTACGTTTCATTATACAGATACATTTGTGACATATAATTGCAGTATTGGGCAATGACTGATAAAGTTGTATTTTATCAAAACAGCTTTCTGAGTATGTGATATTGTGATATATAAGTAAAAAAAAAATGCTAATTCATGATATTCTGTCCCTGGAAGAATATGGACAACAGAAATATTTTGTAGCATCAAATTTTAGACAAAAACAGAGGTTTACATTTAACATCAATGTCAATAATAGAGTCAGAATTGATATCAAACTTGAGAAATATTTTTACCAAAAGTAGGTCTTTCATAATTAATATGAATTGATTTCTGCCAAACTATCATATTTAGCCATGTGGTCAGTAATATAATGTAAATTATATGTAGATATATATTTTTAAAGTTGAGGACACCTAAATAAAACATGTAAATTATTTTAATTACTTAACAATCTATTATATACAAAGTATTTAAGTATATTTTAAACATATTTAATTTAACTAATTTTTTGAGTGATTTGGGCAAAATTCTGTTTTAGTTCATGTATAGACATGCTTATATTTGAGTTACTGAAAATGCAAACATTTAAGTAGTCTACTCTTAGCATATTAATATGTCCTGTATTCATTACAACATTAATTGCATTAAATTCAGCTACTATGAATAAATAATCTATCACATATACATTTTAAAGGTAGAAGCATTTCAGTTTTATACAAGGATGTCTTTTTGAGCTGACATAGGTTTCCAAGATTTGAGACAATATCAGAAGATTTATTAAAAATGATATGAGACAGCAACTCCCCACATCACTTTGCTGGCATATATCTGCATGGGTGGGCTTTACTTGCTTCAACAGCACATGGGAATGCAGTGTGCCCCCCATAATCCCCACCAACCACCACTGCAGATGGATCCTTGTTGGGCACAGAGTCATCAAGCCCCATCTACACCAGTGCCCTGCCCTTGTGCTGTGCTGCACACAGAGCAGGGGATCCCCCCACAACCTGAGCAATTGCTCCTGCTTGCAGACCACAGATAAGGCGCCAAGACCTCCACTGGCCAGCACCCCACCCCAAGCCATCACCACCTACAGTGCAGCAGTGCACTCTGTCTCCAGCAGAAGGCCCTTACTCCCCCAACAGCTGCCTTGCCTCCAATACTGTGGTGAACACCTGCAGAGAGGCAGACACCCCTATATCCACTAGTACTTTGCTGCAGGTACTGCAGTTTGCTATCCCCAGCACAGTGGACTCCAAATCTCGAGGAGCCACAGTGTAAGAGATCGATCAGGTTGTTGTGGGAATCAGGAGACTGGAGAGATTGGTAGGTGAAACAGAAGGATTTTTATTGAGTGCACTCAGAACCAGCAGATTAATATCCAAAGACTGGACCCTGAACAAAGACAGCACTTGCCTTTTACGCACACTTCTAAAAGGGGGTGGTCTAACTTGAAACAAGCTTACAGTGGTGCAAAGTATAATGATTCAAAAGCAAGGATACAGAAGAAGAACAAAGGCAGTCAATCATACTACGACAAGTTCACAACTCAGGCTTACATATGACTCTTGCTATGCAGCCCAGATAGCTGTTATCTAGGCTTGTTCCAGTGCTTTGCATGGGCTTATCTCATAACATTTGCTATGGCATCTAGGGGACTGCAATCCAGGCCTGCTCAGGTGTCTCATGATCTTCACTGTGCTGCTTAGATGAATAACAGAATCAAAAGAGAAAGGAAAATTTGTTTTTCTTCTCCCTATGTTGAGGGAGCCCTGGGAGACTCTCCAGAGCACATTCTTTGAGCCCCAGCTTCTTAGATAATGCTATCGAGACTTTGCCTGGGTCTGGGCTTTGCCTGTTACTGCCTTTGGGATGAGTCAGCCTAATACAGAAAGATTGTTTCTTTCTCTTTTTAATTTTACTTTTCTTTCTTTAATTTCCAGCCTCAAGGGTGATGGGAGAAGATGTAAGAAAAGTTATAGGGAAAAATGCAAACCTTCTTGGAAGGCCAAAAACTTTGGAGAATAATTTAGCTGAAGGCAGCTAAATTCTCTTAAGGGCAAAGGTTAGATAACAAGGGAATGTAAAGAAACATATCTAGAAAAATTGGTTTACTTATGTCTCAGGAAACCAACCTTTGATCATTCATGTGCAAGACTGCTCTCTACTTAGGGGTCAACAATGTTAATTTCCCACAAATTATGTTTGCTCCAGGCCTTTGTCTTCAAATCTGTACTAAATTAATACAAAGTTCTCTGGCTTAGTGGGACTGTACTCTCATTGGTGATGCTAAGCAGTGCAGTCCCCTAGCTGCATTCTCAGGCAAAATAACTGTGTCTGAATACTTTTTTCATTGGTCGCTCAGCCAGAGTGTGCGGGATGGACCCGACACAAGAGAACAAAGCTGGGGCCTAATACAAGTACCCCAGAGTTAGAGCACCCAGTCCAGAAGTTGGGAGCTGAGTGTTGGTGCCATAAAATCTCCCAGAAATGAAGCCAGTCAGCTGAATCTACCTTATAACACAAACAAATCTTCGACATCATCAAATAGGATGAAAGAAAACAAAATACCGTCCAAAGGTAAGCAATCTCAAAGACTGAAGTTAGATAAGTGCACAAAGATGAGAAAGAATCAGTGCAAGAATACTGAAAACTCAAAAAGCCAGAGTAACTTCCTACCTCCACATAACTGCATCACCTCTCCAGCCAGGGTTCAGAACAGGGCTGAGGCTGCAATGGCAGAAATAGCATTCAGAATGTAAACAGTAATAAAATTCATTGAGCTATAGGAGTATGTTGTAAGCCAATACAACAGAGCTAAAAATCACAATAAAACATTGCATGACCTGGCAGACAAAATGCCAGTATAGAGAACATAACCAACCTGATAGAGCTGAAAAACACCACAAGAATTTCACAATGCAATCGTAAGTATTAACAGCAGAATAAACCACATGGAGGAAACAATCTAAGAGCTTAAAGAATGGCTTTCTGAAATAAGATAGGCAGATAAGAATAGAAAAAAAGAATGAAAAAGAATGAACAAAACCTCTGAGAAATATGGGATTATGTAGAGACTGAATCTACAACTGGTGTACCTAAAAAGGATAGAGAAAATGGAGTCAACTTAGCAAAAGTTGACTTTTGATATTTTTGATCTCATGGATCAAAATATCATCCATGAGAACTTCCCTAACCTAGATAGAGAGGTCAACATTCAAATTCAAGAAATACAGAGAACTTCAGTAAGATACTCCACAAAAAGATCATCTTGAAGACAAATAATCATCAGTTTCCAAGGTCAAAACAATAGAAAAAATGTTAAAGACAGTGTATTAGTCTGTTTTCACACTGCTGATAAAGACATACCTGAGATTGGGTAAATTATAAAGAAAAAGAGGTTTAATGAACTCACAGTTCCACATGACTGGGGAGACTTCACAATCATAGTGGAAGGCAGAAGTCATGTCTTACATGGCAACAGGCAAGAGAGAGAATGGGGACCAAGCAAAAGCAGAAACCCCTTATAAAACCATCAGGTCGTGTGAGACTTACTGACTACCACAAGGACAGTATAGGGGAAACTGCCTCCATGATTCAATTATCTCCCACTAGGTCCTTCCATAACGCATGGCAATTATGGGAACTACAATTCAAGATGAGATTTGGGTGGGGACACAGAGCCAAACCATATTATTTTGCCTGTGTCCCCTCTAAATGTGTCCTCAAGTTTCAAAACCAATCATACCTTCCCAACAGTTCCTCAAGTCTTAACTCATTTCAGCATTAACTCAGAAGTCCACAGTCCAAAGTCTCATCTGAGACAAGACAAGTCCCTTCCACCTATAAGCCTGTAAAATCAAAAGAAAGTTAGTTACTTTCTTGATACTATGGGGGTACAGGCATTCGGTAACTATACCCATTCCAAACAGGACAAATTGGCCAAAATAAAGGGGTTACAGGCCGCATGCAAGTCCAAACTCCAGCAAGGCAGTTGAATCTTAACGCTTCAAAATGATCTCCTTTGACTCCATGTCTAACATCCAGGTCATGCTGATGCAAGATGTGGGCTCCCATGGACTTGGGCAGCTCTGCCCCTGTGGCTTTGAAAGGTACGGTTCCCACCTAGCTGCTTTCACAGGCTGGTGTTGAGCAACTGAGGTTTTTTTAGGTGCATATGCAAGCTGTGAGTGGATTTACCATTCTGGGGTCTGGAAGATGGTGGTCCTCTTCTCGCACAGGCAGCGCCTCAGTGGGGACTCTGTGTGGGGCTCCAACCCCACATTTCCCTTCCCCACTTCCTTAGCAGAGGCTCTCCATGATCACCCCCCCTCCCCCACAGCAAACTTCTTCCTGGACATCCAGGCATTTCCATACATCCTCTGAAATCTAGGCTGAGGCTCCCAAGCCTTGCTTCTTGACTTCTGTGCACATGCAGGCTCAACTCCACATGGACGCTGCCAAGGTTTGGGGCTTGCGACCTCTGACTCCCTGGCCCAAGCTGTACCTTGGTCCCTTTTAGTCACAGCTGGAGTGGCTGGGATGTAGGGCACCAAGTCCCTAGACTGCACACAGAGAGGGGCCCTGGGCCTGTCCCCAGAAAACATTTTTTCCCCCGAGGCCTCTGGGTCTGTGATGGGAGGGGCTGCTGTGAAGACCTAGGACATGGCCTAGAGACATTTTTCCCATTGTCTTCATGATTATGATTTGGCTTCTTGTTACTTATGCACATTTCTGCAGCTGGCTTGAATTTCTTCTCAGAAAATGTTTTGGTTTTTTTTCTATTGCATTGTCAGACTGCAAATTATATAAATATATATATAATGTAAATAATATGAGCCAATAAATACATAACTAATTAATATTTAAATTATTAAAGATAAATATTAATTTTAACTATTTTATCAAAATTGTAAATATGGAAATGTATGTAACATACAATTATTGATAAATAAGTTGGGGGTTTTACTTATGATTTTCTCAAAACCTGAATAAAAATATCCTTTCTTTTTTGAGTCCTGGATTTTCTTCAGTTTGAACAAATATTGGAATTATTAACTCTGCACCAAAGCTAAATAACTGATTAAGGACACATGATGAACCTATTAGCATAAATGTGTAAATGTTATTTTTAAAAGCAGTGAAAAAGTTAATGAAGATATTTAATTAACCTGAAGAGTCCACTTACTAGATAATTCAATGTCATTAATTAGGTGACTCATAAAGCAGATGCTTTCCATTTTTTGAGAGTGGCTAGAAAAAAAAAGTTTATGTTTACAACATGACTCTACTAAGAAACCTGAATATTATTTCATTACTTTTTATCAAGCTAATATGAGAAAGGAAGCAATAAGATAAAAATAAATGACAGTCACTTCTTGGACTGGAAGCAAAGAAGTTTAACAAAAGAAAAAAAAGCATTCTTCCCCACTTTCTTAAAAATTGAGACCACATTTTAAAATAATTTTGCTTGAGGTCTAATTAAAAATATTATAGTTTCCATTTTCTGGAAGATTATAGTTTTTCAAAACTGCAAACAGTAGGCAGATAAATATAAATTACGATAAACATAATGTAGATGTATCTTTACAGAAAACTTTAGATCAAATGTTAGCTTTTTCTACAAAGGGTCAGATTTTAAGTATGTTAGGCTTTGACAATCATGCAGTTTCTGTTGCAACCACTCAACTCTGACATAATAGCCTGAAAACATCTATAGACCACATGTAAGTGAATGATCTTGTGTCCAAAAAAAAACCTTGTTATTTATGAAAACACTGCAGTTTTTACTTTCTGCAATCGTTATATGCTACAAAATGTTATTTTAAAAAATTGTTTCAATCATTTAAATCTCTAAAAACCATTATTACCTTGCAGGCTGTACCAAAACCATAGGCCACAGGCTGCCAATGCTCACACTGAAGAAACAAAATTGTGATATCAGTACAGCCTTCACAGAGAAAATAGAGTTTGAAACTAGAATATCAACTACAACTGGAGAGTTAAATGAAAAGTCTTATTAGTTAGATGGAGTGGGTTTTGCAAGACACTGGTGAGAAGTACAGAATTTGGGGTAATTGCAGTAATTACGTGGGCTTAAATATATATGTGTGGGTAGAAGAGGGAGATGTCAAGCGATGAGAGTAGAGATGAGTTTAGGATAAATTACAAATGTCTTCAGGCCATCCAAAGTGTTTATAATTTATTCTAATGGAAGTGACAAGACATTAATGAGATCTAAAATAGGGACTACAAGAAACAGATTACAATAGATAAACAAGACTGTAGGCAGAGAGCTTCTTAATTCCACAGTTCATTGGCAAGTCCAAGAAGAAACTTAAGGTGACCTGAACTATAGTAATGACAGTGGATTCACTTATAAGTACAGTCTTGAGTTGATTAATGATGAGAATTCATTCTGAGAAATGTGTTCCCTAGGTGAACATCATAGTGTCCTTTTACAAACCTAGACGGTGTAGCCTACTACACACTTCGGCAATAAGGTAGAAGTTATTGCTTTTAGGCTACAAGCCCTTACATCAGGTTACTATATTAAATAATGTAGCCAATTGAAACACAATGATAAACATCTTTATATCTAAACATAGAAAACATACAATAAAAAGATATGGTATAAAAAATAAAAAGTTGCACACCTGTATAGGATGGTTACTATAAATGGCACTTGCAGGCCTAGAAGTTGCTCTGGATGAGACAGTGAGTGAGTGGTGAGAGAAAGCAAAGTCTTTAGATATTACTGAACACTACTGTAGACTTAATAAACACTGTACACTTAGGCTACATTACATTTCTAAAAACTATTCTGTAATAATAAAATAACCTTAGCTTACTGTATCTTTTTTACTTTATAATTTTTTTGACTCTTGCAATAACGCTTAGTTTAAAACACAAACACATTGAACATCTGTACAAAAAATATTTTCTTTCTTTATACCCTTATTATATAAGCTTTTTTCTACAATGGAACAGAACAGAGCCCTCAGAAATAATGCCGCATATTTACAACTATCTGATCTTTGACAAACCTGAGAAAAACAAGCAATGGGGAAAGGATTCCCTATTTAATAAATGGTGCTGGGAAAACTGGCTAGCCATATGTAGAAAGCTGAAACTGGATCCCTTCCTTACACCTTATACAACAATTAATTCAAGATGGATTAAACACTTAAACCTTAGACCTAAAACCATAAAAACCCTAGAAGAAAACCTAGGCGTTACCATTCAGGACATAGGCATGGGCAAGGACTTCATGTCCAAAACACCAAAAGCAATGGCAACAAAAGACAAAATTGACAAATGGGATCTAATTAAACTCAAGAGTTTCTGCCCAGCAAAAGAAACTACCATCAGAGTGAACAGGCAACCTACAAAATGGGAGAAAATTTTTGCAACCTACTCATCTGACAAAGGGCTAATATCCAGAATCTACAATGAACTCAAACAAATTGACAAGAAAAAAACAAACAACCCCATCAAAAAGTGGGCAAAGGACATGAACAGACACTTCTCAAAAGAAGACATTTATGCAGCCAAAAAACACATGAAAAATTGCTCACCATCACTGGCTATCAGAGAAATGCAAATCAGAACCACAATGAGAGACCATCTCACACCAGTTAGAATGGCAATCATTAAAAAGTCAGGAAACAACAGGTGCTGGAGAGGATATGGAGAAATAGGAACACTTTTACACTGTTGGTGGAACTGTAAACTAGTTCAACCATTGTGGAAGTCAGTGTGGTGATTCCTCAGGGATCTAGAACTAGAAATACCATTTGACCCAGCCATCCCATTACTGGGTATATACCCAAAGGATTATTAATTATGCTGCTATAAAGACACACACACACATATGTTTATTGCGGCACTATTCACAATAGCAAAGACTTGGAACCAACCCAAATGTCCAAAAATGACAGACTGGATTAAGAAAATGTGGCACATATACACCATGGAATACTATGCAGCCATAAAATGATGAATTCATGTCCTTTGTAGGGACGTGGATGAAATTGGAAATCATCATTCTCAGTAAACTATCGCAAGAACAAAAAACCAAACACCGCATATTCTCACTCATAGGTGGGAATTGAACAATGAGAACACATGGACACAGGAAGGGGAACATCACACTCTGGGGACTGTTGTGGGGTGGGGTGAGGTGGGGAGGGATAGCTTTAGGAGATATACCTAATGTTAAATGACAAGTTAATGAGTGCAGCACACCAGCATGGCACATGTATACATATGTAACTAACCTGCACATTGTGCACATGTACCCTAAAACTTAAAGTATAATAATAATAAAATAAAAAAAGAAAAATAAAGTTTTTAAATTTATATTATTTACTTTTAAAACATTTTATTAATAAGACACAAACACATACAGTAGCTGAGGCCTACACAGGGTCAGGATTATCAATATTACTGTCTTCTGCCTTTATATCTTGTCCCACTGGAAGGTCTTCCAGGGCAATAACATGCGTGGAACTTTCATCTTCTACGATAACAATGCTTCCTTATAGAATACCTCCTCAAGGACCTGTCTGAGGCTGTTTAATGGTTAACTCTTTCTCTCTCTCCTCTCTCCATATATATATATATGAATTGTTTGGCTCATTATAATCTTATGGGACCACTGTTCTGTAGGTAGTTCATCATTGACCGAAATGTTCTTATTAGGCAGGGCATGATTGTATATTATTTTTATTTACCACTGAATGGCAATATTAAATATGTTACAAGAATGGTTTGGATATTAAATCCTTATTATTCTTATTATTGTTATTGAGACAGAGTCTTGCTCTGTCGTCCAGGCTGGAGTGAAATGGCACTATCGTCTCGGCTCACTGCAACCTTCGCCTCCCGGGTTCAAGTGATTCTCCCGCCTCAGCCTCCCGAGTAGCTGGGACTACAGGCGCACTTTACCATGCCTGGCTAATTTTTGCGTTTTTAGTAGAGATGGGATTTCAGTCACCACGTTGGCCAGGCTGGTCTCAAACTCCCGACCTCAGTTGATCCACCCGCCTTGGCCTCCCAAAGTGTTGTGATTACAAGTGACCACTCCCAGCCTTAATTCCTTATTATGAAGACATGTAATTCATATAACAAAAGCAGTAAAAATGTCTAGAATCCTATGTACTTTCCAGAATGCTGTCAAGAGCTAAGCTGCCATGGAGTTGAAATAGCTAATTAAAACAATAAGCCAAAATGACAGTAACAGTCAAATCTTTACTAACTGAGATAGTTTAAGCAAGAAACTAAAGAGGAAAGATCGCTAGCTCCTCCAATGTTCCATTTTGTCCCATGAAACAGCTCCAGGCCAAGGTCATGTAGCTCAGCACAAATGCAGATGTGGGAATTTTCTCAGCAAGGATCTTTTGACCAAGGAGCCATGAACAAAAAGCTCCTTTCATCTTATGGACCTGGGTCCTTGGGACAGAAAGAGGAGGAAGGGCTAAGAATGGGAAAATACTGAGTTCAGATTCAGAATAGAGAATAATGATTTCAATGTTTCCCCTTTCTCCTCTCCCTTATCCCTCTCTCCCTATCATAAGGAGTTCTCTGCAAAGGTTTTCTATTGAGGGTCCCTAATAAGGATAGCTCAGATGGGGGTGCCTGAGACTTGAATGGCAGACATGCACAGGAGGATGGTTGGCTAGCGGGGAATGAGTCCTAGACTGCAGCTCCCATTAGATATTGTAATGCACTGGCTGTTTGCCAATTCTGGTATAGGGAGAGTATCTTTCTCTAGTGAGGCCTGCCAGGTAAAGCCATTGTCATGGCCTATGGTTAGGCCTGAAAGGTTACACATAGGGTTTCTGCCTGGAGTTGGACTCCTCAGATGCCTTTTGGATTTTCTGTCAAGTGGTAAACATTAATGGAAGATTAAAACAACTCCAATTTGACAAGACAACTAAGGGCACTGTTCATGAAGAGTGGGCTCTTGCTGTGGAAACTTGGATAATTTAGGATACTATAGAGAAGTGTGGAATGAATAATATAAAAAGAATGGTACAAATACCATCCACAGTTCCATGATCAGTTATAAAATTAAGTATGTAATACATTCTTGGGTTTTCTTCTCTTCTGCATTGTCATGTATATAATTGTTTGTCTTATTTTATCTTCCATTTTTCCCATCATTTTTAGGGTAGGCTGGTTTGAATAACTTCATAATTTATTATCTTATTTCAGGATATTAAGACATAGTTGAGACTGAATCCGAAGAGGAGTGAATATCATGGATACCTATTTTGGATAGGACCACTGCATTTTAATTTGTGCAACATATATTTGAATTATATTTGACAGGATCATGTACTTGTTACTGTTACTCTTTTGAAGTTTAAGCTTTAGAAAAGGCAGGTGCATGGATATTGAATAGTCTTAAGCTGGACCATCGGCTATTTCAGACTGGCTTACTCAGGCATATTCCAAAACTCTGGTAGTTTGACTAAGTACTTGCTCAATTTGGAACAGCTAAAAATGATATCCCCAGGCTTACTCACAATTCAGGTTTTACATTAAACCTACCTTCTTTAAGGAAAAGAGCCTGAGATAGAAGGTGCCTTCCTATTCTTTTTCCTGACAAGCAGTGTAACAAAACCATTTACTTTCCTGTAACGACAGTCACAAATGACCAAATGTCCAGTCCTTAGTTCTGTGGCCAACATTCTGTGTTATTCAAATATGAACCTTGGCTGAGATCCTATGATCAAGAAGCAAGCAGCTATGACAGAAGTATTTTAATGCTTAGAGAAAAAAAAAACAAAGGTAGCAACTCACTGTTAGGTTAGGGTTAGTCTGCAGATACCTGGATTAAGATATCTTAAGCCACTGTGTGGTCCCTGGCTGACCAGAGTGAGTTCATTTATATCTATCTCCTCTATGTGGATAACAATAAAAACATAACAGAGGGAGATGGATTCCATAAATATGACTGTTGAAAATGTTATAGCTACAGAGGATCTAAGATATATGTTTGGTAGTTGGACTAATGTATTGTTTGGATCAAATAAAATATGTGTTAGAGAATGCAACTGTTTATTCAAAGTATAGGGGCAAAGTTTAGGCCCAGATCAGTCAGGAAGGTGGCAAACTGTTTCACACATTTCCTGCCATGTAAATCAGAAATGTTGTGTAGAACAGAACTTATATACAAGCTAAAATAAGTAAACACAAAACAAAAGATAGTGACCAAAATCTTTAGCAAGAAGAGGTGCATCACAAAAGGAAAGAGGAACAGGAATGACCTGATATGAAACTATAAGGTATCCCTGTAAGAGATATGAATGGAGGCTGCTACAGTAAGTCTAAGGCCAACAATGTAGAGAGAAACAGATGAAATTTTTCTTCGTATTGTTAAATTAAAATGCAAACATTCGAGCTTCCCAGCTTCCACATCAAAGTAGAAAAAAAAAGAAATTTGCATTAGAAATGTGTGTCTAGCTTTTATGAAGGATGACAGAAAAAATTATTGTTTCTCAAAGCAGTTTTTCTAAAAGTACATTTGTAAAATGGACAATGTGCCTCAAGTTACAAAAAATTATTTTATTATTCTCTATGTAAATATGTTTCCCATGAGTACATTTAATGATGTTTAGACTAACAATTTTGTTTAAATTTTAAGTTAATAAGATAAACTTTGAAACTGGGAAAAAAACAAATAGCAAAGTTAGCATAATTTTAGTGCCAGTGGTTGCACAGGAGATCCTGATTCTCCAGCTTCTCAGTCATGGCAAAAGGAGCAACAGTCCCAGCTCTGTCGTTTTTCTGGAGGAGTTCTAGCAATCATTTAGAAGATCAGCCCAAGACCTGCTCCACCAACTCTCCAATCGTGTAAGAAACTAATTCTATATATTAAATTTTGTTTGCCTATATTACCTAAAGATTTATTCTTATAATCTATAATGGAAAATTGGAATATTGAGTATGCTGATGAAAAAGATTACATTTTCTTAAACAAAAGTTCACTCCTAAATGATAAATTCAATTATAGGAGCAAATTTAGGTAGGCATAAAAAGAGAAAAGTGAAAATACAATTGAAAAATTGAGGCCGGGCGCGGTGGCTCACACCTGTAATCCCAGCACTTTGGGAGGCCGAGGCGAGTGGATCACGAGGTCAGGAGATCGAGACCATGGTGAAACCCCGTCTCTACTAAAAGTACAAAAAATTAGCTGGGCGCGATTGTGGGCGCCTGTAGTCCCAGCTACTCAGGAGGCTGAGGCAGGAGAATGGCGTGAACCCAGGAGGCGGAGCTTGCAGTGAGCCGAGATCCCACCACTGCACTCCAGCCTGGGCGACAGAGCGAGACTCTGTCTCAAACAAACAAACAAACAAACAAACAAAAAAGAAAAATTGAAGCAACTCCACATGCATTCCAGCTTTACAGAGTGAAAGTGTACGTGAAATTTTATTAAGAGACAATAATTTATAATGCATAATTAACTCAAGAATTAATATTATTTGACACAATTTTGAGCATACTAAAAGGTAACTGGATTTTATAATCTAATTAAAAAGTCATATAAGTAAATACAATGAGTATTACCTTTATAAATACTTTAAGATGCATTCGAGTATATGCTATAATGGAAATATTCGGCCGGGCGCAGTGGCTCACGCCTGTAATCCCAGCACTTTGGGAGGCCGAGGCGGGCGGATCACAAGGTCAGGAGGTTGAGACCATCCTGGTTAACATGGTGAAACCCCATCTCTACTCAAAATACAAAAAAAATTAGCCGGGCATGGTGGCAGGCGCCTGTAGTCCCAGCTACTCAGGAGGCTGAGGCAGGAGAATGGCGTGAACCCAGGAGGCGGAGCTTGCAGTGAGCCGAGATTGCGCTGCTGCACTCCAGCCTGAGCAACAGAGACAGACTCTGTCTCAAAAAATAAATAAATAAATAAATAAATAAATTAGTAAATTTTGCATAAGTAAATTATACCTCAGTAAATCTGGCTAAAATACAATGTAAATATGTGTATCAACCACCATTAATTTAAAAATTCTAGGGCCAGGCATGATGGCTTATACCTGTAATCCTATCACTTTGGGAGGCTGAGGTGGGAGGATCCCTTGAGCCCAGGAGTTCAAGACAAGCCTGGGTAACAGGGAGAGCCTCATCTCTATAGAAAATTAAAAAATTTAATTAGCCTATCGTGGTGGCTCACACCTGTAATCCCAGATACTTGGGAGGCTTTTTTGAGGTTATAGTGAGTTATGATCCAGCTACTGTACTCCAGCCTGGTGACAGAATGACATCTTCCCTCTATAAAAATAAAAATAAAATCTATGACATTTAACTGATTACATATTTAATCAATTAATTGGAATAAATGATATCCTGATTATGACATTTCAATAGACATATTATTATTTATTTTAATATTTGAATAGAGTAAATAAAGTCCTATTTTTCTTTCAATTTGTCATTTATTTTATGTTGCTTTGAATAGAAAACTAATGCTGCAATTGTGTACACCATTAAATCATTAGGTTCTAATTTCCTTGATCTATTACGAAAAGTGATTTTCAATTTTAATATCAAGGGCATTATTTGCAGAATATTGTTATTCTGCAAATATATTCTGCAAATACATTCTGTAATATTTAAATATCATAATCAAGCAAACTCTTAAATGTGACACCTGAAACAATTATAGGCAAAGAAAATACTAGTAATATAGCTCACAGATAAAGCTTATTTAGTATAAAGTATGCAAGGAACTTCGGATTCAGACAATATGGCACAGATCCATGTTTTTCCCGCCTCTTTTTGTTATGCACAACTGTATATTTTGAAAATGACACATGTGACTAACATGAAAAAGCTCTAAGAGATGGAGGTAAACAGAAGAAGAGTTAGTTTGATATGCAAGGAATGGTGAAACAGCACAACAGCAAGGCATCTTGTGTATCCTGAAGTCCTGAAGAAGGCCTTCAGACTTATTTTTCCTAATCCCCCAATCTAGCAACAGAAGATACCTCAAGTAAGCTCCTTCCTCCCTTGGATCAATCAGGAGCCACTAGCTTGAGACACCCACCACCATCCAGGAGAAGCAGCTAGGAGAAATGCTAAGAGAGGTGCTCTCCTTCCCAGTACAGCTTGAGGCTTCCTTTTCTACCAGGAAGCACAAAGGTGGGAAAATAGAATCAGGAAGAGGGACCTAGTAGAGAAAGTGGCCTGGCCTAAGAAGCTGCTTTGTCCCTGCAGGCCTAAGACTCTCTTCCCAATGACCCCAGAGTAGCCAGGGGACATTGGTTGGGGGATTCTACCACACCCCTCACCACATACCTCAGACACCTGGTAGCCTAACCTGGAGAAACTGCTTCCACTGCCATAGGCAGCACTAACAGGGAGCAGTGGAATTCCCAGCAGCACCATATTAATCAAAGAGTCTGAAATCACAATGCAAAAGCTCTAAACATTAACTTGGTATTGAAACTACAGCCAAAACAATTGGCCAGTGCAGGACAGTTCTCCATGTGGCCTTGGATTGACCCAGTTCTCTTCCCTTTCTTCCTTGTAGGTCTTAATAATTACTGTAGATTGTGCTGGGAATACATTATGGTGAGATAAGGAGGGGCTGACTGGACTAGCCTGGGCCTGTTGCTCTTTCCTCTGGAAGCAGGATGTCCCTCAAAGCTTTAAGTCAATGTTTCACATTGGCTCTGAGGTATATAACCCTGAACAGGCTGTCTTAAAGAGTCCTGGCTGGGCGTGGTGGCTCATGCCTTGTAATCCCAGCACTTCAGGAGGCCAAGGTGGGTGGATCACCTGAGGTCAGGAATTCAAGACCAGCCTGGCCAACATTGTGAAACCCCGTCTCTACTAAAAATACAAAAAACTTAGCGTGGTGGCAGGCGCCTGTAATCCCAGCTACTTGGGAGGCTGAGGCACCAGAATCGCTTGAACCCAGGAGGCAGAGGTTGCAGTGAGCCGAGACCGTGCCATTGAACTTCAGCCTGGGCAACAAGAACCAAGCTCCATCTCGAAAAAAAAAAAAAAAAAAAAAAAAAAAGCCCCTCAGCTGTGGTGCAAGTGGGGAATGCACAGCTGAGACTCGATGTGCCCTAGACAGCTTTCTTGAGTCTTCAGGAACGAGCTCATCATAGATCCTAGCATTCTTTTGTCCCTTGCTGCCTACCTGTAAGTCACAAATCTGCTTTGTGTAACTTGTTGCATATGAGTGTATTCTGTCTCCTGCACTCAGACAAGCTGGTAAGCAGCACACAGTAAACCTAATCCACAAAATGCGTCCAGCAAGCAGGGCCCCATCTAATGTAATCATAGCTTATTTGAGAAGCAGGAGGGGTGATACTTCCTAGTACCCAGCCCAGGGGAAAGACAGCAGCCTGGGGGCATGGGGATTGAATATTTTCAGAGGAAGGAAGGGTGATAAGTCGGATTTAGGTCTGCCACTTCCCACAGATGTGAATGAGATGGCTGCATGGATCAAGGCAAACAAAAGGCAATGAGGAAATAGAGGAGCATAGGTCCCTTGGTTGGGGATATTTATTTAATTACCCTGTCATTCATGGGGGCAGAGAGTGAGGGAAGTGTGTACTCAACCAGACACTAAGGCACCTGAGAGGGAAAGAAGAAAGGGGTCCTCAGATCTTCCTTGAGGCATCTGAGAAGGAATCAATACATGTGATAAAGGCCTTCACAGAAAGGGAGACTCATTATCTAAAGGACAGATATAGAGAAAGGCCAGGCATGTTTCTTTGATGAAAGGACATTGCAAATCCAATGTCTTGGGCTGAATGGCAGAGTCAGAAATGGGACCAAGTTCTCGGGGTCCCCAAATGGAGGCCAAAGGCCTTATATTTCTGTCAAGGTAAGAGGAGAAAAGAAAGAAATTCAGACTTTTTTTTTTGATACAGGAGTCCACATAATACTTCCAGGTCCTCTTAGGGAGAAAAACTGGTGACACTGGAAGGTTTTAGAATGAATGCATTGACCAGTAGTGCTTATCTACCTGTGATATGGCTTTGGTCCATATTGGATGTCAGTGACCATGGTTCTCACTTGTGAGTGCATTATTGGTATTGAGCCCCCGACTTCTTGTAGCACAAAAATCACCATTGCCTGAGGGGACATACTCTTTGACAACTCAGAATTCAAGCCATAACAGTGGGGCATATCCTGCCTGCCACCTAAACTACCCAAGCCCCAGTGGATTATTTAACAAAAGCAGTACTACATGGTAAGTGGAGAATAGGACATTACTTTATTAATTCAGGACTACAACAAACTATCCCTTTTAAGCAGCCTGTAAGGATCCATTGGATTCTCCTGTGGCAACCTGGGGCCCAGGACTCATAGACATGCTTACTGACAGCATGGCATTGTCATGCATCAGTGCATCAGTGTGAAGAGACTACCAAACAGGTTTTTTGTGAGCAACAAGACTGTTTATTTCACCTGGGTGCAGGCAGGCTGAGTCCAAAAAGAGAGTCAGTGAAGGAAGATGGGGTGGGGCCGTTTTATAGGATTTGGGTAGGTAGTGGAAAATTACAGTCAAAGGGGGTTATTCTCTGGCAGGCAGGGGTGGGGGTCACAAGGTGCTCAGTGGGGGAGCTTCTGAGCCAGGAGAAGGAATTTCACAAAGTAATGTCATCAGTTAAGGCAGGAGCCAGCCATTTTCACTTCTTTTGATTCTTCACTTGTTTCAGGCCATCTGGATGTATACGTGCAGGTCACAGGAGATACGATGGCTTAGCTTGGGCTCAGAGGCCTGACATTCCTGTCTTCTTATATTAAAAAGAAAAATAAAACAAAATAGTGTTGAAGTGTTGGGGTGGTGAAAATTTTGGGGGGTGCTATGGAGAGATAATGGGTGATGTTTCTCAGGGCTGCTTCGAGTGGGATTAGGGGAGGCATGGGAACCTAGAGTGGGAGAGATTAAGCTGAAGGAAGATTTTGTGGTAAGGGGTGAAACTGTGGGGTTGTTAAGAGGAGCATTTGTCATATGGAATGATTGGTAATGGCCTGGATGCAGTTTTGTATGAATTGAGAAACTAAACGGAAGACACAAGGTCTGAATAAGTGAAGGAGAAAAACAGGTATTAAATGACTAAGAATTGGGAGGACCAAGGACATCCAATTAGAGAGTGCTCAAGGGGGTTCAGCATAATTACTTGTTTGGTTGGTGAGTTTTGGGGCTCTATCCTTGACAGAGTCCTCTTTTTTAAGTTTTAAGTTGGAGGCTGAGCTTGGTGAGGTGTGTTTTTAAAAGACAATTTGTCTGTCCTACCATTCCTGAAGATTCAGGATGGTAAGGGCTATAAAGGTTTTACTGAATACCAAGAGCCTAAGAAACTGCTTGGGTGATTTGACTAATAAAAGCTGGTCCATTATCAGACTGTATAGAGGAGGGAAGGCCAAACCAAAGAATTATGTCTGACAGAAGGGAAGAAATCATCGTGGTGGCTTTCTCAGACCCTGCGGGAAAGGCCTCTACCCATCCAGTGAAAGTGTCTACCCAGACCAAGAGGTATTTTAGTTTCCTGACTCAGAGCATGTGAGTGAAGTCAATTTGCCAGTCCTGGGTGGGGGCAAATCCCTGAGCTTGATGTGTAGGGAAGGGAGGGGGCCTGAATAATCCCTGAGGAGTAGTAGAATAGCACATGGAACACTGAGAAGTGATTTTTTGAGGATAGATTTCCACAATGGAAAGGAAATGAGAGGTTCTAAGAGGTGGGCTAGCAGCTTGTAACCTACATGGAAGAGGTTATGCAATGACAACAGAATAGAATGGGCCTGTGAGGCTGGAAGGAGATATTTTCCTTGGTCAAAGAACCATTTGCCTTGTGTGGGAAGAGATTGATAGGTGGAAGTTTCAGTCGGTGAGTAGGTGGGAGTGACCGATTAGAAGGAGAAAAACTGGCCGTGAGGGACAGAAGTTGGAATGCTAGCTGCTTCTTTAGCTATTTTATCAGCATAAGCATTGCCCTGAGCAATGGGATCTGATGCCTTTTGATGGCCTTTGCAGTGAATGACTCCAGCTTCCTTTGGAAGTAAAGTGGCCTTGAGAAGAGCTTTTATTAAAGAGGCATTAATGATGGAGGACCCTTGCGCAGTGAGGAAACCTCTTTCTGCCCATATAATGGTATGGTGGCGTAGGATATGGAAGGCATATTTAGAGTCAGTTTAAATATTGATGTGTAGTCCCTTTGCAAGAGTGACGCTCGAGTTAAGGCAATGAATTTGGCTTGCTGAGAGGTAGGGGAGTGGGGCAGAGCGGTAGCCTCAATGATAGATGTGGAAGATACTATAGCATAGCCTGCCTTTGCTGGTGAGTGGCAATTAGGCCTGGTGGAACTGCCATTGATAAACCAAGTGTGATCAGGGTGAGGAACAGGAAAGAAGGAAATATGGGAAACGGAGTGAATGTCAGGTGGATCAGAGAGATACAGCCATGGAGGTCAGGTGTGATATCCGGAATAATGTGGGAGGCCAGATTGAAGTCCGGGCCAGGAAAAACGGTAATTGTGGGAGACTCAACAAAGAGTGAGTACAGCTGAAGGAGCCAGGGAGCAGAAAGTATATGAGTCAGGTGTGAGGAAGAAAATAGATTTTGGAAGTTATGAGAAATGTAGAGAGTGAGTTGAGCATAGTTTGTGATTTTTAGGGCCTCTAAAAGCATTAGGGTGATGGCAACTGCTGCACGGAGACATGATGGCCAGAGCAGATCCTGAACTAACATGTAAGACTTGTCTGGAGTTTGAATAGGTAAAATGGGAGAATTGTAAGGAGAGTTTACAGGTTTTACAAGCCCATGCTGTAGCAGGGGAGTGATAACAGGCACCAAATGTCACACACGTCCATGTGAAGAGACCACCAAACAGACACTGCATGAGCAATAAGGCTGTTTATTTCACCTGGGTGCAGGCGGGCTGAGTCTGAAAAGAAAGTCAGTGAAGGGAGATAGGGGTGGGGCCGTTTTATAGGATTTGAGTAGGTAGTGGAAAAGTATAGTCAAAGAGGATTGTTCTCTGGCGGGCAGGGGCGGGGGTCACAAGGTGCTCAGTGGGGGAGCTTCTGAGCCAGGAGAAGGAATTTCACAAAGTAATGTCATCAGTTAAGGCAGGAACCAGCCATTTTCACTTGTTCTGTGATTCTTCACTTGCTTCAGGCCACCTGGATGTATACGTGCAGGTCACAGGGGATATGATGGCTTAGCTTGGGCTCAGAGGCCTGACAGGCATGGTTTACTGATAGCTCTGCCAGACGACATGCACTGGACCACCATTCAGCCAGTGGTTGGCTATCTTTTGACTGAGACTGGACATGGGCATTCTACCCAACGGGCCAAACTAAATGCAGTGGTGATGGCCATGCAGGCTACCTCTATCGCGTATCTTGCTATATTTTCAGTGACTTATGGGCCATTGCCAAAAGCCTGGCCATCTGATCAGGACAATGGCAATGGAAGGATTGGACTGTTAGAGGATATCCATGTGAGAACAAGGACTAAGAAAAACAGCTTGTTGTCTGAAAAAGACAAATATATGTCAATCATATGGGTGCTGAGGCAACTATAGCCACACTTGAGAGGAATTTATGCCATCCTTTTACATAGCCCATGGGATTTTACTTGGACCAAGGAATATTTTTTACTATTCAAGCAACTAGATAATGGGTACACATTAGTGAAAAAAGATGGGCTTTTTAAGTACATTGTCATCCTCAGGCCAATAGAGTTATTGAATAATGGAACTCACAAAGCAACTGAAGAAAGAACATCAAGATGTCCTGCTAGTGAGGGGGTAGCCCATCTGACTAGGGCAATAGGGACACTAAACACTATGCACCAATGCAAAGGAAACAGCACTGCAGTGCATATTGAGGGACACTGAGCTTGGTTGGGTTGGAGGTGGATGAGAAACCCACCTGACTAGGCTGTCTGTGCCTGTAAAGTCTCAGTCTGTGTTCTCAACCATTCTTTTTCCTTTTCCCCTATAGAGTACATGTCCTGGGGATGAATTGCAGTTCAGGGTGCCATAGTACCCCAGAGAGGCCACCCTGTCTCTAATCTGGAGTTTATACTTCCCTTGGGTACCTCCCCTATAAGGGGATTCCACAGGGGTCGGGGACAGGACTAAGGAATGACAGACTGCTAGAATCCCTCTAATGATGCTGGATGCCTCTGATCCTTCCATTTGGGTGGATGATGTTATGAGATATGCCAGCTTTGTACTGGAGTGGATGATTGAGGCAGAAAGGTTTGAGTCAAGCAACAAGGGCAATGGATGTCTGCAGAAGTAGCTTGGGACTAAAACAGACAGACCGGGTTGCTATACCAACTCAGCCTAATTCTTATTCAATAGGTAGAGAACATCTGAGACCCTGGAAAGGGTGAGAGGTGGGCATTAAACTGTCAGTCTGCTTTTCCACATGGATGGGGCATTATAGGCCTGTGAGCATAATGCCTTAGTGGCCTCTTCCAAAGTGCCATGGTTACACCATGGGTAACCTGACAAAGTGCTGGATGCTCCATCCACGACCTCGTTCTCTCATTGACTAGAACGATCCTTTCATCTTGCCTGTGGTTAACTACTCCAGCACTCCTAATGCCACAGAGTACAGTAATGGACCCTAAGTCCTAGCTTACTGAGTGAGGACCTAGCACATGCCACATAGGAAGAATTCAAAGGTGCTATCTTTTAACTTAAATAACTTTGTGGAAAAATGTCATGACCACAACTAATGAATCTTTGGTGGGCAGGTGCTTTGATGCACCAGGCTCCTTTAATTACAAAGATGTGTGCTCATGATGATGAAGAGAACAAGTATCGGAGAGTGCTAGCCCTCTGCATAGAGGCTTTAGGATTGTATGGGGTAAAATGTATGAGGAAAACTCAGGCAACTACTGCCATCAATGAGACTTAGCTAGTGAGTGCCAATACCTTCATCCTCATAAATAATACTAGCACAGGGGGTCTGTGTGTGCCAGAGGGCTACATCTTTATCTGTGGGCAATCTGGGGTGACTGAAATGCAGGGTGGGCAAAGTCATGCCTGGAAAACTTACAGGTCCTGCCCCATTGAGTGTGCTAGGGATGCTCCTAGAATTCACCCCCAAAATGAAGTGCTCCATTGACTCAGGAGCCTAATGCTGTATACCAGACTTACCAAAGACCTGACTGGATGTGTAACTGACTTTGGGTTTACGTCTTTTATGAGATCTTTGGTACCATTCATAGGAGTTATTGCTCATAAAAAAATGAAAATAATCCTGTCCCAAACCATGGCAAATATTGCCTCCTCCATTGCCACTGTCTTAGAAGCCAAGGAAACATCTCCCAGATCCACCTAGAAAGTTATTTTAAACAACAGAATTGTTCCAGACTCTTTTTGTTTGAGATGGAGTTTCGCTCTCGTTGCCCATGCTGGAGTGCAGTGGTATGATCTCAGCTCACTGCAACCTCTGCCTCCCGGGTCTAAGTGATTCTCTTGCCTCAGACTCCAGAGTAGCTGGGATTATAGGCGTGCACCACCACTGCTGGCTAATTTTGTATTTTTTTTTTTTGTAGAGACAGGGTTTCTGCATGTTTGTCTGGCTGGTCTTGAACTCCTGACCTCAGGTAATCCACCTATCTTGGCCTCCCAAAGTGCTGGGATTACAGGCATGAGTCACCGCACTCGGCCCTCCAGACTTTCTTTTAGCTCAACTGGGAGAAGTGTATACAATTGCCAGCACCTCTTACTGTATTGGGATAAACATCTTAGGTATTGTAGAAACATAGGTAGAGGAGATCCAGAAGCTGACCCATTGGTTGTAGACAGTGGGGCCACCTGAAGAATCCTTCTTTAACCTCTATGGCAACCTCTTACCTAGATCTTTGAGACCCAGGGCTAAATTACTACTGCAGAGAGGTCTGGCTGTGCTGCTAGTGGTAGTAGTCCTCCTGGGACTAGTAAAATGTATTCTGGCTATGACTCAATTATGTTTCACTGAGACAGAGTCAGCCAAGGTGTTACATTGATCTGACAAGACAAACCTCCACCTCCAGATCTGGAGAGGTCAATGGGCATATGAAATACACCAGCTTTTCTAAGGGAAATATCTTGGTTGGAGCAGGAGACTGCAGGTCAACTTTCCAGGTGTCCTTGGACTGACCCAATTATCCCCTCTTTCTTGCTTGCAGTTGTCAAGAGCAACTGTAGTATATGCTGAGAATGCAATATCCTGAGACAGGGAAGAACTGCCTGAAACAGCCTAGGCCTTGTTACTCTCTCCCTTGACAGAGAATGTTCTTCAAAACTTTAGGCCATAGTTTCCCATTGGTCCTGAGGTGTGTAACCTAGGGCAAGCTGTCTTGTGGGGTCCCTCAACTGTGGTACAAGTGGGCCATGCACAATCACTCCATCCACTTCAGGCACTTCACATGCATTCCATCCACTTCAGGCAACTTTGTTGAGCCTTGGGCTACTGGCTCGTAATGGATCGGCTCACATAGGTACCTGTTGTCTCTTGCTGTTTGTCTGTAAATGATACATCTGCTTTATGTAATTTGTTGCATATGAGTGTGTTCTGTTTAACTGAACTCAGACAAGCTAGTAAATAGTACACAGTGTACCTGCCCCACACCCAGGATGTACATGCTAAAGCTAAACAGTGTGACTGCCTGCCAAAAGGAACAGTTTAAATAGAGCTCAGAATTGTCTGCCATGATAGACAAAATGTCCAGAATATAATTACAAATCACCGATCATACAAAGAACCAAGAAAATAACAATTTGAGTGAAAAAAGACAGTTAACTGACACCAACACCAAAACGCATCAGATGTTGGAATCATCTGAATATGATTTTAAAATATCTAGCAAAAATGTTTCAACATCAAATAGAAATTATCTTAAAATATATAACAAAATCGCAAAATATTAACCAAACTTGATTTGTAAAAAAACAACAACAAAAAAGAACCAAATGTAAATTATAAAAGCAAACAAACACTGTAACAGAAATGAAAAATGTGTTGGATGGAGTCAATAGTGCCATTGAGATGCGAGAAGGTAAAATCAGTGAATGTGAGGGCAGAATAGTAGAATTTAACCAATTTGAACAACATAAATAAAACAGACTGATACATAAAATGAACAGAGATGTAGGTATGTGTGAGGCAACAACAAAAGATCCAACATTTTTATTACGTGTACCAGAAAAAAAGTAAAATGAGGCTGAAAGAATACTTGAAGAAATAGTGCTTCAAAAAAACCTCAAATTTGCAGAAGACACAAATGTATAGATTCAAGAAGCCTAAGATACCCTACACGGAATAAACACATTTCAAGAAATATTTTGATTAAACTTTTAAAAACTAAAGACAAAACATTTTTATTTGGTAGTTTAGAAACATAAATCTACCACTTTAAAATTATAAAGGTCAGAAATCTTAAATGGTTTTCATTAGGCTAAAATCAAGGTGTCAGCAGCACCGCTTTCCTTCTGGGGACTCTAAAGGAGAATACATGTTCTTGCCTTTTCCAGCTTCTAGGGGCTGTCTTCATTTCTTGTCTCTTGTCCGCTTTCCCCATTCCTTGTCTCTTGGTTCTTTCCTCCAGTACAATTAGCAATGTAGTATCTTTAAATATTTTCTACCACACTCTTCCACATTTAAAGGATCCTTGTGATTAAATTGGCCCCCCCCAGATAATCAAGTATGATCTCTTATTTTAAGTTCCGCTGTTTAGTAAGCTTAATGTCATGTGCAACCTTAATACTTTCTTGCATTGTAACATCATATATTCTTATATTACATAGCATATCCTTCCTGACATGGAGAATAGGACAGGGACAGTCTTGTGGGGGGTGGGGGGGGCATTATTCTCCTTATCACAGTTAGCAAAGATTTTGTGCCATGAAAACATGGAGGAAATACCCTTATCCTTATTTTTCTTCAGTCTTTCTCATCAAATAGATCTTTAGATCCAAAAGAGAAGACTCAACATTGCTTTTAATTAAATCTCAAGATGAACGAAGAGGCACTATGAGCCCTGGGCCCTAGTATTGGAGTAGAACTCATTCCAAAACAATAAGAAAGTTTAGGAAAGAGATTTTTAAGTTGCTCTAGATATCTTTGAGGATTATGGAGAATAGTAAAAGTTTTAGAAGACAAGAAATGGGCAGTGTACTAATTTTTTAAAGGAAGATAGATCTCATAAACTATAGGTGAATGAGTTTGACATTACTTCTGGAAGCAATTTTAAGAAGCATGAAAACAATACTTTAAAAGCACTTAAAAGAACGCTTTGCAATCATGAAACAACATGGGCACACCGAGAAGAAATTGTATCAGAAAAATGATATTTCTTCCTATTTTTTGAATCTTTATCTTGTCCTTTTATTGTTAGTTGGCATGCAATAATTGTACATATTTATGGAAACAGAGTGATATTTTGATACAGGTGTACAATGCGTAATGATCAAATCAGGGTAATTAGCATTTCAAACACCTCAAACATTTATCATACTTTTGTGTTGACAACATTCAAAATCTTCTCTTCTAGCTTTTTGAAAATATACCATAAATTATAGTTATTTCCATGTGACCAGCTATAGAGCACTACAACAGAACTTATTCCTCCAATATAGCTATAATTTTGTGTCCATTAACCAACCTCTGCTCCCACATCCTTCCCAACATCTAATAACCACAATTCTACCATTTACTTTAATGAGCTCAAATTTGTTTAGCTCCTGCATATGGGTAAGGACAGACAGTATTAATTTTTCTGTGTCTGACTTATTCCACTTAACATAATGTTCGCTAGTCTTATCCATGATTCTGCAAATGACAGAATTTCATTCTTTTTATGGCAGAATATTATTCATATATATATATATGAATGTATATACAAATTTGGTATATGTATATACCACATTTTTTATCCATCCATTGATGGATATTTAGCTTAATTCCATATCTTGGTTATTGTGAAGACAGCTGCAATAAATATGGAGGTGCAGATACCTCTTAAGTGTAATGATTTCCTTTCCTTTGGATAAACACCTAGTAGTGGGATCACTAGATCATATGGTGTCTCTATTTTTGTTTTGAGAAACCACCATACAGTTTTTCATAATAAGTGAAATAATTTAACTTACCACCAACAGTGTATGGTAGTCTAATTTTTCATGTCTTACATGTAAATTTTTAATCCATTTTGAGTTTATTTTTGTATAAGGTGAGTGATAGGAGTTTAGTTTCATTCTTCTGCATATGGATATCCAATTTTTCCAGAAGCATGTATTGGAGATTGTGTCCTTTCCCCAATGTAGGTTGTTGACAAAACTAAAGACAAAGTCTTAAAGGCAGCCAGATAGAAACAGTCACCTATAGGTGAAACATCACCTATAGAGGAAAACCAATGTAAATGAAAATACGTTTTTTCGTCTGAAACAATGGAGGTCAGAAACAAGTTACACAATATTTTTCAGGTAGTGAAAGAAAAGAGCTGCCAACTCTGAATGCTACAGATGTTGTAACTATGCTTCTGGAGTAAAGGAAAATTATATTTTTTGAACTGTTTAAAAAGTTGTTGTTAGCAAGCTTACCATTAAATGTTTACTAAAACTGTTATTCAAACAAAATAAAGAAAAAAAAGGAATTTTGAACATCAAGAAAGAAGGAAGATATATTAATAGAATTAGCAGAAATATGAATACATCCAATAGATGTGTTTTCCTAGTGAGTATTATAAATCATAGTTGATGATAGAAACAAAAATTATAACTCCACTTGATACTAAAGGAAGTGATACTTAAAAGTATAGAAGATAAAGGAAAATAAATATAAGCTGAGCTTCCTTGCTTTAATCAAAAGTGTAAAACCATTGGTATTTATATATTGTTTTATAAATCGGATATTAAATCAGGTATTAAAATATGAAGAGTAGCATAAAAAGTATATACAAATTTCCAAAGCAAAGATTGTATATTGTAGATGTATTCAAACATTGTAAGTAAAGCAACATGAAAGCTCGAGTAGCACACAGTAAGTCCAAAAAAAAAGGAAAACTGAAAAATGAGAACAAAACAAATGAATATGTAGTAAATAATAAAATGAAATGCTTAGGTGTTAGTACATTAATAATTACATTAAATATAAGTGACATAAATACACCAATCAAAAGAGAAATTAGCTGAATAAATTAAAAAATGCAACCTTAACTATTGCTATAGTAAGAAATACACTTTAATTCAATAGTATCAGTATGTTGAAAGTAAAATAATATAAAAATACATACCATGGAAATATTTATCAATAAAAGGGCAAAAGTGGCTATATTAATATCTGATAATCTAGAAGTTAGATTCAAAAAATCTTACAAAGAACATTACTAACAACAGAGGAGGCAGTTAGAGGCTGGCTAGGCAGATAGAGAGGAAGGGTCTTGGGAGAAAGACAGCACCCATGGGAATGCACCTGCACTACCTTTGTGGTGTAGCTAGAATGTGGAAATGTGGTTAACAACTTCCTCTTATACCAAGATGTCTCTCAGAAGGGACTGTCCCAATTATGTTTCAATAAATCAACTAAATGTCCTTAACTTGACCCAGAGCTAATTGTAATATCATTAGCATTGCAGTTTTGGTGCCCCCATGAATTTTGCTTAGGCACTTATGACTAATAATCAAGATGGAGTCACTGCTGCCAAACCTAGGTATGCACAGACAGAACACTCCCAGCAGGGAATTTTACCCCTTCCATTAAGGCAGGACCCACAAAGGACTTCCTTGTTTCTGTCACATAAAGGGATCAGAACTCAGCCCCATTTCTGGCAACCCTTGTTTGGGTCCACTCTTGCTGCTGAGAGCTTTTCTGTTGCTTAATGAATGTTAATTTGCCTTACTCACTCTCTGGTATTTGTGTGCCTTATTCTCTTGGTTGTGGGACAAGATCTTGGACCTCACTAAATTAAGGAGTGAGGAGACTGCAACACTAATAATAAATGGATCAATTCACCAGTAAACATAACAATTCCAAATATATATGCACCAAATAACAAAGTCTTAAACAACATGAAGAGAAAAATTATAGAACTAAAAAATAATAAATTATAGTTGTGGGTTTTAACAGCCTTATCTCAGCAATTGATAGAATTATTGGACAAAAATTTGACAATCAGCAAGCATGTAGAAGATCTGTACAGCACAATCAACCAACAAGATTTTATTCACACACACAAACTCACACACACACACACACAGACACACATATACAGATAAATATATGTCAATTATATATATATCTCTCTCTAAATATAGAATCAGTCCACAAAAAACAGCAGAATATACAGTTTTTCAGGAGCTCATGAAATATTAACTAAAATACTAGATGATTTCTTGCACCATAAAACAAACCCTGATACATTTAAAAGAATTTATGTCATATAGAGTATGTTCTCTGACCATAGTGGAATTAAAATAAAAGTCAGTAACAGAAAGAGAGCAGGAAAATGTTTAAATGCATTTCAATTATGCAACACAGTTCCAAATGATCTATGGATTAAATATAAAGTCTTAAATAAAAATCTAAAAATATATTTCAACAAATGAAAGAAAATACAACATATCAAAATATAGGAAATACAGCTAAGGCTGTGGTGGGAAAGAAATTTATAGTACTAAATGCTTCATTAAAAATAAGAAAAGATCTCAAATCAATAACTTACACTTGTATCTCAAGAAACTAGAAAAAGAACAGAGTAAACTGAAAGCAGGCAGAAGAAGAAAAATAATCATCACAATAACAAAAATTCATGAAATTGAAAACAGAAAAAAATGTGAAACAAAAAGCTGGTTTATTGAAAAAATCAATCAATTGATAAACATCTATCAAAACCGACAAAAATAAATAGAGATGACACAAAACACAACAGCAAATTTTTTAAAAAATGCAAATGATCCAATTAGGTAATGGACAAAAGACATCAATGGACGTTTTAACAAGAAAAATATTCAGATGTCAAATAATCCATGAAACATGTTCAATATTATTAATCATCATGGACATGTCAAATAAAACCATAGTGAGATATTTCTACACACCTATCAAAATGACTTTTAAAAATTGTGACAATAGCAAAAGCTATTCAGGATGTAAAAAATACGATCACTCATAAGTTGCTAGTGGAAAAGTAAAATAATAGAGCCACTCTGAAAAATAGCTGACAGTTTTTTAAAAAGACAGATATGTTATTCATTCTTTCCACATTTTTTTTCTGTGTGTGCTGATTAACCTTCTCTACCTCCTCTCCAATGCCCCAGTATCCTTACTAGCTTCTGTGGGCACTCAGTGTACCCATAAAATTTTAAGAAAATAATTAAAAATTTTTTAAAGTAAAATAAAAACCAGATATGCATAGACCATAGATCCCAGCAATTGCAGTTGTGGGTGTTTAATTTGGAGTGATGAAACTGTGGTCCCACAAAAACTTGTTCACGAATGTCTACAACAGCTTAATTTGTTACAGTTGAAAAGGTCAATAAGCCCAGGTGAATGTTTAATTTGTGGTGAATTTATACCAGAAACCATGAAATACTACTCAGTCATCAAAGGAACAAAATATTAATTAATGCAATCATTTGGATGTATTTTTAGGAAATTTTGTCGAGTGAATAAAAGTCAATTATATACATTATGTACAACAGTACAAGTAGGCCTTGAGACCTACGGGATCATTCTGTGTTGCAGCAAGGCCCTGCCTGCCTCACCAGATGTGGTGAGCCTATCCTATCTCACTCGGAGGGGTCCAAAATCGGATCTGAACGGGAGTCTGGAGAACACAGCAGGCATCTTGAAGCTCCACCTCCCTCCGTGGAAGTCGGCTCAAGGAGGTCCTGAGGACAGGACTCCTAGGGGTTTGGCCCTGGGACAGGACAAGACACCCGCGGCCCCCTCTCCCACGCCGCCCCAAACTGGACCCCGGATCCAGCCGCCGCCGTGGCGGCAGGAGGAACCTCGCTGCCGCCGCGCGGCGGTGGCGGTATTTAAAGGGGACGCAGCCATACTGCCAGGAGCGGAGCGCGAGTCGGCTCAGCCAATGCGCATGCGCGAGGCGGGAGCGGTTTCTCCCGTCACAGTGGTTCCCATGGTTGTCTTAGAAACCAGTCCCCGAGGCTTGGCAAAGCAGGAGCCCTCTGTGGCAGTGCTTGGGTGTCGGGGCTCTGAGGATCCGGCCTCACCTCTCCACGGGGTCGACGGGAACGTCTCCGGATGCCAGGAGTCGCAAAGGGCCGACCACGATGAGGAAACCCCAGGCTGGGACGGGGGAAGCAGCACGGGATCCCAGCCTCAGGCCTGCCCGGACGGTGTTGGTTGGGGTGAGTCTCCCCAAAAGTCGTGCCGCCATCCGTGATCTCGAGGACAGGTCGGCCTGCGTGCCCCTGGGCTGCTCTCTCACCCGAGGGTCGTTCTCGTCGTGAGCAGAACCCCGCAGCCTCAGGGGTTGCCTGGTGGTGTGTGTTTCAATGCCTCTGCTGTATGACGCTGTGTGTGTGTCTCTGTGTGTGTGTGTGTGTGTGTGTGAGTGTGTGTGTGTGTGTCTGTGTGTGTGTCTCCCAGTCTCTCTTCTCTCTCTGTCTCTCAGTCTCTGTGTGTTTCTTTCCCTCTCTCTGTGGGTTTGTGTGTGTATGCCCGTGTGCGTGTGTGTCTTTGGCCGAATGTGCCCTGTGCGCCACAAAGCGGTTTGTCGCATGGCGGCCTGTCTTTGGTGAGCCTCTTTCTGCGTCTCTACCTGGGTCATGAGGCCGGCTGTCAATCGTTTTCGCCGCGGCGGATCCGCTTTGGGTGCCTGAAAGCCTGGCCCACGTGAGGAGATGCGTCGCTCCCGGAGCAACTGAAATCTCATCCCCATCCTGAGTGGCCTCTTTTCTAGGATCAAGATGAGTACACTGCAGCCGAGAACAAGAGCCCCAGAGGAACTCTTTGTCCCACAGGAGAGCAGCGGATCCACGCCAGAGAAGATGCTTGTATCTTTTCACGGCTCTTCTCTGAGAAATGAAGCCACACCACGATACAGTCAGCAAGAGGAAGCCGGGAATGGGAGATGGCAACAGTCCCTGTCACTGGAACGCTGGCCTCCCTGGACAAGCCACCCTTTAGGAACCCCACCCCTTATGTCTGTGGCGGTGGCACGGTGCTGTATCCTGCCTGGGCTCTGGCCTCTACTCTCTCCTCCCTCTGGCTCTGCCTCCCCTGTTTCTCAGGGGCCTGGATGCCTCTCGCTCTGGCCAAATGCCTTCAAAAAAGATGACTTCCCAGTCCGTCAGGGAGACACTTCCTGGAGATCCGTGTCATGATCGTTTCTCTCTCCAAACGTGTTTCTGCTTAATTGGGCAGGTATCATGAGCCGAGAGCTCTTGGCTTCCATACGTGTCTCAGGCAGGGAAGCTTCCTTCTTCCCCACGTTTCCCCTCATGGGTGGGTGGATTGCCTAGAATGAGCGCTAGGCGACCGTGACTGGCCTTGACTTCCAGGACAGGTGGTGTCCCATTTCCTTTGCACTTCCTGTCTCATTCTTGAGGGACATCCTCTCCTCTGCTCCTGGGTGGCCTGACTCCCTTGATCTTCTGGACGAAACAAATGTCAGGAAACCAAAGGGACTGGGCTGGGGCTGGGGCTGGGGATGGGGCTGGGGCTGGGTGCAGCCGAAGTTGCGTCAGGGCTACCAGGGCGATGGAGGCTTGGGGGTGGGGCAATTTTTGCCAAAACCTCTTTGCTCCTCTGGTAGGCATGTGAAAACGTGGCTTGGGTCAGGCACAGCCCCCCATCTCGACCCGCACCCCCCGAGCCCCAGGTGTTCTTCGACTTTCCTTGGCATTGATGGAAAGGTCACTCGTTTCCCCCTTCCACCAGCACATGCCTGGACACCACCCTTTGTTTCGCCGTCGCCCCGTATGCCTCCGGCGACACACATCCACACCATCTGCTGTGGGGTAGGCCAGTGCCACGCGTGGTCACACGGTCTCCACCTCGGATTCGCCCCTGTTCCTGGTGGCACGTGTCCTGTAAAGCGCGGTCGGCTTTCCGGAGCCCCTGGGCTTTTAGAAGCGGGGCAAGCCACTGATATTTCAAAGGAGGTGGGAGGCAGAGGGCTGATGGATCAGTGAATTTGCAGCTGACGCTAGGCCTTGAGACCTATGGGATCATTGTGTGCTGCAGCGAGGCCCTGCCGGCCTCTCCAGATGTGGTGAGCCCATCCTATCTCAGTGGGAGGGGGCCAGAATCGGATCTCAACGGGAGTCCGGAGAACACAGCAGGCGTCCTGAAGCTCCCCCTCCCTCGGTGGAAGTCGGCTCAAGCAGATCCTGAGGACAGGACCCCTGGGGGTTTGGGCCTGGGACAGGACGAGACACCCGCGGCCCCCTCTCCCACGCCGCCCCAAACAGGACCCAGGATCCAGCCGCCGCCGCGGCGGCAGCGATATTTAAAGGGGACGCAGCCTATCTGTCAGGAGCGGAGCGCGAGTCGGCTCAGCCAATGCGCATGCGCGAGGCGCGAGCGGTTTCTCCCGTCACAGTGGTTCCCACGGTTGTCTTAGAAACCAGACCCCGAGGCTTGGCAGAGCAGGAGCCCTCGGTGGCAGTGCTTGGGTGTCGAGGCTCTGAGGCTCCGGCCTCACCTCTCCACGGGGTCGAAGGGAACGTCTCCGGATGCCAGGAGTCGCAAAGGGCCGACCATGATGATGAAACCCCAGGCAGAGACGGGGGAAGCAGCACGGGATCCCAGCCTCAGGCCTGCACGGACGGTGTTGGTTGGGGTGAGTCTCCCTAAAAGTCGTGCCGCCGTCCGTGATCTCGAGGACGGGTCGGCCTGCGTGCCCCTGGGCTGCTCTCTCACCCGAGGGTCGTTCTCCTCCAGAGCAGAACCCCGCAGCCTCAGGGGTTGCCTGGGGGTGTGTGTTTCAATGCCTCTGCTGTATGACTCTGCGTGTGTGTGTGTGTGTCTCCCATTCTCTCTTCTCTCTCTGTCTCTCAGTCTCTGTGTGTTTCTTTCCCACTCTCTGTGGGTTTGTGCCAGCCGAAGTTGCGTCAGGGCTACCAGGTCGGTGGAGGATTGGGGGTGTTGCGAATTTTGCAGAAACCTCTTTGCTCCTCCGGTAGACATTTGAAAACGTGGCTTGGGTCAGGCACAGGCGGCCCCCCACCCCCGGGTCCCAGGTGTTCTTTGATTTTCCTTGGCATTGATGGAAAGGTCACCCGTTTCCCCCTTCCACTGGCACATGCCTGGACCCCACCCTTTGTTTCGCCGTCGCCCCGTATGCCTCCGGTGAGACGCATTCACACCAACTGCTGTGGGATTGGCCAGTGCCACGCGTGGTCACATGGTCTCCCCCTCGGATTCGCCTGTTTTCCTCTTTGCAGGTGTGGTGTAAAGCGTGGTCGGCTTTCTGGAACCCCAGGGCCTTTAGCAGTGGGGCAGGCCACTGCTCTTTCAAAGGAGGAGGGAGGCAGAGGGCTGATGGATCAGTGAATTTTCAGCTGTCTCTAGGCCTTGAGAATTATGAGATCATTCTGTGCTGCAGCGAGGCCCTGCCGGCCTCACCAGTTTTTGTGAGCCCATCCTATCTCACTCGGAGGGGGCCAAAATCGGATCTCAACGGGAGTCCGGAGAACACAGCAGGAGTCCTGAAGCTCCCCCTCCATCCCTCCATCGGTGGAAGTGGGCTCAAGCAGGTCCTGAGGACAGGACCCCTGGGGGTTTGGGCCTGGGAAAGGACGAGACTCCTGCGGCCCCCTCTCCCACGCCACCCCAAACAGGACCCAGGATCCAGCTGCCGCCATGGCGGCAGCAGGAGCATCGCGGCCGCCAGGCGACAGTGGCGATATTTAAAGGGGACGTAGCCTGACTGCCAGGAGCTGAGCGCGAGTCGTCCCAGCCAATGCGCATGCGCGAGGCTCTAGTGGCTTCTCCCTTCACAGTGGTTCCTTCGGTTGTCTTAGAAACCAGTCCCCGAGGCTTGGCAAAGCAGGAGCCCTCCGTGGCAGTGCTTGGGTGTCGGGGCTGTGAGGCTCCGGCCTGACCTCTCCACGGGGTCGACGTGAACGTCTCCGGATTCCAGGAGTCACAAAGGGCCGACCAGGATGAGGAAGCCCCAGGGGGGTACGGCGGAAGCAGCACAGGATCCCAGCCTCAGGCCTGCCCGGATGGTGTTGGTTGGGTGGGTCTCCCCAAAAGTCGTGCCGCCATCCGAGATCTCGAGGACAGGTCGGCCTGCGTGACCCTGGGCTGCTCTCTCACCCGAGGGTCGTTCTTGTCGTGAGGAGTACTCCGCAGCCTCAGGGATTGCCTGGTGGTGTGTGTTTCAATTCCTCTGCTGTATGACTCTGTGTGTGTGTGTATGTGTGTGTCTCCCATTCTCTCTTCTCTCTCCCTCTCTCAGTCTCTGTGTGCTTCTTTCCCTCTCTCTGTGGGTTTGTGTGTGCATGCCCGTGTGCGTGTGTGTTTTTGGCTGGAGGTGCCCTGTGTGCCACAAAGCGGTTTTTCGCATGGCGGCCTGTCTTTGTTGAGCCTCTTTCTGCTCTCTGCCTGGGTCATGAGGCCGGTTGTCAATCGTTTTTGCTGCTGTGGATCCGCTTTGGCTCTGTGAAGGCCTGGCCCACGTGAGGAGATGCGTCGGAGCAATTGAAGTCTCATCCCCATCCTGAGCGGCCTCTTTTCTAGCATCAAAACGAACACACTGCAGACGAGGAGAAGAATCCCACAGGAGCTCTTTGTCCTACAGGAGAGCAGCGGACCCACGTCAGAGAAGATGCTTGAGTCTTTTCACGGCTCTTCTCTGAGAAATGAAGCCACACCACGATACAGTCAGCAAGAGGAAACCGGGAATGAGAGATGGCAACAATCCCTGTCCCTAGAACGCTGGCCTCCCTGGACAAGCCACCCTTTTGGAACCCCACCCCTTATGCCCTTGGCGGTGGCACGGTGCTGTATCCTGCCTGGGCTCCGGCCTCTGCTCTGTCCTCCGTCTTGCTCTGCCTCCCCTGTTTCTCAGGGGCCTGGATGCCTCTAGCTCTGGCCAAATGCCTTCAACAAAGATGGCTTCCCAGTCCGTCAGGGAGACATTTCTTCGAGATCCGTGTCGTGATTGTTTCTCTCTCCAAACCTGTTTCTGCTTGATTGGGCTGGTCTCATGACCCGGGAACTCTTGGCTTCCTTAGGTGTCTCAGGCAGGGAAGCTTCCTTCTTCTCCACGTTTCCCCTCATGGGTGGTTGGATTGCCTAGAATGAGCGCTAGGCGAACGTGACTGGCCTTGACTTCCAGGACAGGTGGTGTCGCATTTCCTCTGCACTTCCTGTCTCATTCTTGAGGGACATCCTCTCCTCTGCTCCTGGGTGAACTGAAGCCCTTGATCATCTGGCAGAAAAGAATGTCAGGGAACCCAAGGGACTGGTCTAGGGTTGGGGGCTGGTCCTGGGGCTCGGTGCAGCCAAAGTTGTGTCAGGGCTGCCAGGGCCTTGGACGGTTTGGGGTGGGGCGAATTTTGCAGAAACCTCTATGCTCCTCTGGTAGGCATTTGAAAACGTAGCTTGGGTCCGGCACAGGCCCCCCCTCCCCACACCCCGCGTGTCCCACGTGTTTTTCGATTTTCCTTGGTATTGATGGAAAGGTCACCCGTTTCCCCCTTCCACCGGCATGTTCCTGGACACCACCCTTTGTTTCGCCGTCTCCCCGTATGCCTCCAGTGACACGCATTAACACCAACTGCTGTGGGATAGGCCAGTGCCACGCGTAGTCATATGGTCTCCGCCTCGGATTTGCCCCTGTTCCTCTTTGCAGGTGTCCTGTAAAGCACTGTCGGCTTTCCGGAGCCCCAGGGCTTTTAGAAGCAGGGCAGGCCACTGCTCTTTCTAAGGAGGAGGGCATTGAAAAACACACCCCCAAGCAATCCCTGAGGCTGTGATGTTCTGCTCTCTACGAGAAGGACCCTCGGGTGAGAGAGCAGCCCAGGGGCATGCAGGCTGACCTGTCGTAGAGATCACTGACGGAGGCATGACTTTTGGGGAGACTCACCCCAACCAACACCGTCCGGTCAGGCCTGAGGCTGGGATCCCGTGCTGCTTCCCCCGTCTCCGCTGGGCTTTCCTCATGGTAGTCGGCCTTTTGCGACTCCTGGCATCTGGGGACATTCCCGTTGACCCCAAGAAGACGTTAGGCCGGAGCCTCAGAGCCCCGAAACCCAAGTACTGCCACGGAGGGCTCCTTCTTCGCCAAGCCTCGGTGACTGGTTTCTAAGACAACCGTGGGAACCACTGTGACTGGAGAAGCCGCTCCCGCCTCGCGCATGTGCATTGGCTGAGCCGACTCGCGCTCCGCTCCTGGCAGTCAGGCTGGGTCCCCTTTAAATACTGCCACATCTGAGCGTGGCAGCAGCGAGGCTCCTGCTAGCCCCGCGGCGGCGGCTAGATCCGGGGTCCAGTTTGGGGCGGCGTGGGAGAGGGGGCCGTGGGTGTCTTCTCCTGTCCCAGGGCCAAACCCCGAGGAGTCCTCACCTCAGGACCTGCTTGAGCCGACTTCCACTGAGGGAGGGGGAGCTTCAGGACGCCTGCTGTGTTCTCCGTCCTCCTGTTCAGATCCAATTTTGGCCCCCTTCGAGTGAAATAGGATGGGCTCACCACATCTGGTGAGGCAGGCAGGGCCTCGCTGCAGTGCAGAATGATCCCATAGGTCTCAAGGCCTAGTGTCAGCTGCAAATTCACTTATCCATCAGCCCTCTGCCTCCCTCCTCCTTTGAAAGAGCAGTGGCCTGCCCCGCTTCTAAAAGCCCTGGGGTTCCGGAAAGCCCACCGCGCTTTACAGGACACCTGCATAGAGGAACAGGGGCGAATCCGAGGTGGAGACCATGTGACCACGCGTGGCACTGGCCTATCCCACAGCAGTTGGTGTTAATGTGTGTCACCGGAGGCATACGGGGCGACGGCGAAACAAAGGGTGGTGTCCAGGCATGTGCCGGTTGAATGGGGAAACAGTTGACCTTTCCATCAATGCCAGGGAAAATCGAAGAACACCTAGGACCCGGGGGGTGGGGGTCCTGTGCCTGACCCAAGCCACGTTTTCACATGCCTACCAGAGGAGCAAAGAGGTTTCTGCAAAATTCGCCCCACCCCCAACCCTCCACCGCCCTGGTAGCCCTGACGCAACTTAGGCTGCGCCCAGCCACAGCCCCAGCCCCAGCCCCAGCCCCAGCCCAGTCCCTTTGGTTCCCTTACATTCGTTTCAGCCAGAAGATCAAGGGAGTCAGTCCACCCAGGAGCAGAGGAGAGGATGTCCCTCATGAATGAGACAGGAAGTGCAGAGGAAATGCGACACTACCTTTCCTGGAAGACAAGGCCAGTCATGGTCGCCTAGCGCTCATTCTAGGCAATCCACCCACCATGAGGGGAAACGTGGAGAAGAAGGAAGCTTCCCTGCCTGAGACACGAATGGAAGCCAGGAGCTCCCAGGTCATGCGACCTGCCCAATCAAGCAGAAACAGGTTTGGAGAGAGAAACAATCACGACACGGATCTCGAAGAAATGTCTCCCTGACGGACTGGGAAGTCATCTTTGTTGAAGACATTGGGCGTCAGCGAGAGGCATTGAGGCACTTGAGAAACAGGTGAGGCAGAGCAGGAGGGAGGACAGGGCAGACGCCGGCGGCCAGGCGGGATATATCACCGTTCCACTGCCAGGGTCATAAGGGATGGGGTTCCAAAAGGGTGGCTTGTCCAGAGAGGCCAGCATTCCAGTGACAGGGACTGTTGCCATCTCCCATTCCCGGCTTCCTCTTCCAGACCGTATTGTGGTGTGGCTTCATTTCTCAGAGAAGAGCCGTGAAAAGATACAAGCATCTTCTCTGACGTGGGTCCGCTGGTCTCCGGCGGGACAAAGAGCTCCTGTGGGGCTCGTGTCCTCGTCTGCAGTGTGTTCATCTTGATCCTAGAAAAGAGACCGCTCAGGATGGGGATATTTCAATTGCTCCGGGACCGAAGAATCTCCTCACGTGGGCCAGGCCTTCACACACCCAAAGCGGAAACGCGTCGGCGAAAAGGATTGACAACCGGTCTCATGACCCAGGCAGAGAGGCAGAAACAGGCTCACCAAAGACAGGCCGCCATGCGAGAAACAGCTTTGTGGTGCACAGGGCACATTCGGCCAAGGACACACACGCACACGGGCACACACACACAAACTGACAGAGAGAGGGAAAGAAACACACAGAGACTGAGAGACAGAGAGAGAAGAGAGAATGGGAGACACACACACACATACACACACAGACACACACACAGAGTCTTATAGCAAAGGCATTGAAAGACACACACCCAGGCAACCCCTGAGGCTGTGGGGTTCTGCTTTCGACGAGAACGACCCTTCGGTGAGAGAGCACCCCAGGGGCACGCAGGCCGTCCTGTCCTCGAGATCACCGCGTCACGACTTTTGGGGAGACTCACCCCCACCAACACCGTCCAGAGAGGCCTGAGGGAGGGATTCCATGCTGCCTTCTCCGGACTCTGCGTCGGGTTTCCTCACCCTGTTCGGCCCTTTGTGACTCTTGGCATCCGGAGACTTTCCCCTCGACCCAGTGGAGCCGTCAGGCCGGAGCCTCAGAGCCTTGACACCCAAGCACTGCCACGGAAGTCTCCCCCTTTGCCAAGCCTCGGGGACTGGTTTCTAAGACAACCGTGGGAACCACTGTGACGGGAGAAACCGCTTGTGCTTCGCGCATGCGCATTGGCTGGGCCGACTCGTTCTCCCCTCCTGGCAGTCAGGCTGCGTCCCCTTTAAAGAACGCCACCGCTGAGAACTGACCCTCACATCTCCCTTCCTGAATTTCTTTAGGGAAAGCAACAACCATCCCTGTAAGCCATGGGTTTTCATGCGGAGGAAGGAGAGGGCTAGTTGTCTGAGAGGGTAACTGCTTAAGGCTGCAGACTAGGAAATGGGATTCCAGGTTTAAGATAGCTCCTTTCTGGACCTCAGTCCTTCACCTAGTCACCTAGTCACAGGGTGGATTGCCTCTAAGGATACTTAGGGGAAAAGGAACTAAATTTGGGATGGTTCTCCTTGCTTTAAGCCTTGATAGGAGACGGGGAGGCCAACCCTTCTCTGCAGACCGTGATCCTCACTAGACAGAGGAGCTCCAAACCTGCCCATCTCATCCCATGCACCGACGGTGCCTGGCCTGGCTCCAAACTCCCGAAAGGAACTATTTTACAGGTGCCAAAAAGGGGACAGTGTTGATAATAATAATAAAATGAAACAATCTGATTGGGGCATTGCTGGATCAGAAAATGTGTGACCTTTTTAAAGTTAAATTGTTAAAAAATTTTAACTATTAAACATTTTAAATATTAAGCCTGATCTGTTTGGTAGCCCTGGAGCAGGGCTGAGGCGTAGAGAGAAACCTTTCCTTCAGCCAGGTTGTCTGTGTCACACTGATTTATTTTTATTTTATTTGTGGATTTCTTAATGGACCCAACGGTGGTTCCTCTTTGCATCCCTCGGGTTGACAGGCAATTCCATCCTAGCCCAGTTCTCAGCTCTGGTTTAGTTTTCATAACTTTTGGGGGTCCAGGGAGCCATGAGACTGGAGATAGAAAGCAGAAGTGCACTGGGGCGGTGGGTCTGCCTTGGCTTACCCCCAAATTTCTGGATTCCAGGTGCCTTGCTCCAGTCCCTGCCCCATCCTAGACTCAGGATGCTCTCCCACGCTACTAACCACTGGTCCGGTCAAAGCCCAAGCTGCTGCCAGCCACCATGTTATCTCCTAGCCTGGCTAGGGTGCCTGCTAGCCAGCAGTGGCTATGGTGGTGTGCAGAGTGAGGGTGAGTTTTTGTATTGACTGCCATTCCGTTTACCTCAAGAAGTATGTTTGGGCAACCATTCTGTGCCAGGCAGCAGACAGAGTCCCTGCACTGCAGGAATTCCTAGTCCTGTGGGCAGGGGTGTGTGGAGGATGGCACATGGTGGTTAGCCTGGTCCAGGGGTCTCCACTCCCTTCCTAGCATCCTAGAGATCCTGGAGGCTAGGTTGGCCACAGAGACTGAGTTCAGGACAATTCCTTCACGCAGTTAATGAAGTTATCTGTAACTTCCTGGTTAAAACACACACACACACACACACACACACACACACACACACACACACAAACACAAAAACTGGCAGTCGTGGGAGGTATTTCCCCACTGGGCTGGTTGGTAGCAGGGGAAGAACTGTGGACCCCTCGCCGAGTGGCGCCTGGAAGGAGGCTGACGTAAGAGTGGTGTAGCTGTGAGTAGGAGAAGTGAGATCTAGTGGGGTAAGTCCATGTTCCCTGTTCCTAAAGTCAAATTCTCCCTGAAAAGACCCAGGGCAGCACTGTTAGGGAGCTGAAGGAGTCCCTCTGTACCCAGAGGGAATTAGGCCACTCAGGCCTCAGAGAAGGAGGGCGGGTGGTGAGGACAACCTCCCCAAGCCCCCATCAGAGCAGGCCCAATACTTGGAAATTCACTCCTCAGTCCACCAGATTCTGGTCCCATCCTACATCCCCACCAGGGCACAGGAGGCCCACATAAAAACAAGCTTTATTTGGCCAAATTAACTCACTTTCCTGGATTACCTTACTTGTTGGAAAGCGAAAGTACACCCCACGCTCCTCGCCCTGTCCCTGCCTAAACCTCTTTATCTCTGAAGCCCACTCTTTGAGACCTAAAAATTAGGGTTCAAGAGAAACGCTCTAGGACTACAGGAGTGACACGACAGTCCCTATCCTACAGTGCACTAAAAGCCAAACTGAAGTCTGCTTCCTCGGTGGAGAGTGTCTCAGGGTGAGGTGGCAGGACTGTTAGCCGCTTCTCATTTTACAAGCTCCTTGTCCACAGTCATCTGCACCAGCCCCTCACAAAACTGGTTCTCGCCTTCTGGTGGGTGCTGGTGTTTACCCCTTTCCTCCCACTATCTGTTCAAACCGAGCCCACCCACCCTCCATTCACCTCCCCTCCTTAAGGCTCCCTGAGCTCTATTTACCCTTTTGTAACTCCATCCCTCCATAAGTACACAACTCTTCTAGCTGGTTTCCTAGAGGGTAGATACAGTGTTTCCAGTTGGCCCTCTGCAGATATCTGTGAATAAGTCTCTCCCAGCCCCTACATATAAATGTGTCTGTTCTAGAGAGACGGGCCTAAGTCCCAACGTAAACACATCACTAGATAATTACACCTTATATACATACAGATCTCTCTATAGAGTTATATTTGAAAGTGTCTATAACTCTAGAGAGAGATTGCAGCATGCACATATAGGACTATAATTACTTATGTCTATTTTTATAACTATGCAGTTATAAATAGATATGCCTATATATAGTGATAATAATATAGAAATATCTCCATAGCCATATATGGCTCTAAGTGAATGCTCTAACTACTCTATTTCGCAATCAATAAGTATATATCTCCTGATACATAATTCTAACAATATACGTTTTAATCTATATAGCTCTTCAGAGATATAAATCTGTCAGGATATCAAATGTACATAAAGCCGGATGGCTGTAAGGGAGTCGCATATTTTCCCATATATAAATCTGCTCCTATAACTACTGTATATGCACAAATACAATGGAAATAATTATATTTCCCTCAAACGTAAATCTGTAAATACAACCACAGCACATTTAGGTACCATTAGACATAGAGCAATATTTCCTAGACATCAGTCTGTCAGTAGAGCCACCAGTGCCTCCAAACAGAGAGTTATAGAGGGAGTTATAAATAAACTCTCCAGATGTGAACGGATCAGTAGAACTAGATGTAAACATGACTCCAAGCCGTTCCTCCTCCTTCTTCTTCTTTGTAAGATATTCCTGAAGCAAGCCCAGTCATATAACAGGGTGCAGAGGTGTCTGGGTACTGGTATTTTTTTCCCCAAGGAGGGTCGGAGGTCGCTGGACTTTGGGAAACTGTGCAGGAGTGGGTAGGGGACAATGCCCGCTCCCAACACAGCCCAGAAGCCCCTTCCGTCTGTCTCCTGGTGGCTGAGAGCTCGGGCAAGTGGAGAGGCCTAAGGGAGAAAAATGAAAAAGCAGAGTCTGGCTTGAGTCGTTCGGCCCTTCGGCCTAAAACCCTCTCAACAGGGAAGCCCCGAACAGGCGTCGGAGCGGAGAGAGCCCACGAGGCCCAGAGGCTGGGGGAAAGGGGCTGCAGGCCGGGCTGCGGAGGCCGAGCAGAGTCGCCAGCCGGTGCCTGACCGCCCGGCGCCCCATCTCCCGGGGCCGCTGCCTCGCCGGCAGCCTGGAACACAAAACCTGGGCCCTAGCCCTGCGCCCTGTGCTCAGCACTTCCACTGGTCTTATTTTATTGCTGTTTTGTCCAATTAGGTATCGCAGCGTCCTCCACCCGGTGTTGTTTTCAAATGCGAGGGCACCCAGGGCTTTCTGAATGCGTGTGTGTGTGTGTGTGTGTGTGTGTGCTGGCTTTAAATAAGTGACTCAGTGGATAGTGTATTTCTCTTTTCAGACCAAATGGGTCACCGGCTACTGAAAAAGAATCCAGACCTCTGAAAGGGTTCGTGACAAATTTTTTAGAAGTTCTCACGCTCATCTGTTACGATGATTTTCTTTTCTTTTTTCTGTTTTAAAAAAGTTGGCTAATTTGTGTTTCTATATTCCTCTTTAATTTTATTTTTATTGGGGGTACAAATGTTTTTAAAGGAGGGATTTCGTTAGACCCGAAACTGTGGGGTGGCTTCCTCTCTAGCAAACTTACTATCTCTACGCCTGTGATTCCCATCTCCCCCAAGAAAACAAACGAATTAAATGACCAGAAAACTGTACCTGGAGAAAATGAGGTATATGTTGCAGGATCCGGGACCGCGGCCCTTGCTTGCTTCATGAAAAATCGGCTGGTCTCCAAACTCGCGAAGGAAAATTCAAGGCGCCTCAACTCCTCCTTTTAAATTTTTTAATAAAGAGCCTAGAAAGGGAACTTTCCCTGGGCCTGCCGGAGCCCCAGCCTGGCTCTCCCAACTTCCCAGCGGCCATAAGTGTTTTTCTGCTTCCATTCGGGCCCCCCGTCTTCCCGGGCATCTCTGAGCTCCTGCCGGATCAAGGCTGTGGTCATCACCTCATTCATCTCTGCTGCTTGGCCTGAGCCTGCACATTTGGCCTCCTTCTTAAAACAGGGGCTCCTAGAGAGTCCCAAAATCCATTAACCATTCCCATATGTGGGATCCCTTCCCTGATCACACAAAGCAGAAGCCTGAGAAAAAAAGCAATAAAGAGTGGCCTCCTGGCTCTCCTTCTCCTCTTCCATCCCTTGTCTGGGAAAGGGGTTCCCAACCCCAGCCCCACCAAGAGCATATTAAGAAGCTTTCTTCCTCCCTTCCTTTCCTATCTCCCCCTCAGATGCTGTGATCCTGACTCCTTCTGTCTCCACCTCAAAATATTTCCTCTTGCATTTTATTGTTATTCTGTTATGCAGGGACTGTTAACTACTGTTTTATTATTATTATTCATTATTTATTGTTATTAAGATTGTCGTTAGAGATTTGTTCACCACCGTTCAAGGGACAGCAGCCTGGCCCAGGGGGAAGCCTGCCTCTCCCTGTCTGTCTCTCTCTCACACACACACACACACACACACACATACACACACACACCCTAACACAGTGCACACTCACGCATATATGCTCACAAATGCCTGCTGTGTTCAGGCCCCTGCACAGCAATCCGAAGAGGCAGGCATCCTACCCCAGCACGCAAACAACACACTGCCCACGCACACCAGCATTCAGGCAGAACACCACCCCCAGACCAACGCCAAAACCCACACGCACCGAGCTTGCAAGGAAAGGAAAATACATAAAGAATCCCTTCTCTCCAAAACCTGGAGGGGCGAGTCAGGCCTCTGTCTCTTCCCCCCAGTCGCTTTCGCTTTCTCTTTTTTTTTTCTCCTTGTTTACAGCTTCAGAGAGCTCAAGGCCCATAAATCTTGAGGGGTCTACAGAGCGCAGAGCACATTTGTATGCATCGTTAGGACTCACTAATACATTACTAAGCCCATTAAGGAGAGTGTATGCGCATGGTTTCCGGTGTGTATTAACTTATAGTTAAATTCTGGAGGAAAGGGCATTGTGAATTAACATATACCAAATCCATCATGGGCTTTTGTCATATCAGATTAGTCAGTCATGGGTTTGGGGGAGTAACTTGCCTGGGTCGGGGTGTACCCACCCTTCAAACTTTGTGGAGCAGGCCCGGGGGTCTTGGGAAACACGAAGGCATTCCTATCCAGCCCCAGTCATTCGGATCCCCCAGGCCTAGCGGCTGCACACTTGTGAGATGGCGGAGGGACTGCAGACCCAGGTGCGGGAGGCCAGTGCTAGCGAAGAGAGGTGGGCAAGGGAGGCCCCTCCAGCGTCCTGCTGGGGTTGAGTTGGGGTGACTCGTCCCGTGGCCGCTGGGTCGTCTGGTTTCCCCTTTCCGAAAGAAATGAGAGGAGAGGCAAGTGGAGTAGCTGAACTTTGATTAAACCGTAGAGAAGACAGTGGGAGGAGGGAAAAAAAAAAGATCGGAGAAGGAGGAGGAGGTGGCCGAGAGATCGAGGAAAGGAAGTCCTAGAAGCTCCGGGGAATTTGGAAATCTCTCCAAGGGGCTGAAAGCTGGAAGTTGTATGAAGGTGTTCTTTTCTCACACCCCAGCTACTCCGCCCCAGTCGAAGAGGCTAATTCCGGGCCTCTTATAAAAATAAGAAAGAAAAGGTAAAGAAAAAGAAAATCTAATTATGTGGCATGTTTCAGCCAGGTGTTCCTGGTTCCAATGACTCAGACCCTATTGGAGCCCCGAGGATCTGGATAATTGGGCCTGCCTAGACAGAGATGAAGGATGCCATTTCTAAAAGGAGGAAGGGGAGAGGAAAGTCCATCTCTTGGGGTCTTGTAGAAAATGCCAAAGACCAACCAAGCTAAATTATTGTGTCCCTGTAGATCTATTTGCCTATTTACGTACAGCAGGCTGTGGGGGTGGGGGGTGAGGGAAGGCCGGGAATAAACGACCAGGATGGAGCGGGCTGGCAGGAGAGAAAATGCGCCCCCCACTCTTTGCGGGAACAGCCAACGGGCCTCCTCAGCTCGCAGCTCAAGCGGCCGCGCGGCGGGCCTGTCCGGGGCCGGGGGCCGGGGCCGGCCTGGGGGAGGGGAGGCGGGGGCGGGAGGGGAGGCGGAGGCGGGCCCTCCCCGGGCGCTGTGAACTTTAGCTGGGCCGCCGCCTGTCAGCGCCAGAAAGCGTTAAAGGTGCAGCAGCCCGCGCCAGCCTCCGCAGCCGCCTTTGTACGAGTGATTTATGACTTCAGTCTTGGTTCACCAAGAGTTCACACGGCTTTCGCTGCTGTTGAAGGTTAAAAGATGGTCTTCGCTTGACAAGTTGGACTATTGAAAATTCCTTCTTCTTCTTCTTTTTTTTTTATTTTAGAAGCGAAGAGCAGAGGCTCAGGAGAGAAAAACATTGGGGAGGGGGCGGGGGACAGGGGTTGCAGGTGGGCCAAAATGGTAAGTCAGGAAGGTTTGTCTTCCTATATTTAGGATTTTTTGTTGTTAGGATTTGCGTGCGTGTTGGGGAGAGGGTAGAGAATAAGAGGGAGCTAGGCAAGAGATGTAAAGATCTCTCATATTTAGAGGCCAAAGGAGTGAAAAAAAAACTTGCTTCCACAGTTAATTATCTGGGTAACTTGGGTCACACCCCCTAACTGATCCTCCTCTAGAGACCGGAAATGGGCCAGGTAAGGGAGAGAGTTTGGGTAAAGGGTAAGGTTTGTGTGCTTCTCACTGGGTGTACTTGATCATCCACCTTACCTGGGTAACTACTTTTTTTTTTTTTTTTTTTTTTTTTTTGGAAATGGGGTCCAGCTCTGTTTCCCAGGCTGGAGTGTTGTGGCACCATCATAGTTCACTGAAGCCTCAAACTCCTGGGCTCAAGTAGTCCTCCCACCTTAGCCTCTTAAGTATGTGAGACTGCAGGCATGTGCCACACCGCCAGGCTGGGTAGCTGCCTTTCAATGTGCTTCTGCACCCACAGATTTGGAAAAGGGCATTTTTAGGCAGCAGTCTTTCAACTCTCTTCATCCTGTAGGTTTAGCCTGCCATTTACATTTGATGCACATGAAGAGGCTAATGGGAAGGAAATCTATAGAACTGGAATTGGAAGTCCTTTCAAATCCCAAATTCCCTTGGTCTAAGAGCCAGTCTCTCTTCTTTCTAGCATTTTGACAATGGTCGTGCCACAGCAGAGGTGGTGGTCAAAGATCTCCCAAAGACCAGGATCTAAGGCCCCTTTGTGATCTAAGGCTCTGAGTACTTGGAGAGACAAAACTCACTCCTTCTTTGTAGATTCAGAGAGACAGAGAGAGAGAGAGAGAGAGAGAGAGAGAGAGAGAGGGAATGAGGAGATACCTTGAAGCTGAGGGTCTGCTTGGCTTTTCGAGGTTTTTTTTTTAAGATATGTTTTTAAAAAATTTTCTGGAGTGGGAATTGGGATTGTGTGCACTGGGAAGGGGAACAGCAGAGAGCTGGGTCTGGAGTTGGGTGTGCCTCCCTAGCCCTATTAAGGCCCCATCTCCATTACCAATGCTAGGTAAATGTCTTCTTAAGAGATAGAGCCAGCCCCTCAAATCCAGATCTGGGAACCAAAGGCATCCACGCTAGAAGGGGCACTCCCTGCTTCTCTTTCTACATAGCATTAGAGAGGTATTTTCCCACCATGTGAGGACTTAGATAAGAGAAGGAGAAGAGCCAGAAAGATGTCCACATCTCGCCGGGACACCTAGCACCAGGCCCTCCTACAGGGGACCTCATATGTAAATAGCAGAATGGGGAGCAGGACCCATTTACCGGGCAGTGATACTCTTCTATTAGCTCTAGAGGGTCTCAACTTTCGCTGCACATTGGAACCCCCAGCGAGTTTTTTTGTTTGCTCATTTTTGTTTTTGAGATGGTGTCTTGCTCTTGTCACCCAGGATAGAGTGCGGTGGCACATCTCGGCTCACTACAACCTCTGCCTCCTGGGTTCAAGCAATTATCCCTGCCTCAGCCTCCCGAGTAGCTGGGATTACAGGTGCTTGCCACCATGCCCAGCTAATTTTTGTATTTTTAATAGAGACGGGGTTTCACCATGTTTGCCAGGCTTGTGTCAAACTCCTCACCTCAGGTAATCCGCCCACCTCGGCCTCCCAACGTGCTGGGATTACAGGTGTGAGCCACCATGCCCAGCCACAAGTTTTTTAAAATACTGATGCCTGGGTCCCACCTCCAGAGATTCCAATTTGGTTGGCCTGTAGTAGGGCCTGGGCATATGTATACATGTGCCATGCTGGTGCGCTGCACCCACTAACTCGTCATCTAGCATTAGGTATATCTCCCAATGCTATCCCTCCCCCCTCCCCCCACCCCACCACAGTCCCCAGAGTGTGATATTCCCCTTCCTGTGTCCATGTGATCTCATTGTTCAGTTCCCACCTATGAGTGAGAATATGCAGTGTTTGGTTTTTTGTTCTTGCGATAGTTTACTGAGAATGATGATTTCCAATTTCATCCATGTCCCTACAAAGGACACGAACTCATCATTTTTTATGGCTGCATAGTATTCCATGGTGTATATGAGGGATCTAGAACTAGAAATACCATTTGACCCAGCCATCCCATTACTGGGTATATACCCAAATGACTATAAATCATGCTGCTATAAAGACACATGCACACAAATGTTTATTGCGGCATTATTCACAATAGCAAAGACTTGGAACCAACCCAAATGTCCAACAATGATAGACTGGATTAAGAAAATGTGGCACATATACACCATGGCATCTGGATTTTTAAAACTCCCCAGGTTGCTAATGTGTAGCCAGAGGTTGAGATGCAGGCCCTAGGAAATGATACAAGAGATAAGGGGAAGGCTGACACTTCTGCCAGAGCAAGAGAGGGGAGGGATACTCAGCTGAGAGCTGCTTCTCAACCTTGGACATCCCCTCACCACAGGCACTGCTTCAGTCCGGGAGGTTTTCACTTAGAATTAGCTTCTCTTGAGATCCCAGAATTTCAGAGACTCTCACCCTTTTCATTTCCTATAGCTATTAGAATTTACAAAGGGGCCACCCCCAGAGGAGACAGAGGAATTGACAAATTGACCTCTAAGAGGCTCATCTCTTATCAGAAAAGCATATGGTCCCCAGATCACCAGTGATAGAAGCAGAGGCAGATACCTCTAGTAGTTGGAAAATTTGTAGTTACATAGTAAATGCAGTTTCTACCTGGTTGCTACAATAATAGGCCAAGCGATTAGGATACAAGTTTCCAGGATCTTTTCCTATATTTCCAAAAAGATAAATCACCCCTAGGAACAGAATCTGCATATTGTAATTAACTGATAAATATTTCATGCCTGGCTCAAACTTTCTCCTCTTCTATTTAATGGCCACAAACTTGAGCACAGAGGAAACAGCAGTGAGGAGAGTGGCGGTTGGCTGTAGGGGGGAGGTTCTACCTTGGCTTCAGGGAGGGAGAAACTGTCTTGGTTAATTATTTACTGTCCTCCTGTTCTTTTAAGAAAACATTGCTCACCTGGAGAAAATCAGGTCCCAGGTGGTAAAGGGTGTGACTTGGGCTTGTTGGCCTCAGCCCTGACCTCCCCCAGGAGAGGCCAGGTTTTGGTGACCCTGGGGGTGCTGGGAACTGCAGGCTTTGGAGTCAAGGGCCCAGTGTTTAAACAAGAGCTCTGTTCTGTCACTTATTAACTGGATAGCTTTAGGTAATTTACGTAATTTATGTGAAACTCAGTTTCTTCATCTGTAAAACAGACATAATTTTTACCTTGTAGGGTGGCCTATGCTCAGTTGGCTCTCAATGCATGATAACTATTATTATCAACAGTAACAATGAATAATTAATAGCCCATTGGATTGTACTCTTTCCCTTTCTCAACCCTGCTCCAATGTGTAGGGCACCTAAACTACTGAATGCTTACTGTGAGTATGGTGAATGCCTTAGCTCAGTTAATCAACATAATTCTTTGAAGGGAATGTCTTATCATCCCTACTTATCTGTGTTTTGCAAATGAGGGAACAGGGCATGCAGAAGTTAAATACCCTGCCAGGTGTCACACAACTAAGTGGTTAAGAGCACAGGCTCTGCAGTCTGACTGTGTAGTTTCAAATTTGGGCTCTGCCGCTTAATAATAGACTCTCCTTGACTTACGATGAGGCTGTGTCCCGATAAAGCTGTAGCAAGCTGAAAATATTGTAAGGTGGATATGCATTTCATACACCTAACCCACCAAACATCATAGTTCAGCCTCGCTTACCTTAAAGTGCTCAGGACACATTCATCAGCCTACAGTTGGGCAAGATCATCTAGCACAAAGCCTATTTTATAATAAAGTGTTGAATAGCTCATGTATTCAACATGAGATATTTATTCATCTCATGTATTCAACATGAGATTCAACATGTTATAATGTACTGTACTGAAAGTGAAAAACAGAGCTGTTGTATGAGTATTAGAAGTACAGTATCTAATGAATGCATATCACTTCGGCATCATCATAAAGCTGAGAAATTGTAAGTCAAAGCATCATAAGTCGAGGACCGTCTGTGATCACTGCAGGATGGAACATAAACTGCTTAACCTCGCTAAGCCTCAGTTTCTTCATCTGTAAGTTGGGGATATGAATGGTACCTACCTGAAAGGTAGTTGTGAGAATTAAGTGAGAAATGCGTGTATAGTGCCTGTCTCAGTACTGGCATGTGGTAAGTGCCTAGTAAATGTGAGTTGTCAGTACCATCATCATACTACCCAGCAACTCAGTGCCATGGCGTCTCCTGCTCTTTGGTGGTGTTTGGGAGGTGAGTGAGTGTGACGGTCCTCCAAAGGTCACAGAGCTGCTCTTTTAACTCCCCCTGACAGACACACACACTTCAGTATCTAGGACTCGGGAGAAAGGACACTAAGCAGATTATGACTCCATTTCAGGAATTAAATCAAAACTCAAGACTATCTCAATTTGGCTTCTGACTAGAGGGAAAGGTTAAAAGGGAGTGAGGAGGCGGCTGGGTGTGCGTTCAGAATTGCAATTGGTTCTGGATCCCACCTCCCAGCCCCTCCACAGGGCCAGGCCCAAGGAGTATCCCCCAGGGGTGGAGGAGTGAAGGAGCCTTAGAACCTGTGTTATCTGAATGTGGGTGAGGTGGGGAGAACGTGGTCAAGGAGTTGGGAAATTATCCAGAAACATTTTCCAAAGGGAGATCTTCCCGCATACCACCTCAGCCTGGCTCTGGATTGCAGGGGAACCCCAGAACGGATGGGGTCTGGGGGCTTAAGACAGGTAGGTGGCCTCAGTAGAGGGGAGAAACAGTCCTGCTGGAGACAGTCGCCTCCCTGGAGAAGTACCTGGGCTAGTGTTCTCTTTAAAGACGTCTAAGCAGTCCTGGTATGCTAAAAACATTATGTGTATGTGTATAAACATATATTCTGTGTGTGAGTAGCCACTCAGCTCTTACTTGGCTTCGCACATTTGGCCCAGATTATTCTGAGCATTGTAAACTAAAAGTGAAATTCGGTTTCTACTTGAGAGAGCGTGATTTTCCTCAGTATTATCTCCCGTGCCCCCAACACTCCACCAGGCTTTAAAGGCCATTATACAGAAGGGAGAACTGAGACTCCAGGAGATGGGTGGCTTGTTCAGAATCACAGAAGCAGCGTGGATCCAAGAAGGGATCTGTTCCCAAACAGAAACCAGTGTCTTGGGAGAGAGAGAGCAGAGGAAGCCCGCACCTCTGCCCTAACCTGAGGCTTTGAGCCTCCCGCAAAGCCGAGTGAGTTGAGAGCGCCCAGAAGGCAGACGCTGCGGAGGGAGAGACTCCTGGGCTAGCCAAACAGCAGGGCCTCGGGCAAGAGCGTCACCTGCGCGTCCTCATTCTGCGATTACTGTCAGGGGACCATCCATCAGCGCCGCCCTGGACGCTGGGCCAGACTGCCCGCCGCCCGCACCGACCGGGTCTCTCCAGATCGCATTAGCATTAGCGTGGGGCGAGGGCTCAGTGCGGCACTGGCTGCTGAGGGAGAGGCGTGGCGGGGAGGGGGGCGGGGCGGGGGGACGGGGACATCGCGGTGGGGCCATTGCAGGGCAGGGGAGTGGCTGCTTTAGGACCCTCCTCCTTTTCTTCCAATCTCCCGCCTCTGGCATCTAAGGTGGATGAAAGGGGCACTGGAATGGGCGGCTTTTGGGGGGCAGGGGGTGCAGAACACTGAAGGCATCAGGGAAGGGTAGTGATGGGGGCAGTTATCAGAAGCAGAGAGGAAGAAATACCTGTAAAGGGGAAAGCCAGAGAAATTGTCTGGGGAGGGGAGAGACTGAAAATGGGGGTGCAGAGATTGGGGGTTAGTGGAAGAAAAAGACTTAAAGGGAAAGGAAAAGAGAAGCTGTAGAGGGAAAAAGAATAGGCAAGGAATTGACGAGAGAGCAGGGAAACAGGAAACCACAGATCGTCAGGGGCTGACAAAACCTTAGAGACAATCTACTGCAGCCCCTCATTCTACAAATGAAGAAATGGAGGCCCAGAGAGGGGAATCCCTTCTCCAAAGACCCACTCCACCTGCTGGCTGGGCAGGCTCTTGACCGCAGGCTCATTCATTCGACCCATGTGTTTTGAGCATCTGCTGTGTGCTGGGCACTGGTCTGCCGAGATGATGCAGGATCAGCTCCTGCCCTCCAGAAGCTACAGTCTTTCCTCAGGGGCTTGGAGAGGCTGAGCATCCAGGAAGCTCCCTCACCCCCAGCCAGGAGGGACTCCCTGAGCCCCACCTCTCCTGGCCACTGAACCTTCCTTGCCCTCTGCTGTTCTGCTTATCTCCTCATGGAGGGTGGCCGTTCCCTGGAAGATCTTCCCTCTCCACTTTCCTGGGGACTCCCCAGGTGTGGAGACAGGTACTCGACAGTTTGGCCAACTTGTTCTATCTCCCACAGCCAACAGCGTAGGCCTAAAAGCAAAGTCCATATTCCTTGCTGGGTTTCACCTCTGGGCATGGACAAATCCCACAGGTTGGACTGAGATCCAATTGAGCTGTGGTAAGGAGGATTGAGGCTGGACATGAAGAAGTACTTCCAGGTCCCACAGTGTGGGATCATTTTCCTGCTGGGGCTTTAAAGTAGCTGTCCTTCTGTGAGCACAGTGTTGGCACCATCTTCCAGGGAAGGACTTGTCTTCCTCAGTCTCCAGTTAGCCTTGTGCGAGGCATTATGCTGGGAATGTTGGGGTTCCAGATACCTGGTCTCTGACCATGGGGTTTCTGCTCTAGACATGGGTGAACTGACATCTCCCTGGCATCCTCCCAGTCACTGCCAGCTCTGCAACATCATGGAACCCCTGAGTCCTTCACAACTCCCAGATCATCTCATCCTTCCTCCTTGCTCTGGGAAGACCATGTCTGAGTAGTTCCAACCAACCTCTCACCTTAAACCCAGTCCCTGATAATGAGAAGTACCTCCTTAGTCTGGACTTGACCTTCCTTGCTGCCATGGTCCATCAGCAATGACCAGGGCTGAAGCAGCACGTTTTTTCTATAAACACCGCTCCCTCCCAGTGATGCTCACCCAATCCTCGGTGGTCAGGCAGGGAGTGGGGACAGCTTCCTGCCAAGAGCTCTGGAAGGCAGCTCTGCCTCCTCTGCCTGAAGCAAGCTCCTGTATACTCTGAGATGGTGGTGTTCATTTTAAAGAAGGGACCATCTTTCCTCCACAGCCCAGCTTACATTTGGAGGGAGACAAATGTGAGTTTCCAATCCCAGAATCTTAGCCACTGTACCAATCTCCATGGATGCATGGGATTCAGGAAAGGAGAGAAATGAGCAGAGTGAGGACATGGATAGAATCCATTTCCTACCCCTTGTTCCAGCCCAAGTCCCAGGGAAAGGCCCACAGAGGGCAAGAGAGGTGGACATTGAAAATTCCAGACTAAAGACCAACAGACAGATTTCAGCATTATTCCTTCTTGTAGGCAAAGTGGTACCTAAGGATCTAACCAAATGAAAAAGCCTGGGAAATAGGCTATTTCTGCACCCCCTGACCCTTCATGCAGAGCAGGATATCGGCTTCAGCCCAGGAGCAATGCTAGAAGTTGAGAGGTTTGGAGTAGACTGTGAAGCAGTTCCTCCAAGGGCATGCCAGATGAGGGGGTTGGAGCACCCAGCCCAGAACAGCATCCAAGGAAGGAGGCCTTGGCAGTAACTTTCTGTCTCTGTATTAACTTCACATACATTTTCTTGTGTGATCCTCAGTGCCAGGTTCAGCACCAGGCACAGAATACATGCTTGCTGTACAAATGCATAAGTGAAGAGCCATGGGAGGAAGGTCAGGATCCTCAATTACAGATGAAGAAACAGACACACAGAAAGGTTAAATGACTTGCTCAAGGTCACATATCTCATCAGAGACAGGGCCAAGTTTCAGTGGAGAGCCACTTTAGTGGTAGAGGGTGGTAGGGAGGAGGGAGGCAGGAAGGGAGGGAATGAACCATCAGACACCACACGGGGGGAGAGGAGAGCTGTCATCTTTCTCTTTGTGAAAAGAGATTACTTCCTGGGAAAGGTGGCATTTAAGACCACACAGTTTTAAAAACGACCCATTGAAGGTTGATTTGAGCATATGCAAAGTTCTGCCAAAAACATGGAGAGGTCAATGAGTAGACGGGGTCATTGAGGATCAGAAAAGAAAGACAACACTGAGAGTCTGGACAGCTAAGCCCCAGAATTTTGCTAGTCTTAAATGCTGGGTGACATCAGGCCTTCCACACCCCTCTCTGAGCCTCTAGAGAATGGAGATGCCAGACGTGGAGAAGGGTACACATGGGCAAGAGGAGGCAGGTCATTGCCTTCAGGGTAGCAATTGGAGGCATCAAGTTCCCACTTCCCTAGACCTATTCTTTGTTGTTATTATTGTTGTTGCTTTCATCTGATTTTAATTGTTTTATGTTTTTTGAATAAGAAATACACGTACATGGTTCAAAACTCAAAAGGCACCAAAAGTTATACAGTGACAAGTAAGTCTCCCCGGAACCTCAGAACTCCCAGGCCACCCATGTCCTCACTCCGTTAGTACTGCAGTAACCACTGAATTGTATAACCTCCAAAGGTATTTTCTGCTTCTCCTGGCTTGTACCCTGAGGCCACCACAAAACCGAGTTGAGCACTGATATTCTGAGGAGATGTGGTAAACATGTTTTGGCCCCTGGACTGGTGGGGCCTTGGAATACTAAATACTCTCACTTTCCACTCTGAAAAGATGGAGAAACTTGAGGTCAGGAGAGAGGACATTTCTGCGTGCTTAGAAGCTCAGAAGCCTCGCAGGTGAGAGGATGGAGTTGGGAGCCAGGCAGAGGCAGGAACCCTCTCCAGGGCTCTAGTACCACACTCCCACCCCAGAGCCTCACAGTGCCCTCTGGGTTAGCCTGGCTCAGGTATGCACCCAGTTAGGTCCTGCTCAAGTTTTCCAGAGAAAAAGGCCCAGTGCTTCCCCTCCACCACCTGTCACATTGTTGGGAGGCCTTTCTTGATGTCTCACTCTAGTTCCTTCGACTTTAGGTGTGGCCCATGGCTTTTGATTCTGCCCTCAGTGGAGATGGAACATGCTCTTGGAGATGATAGCTTCCAGGGACCCAGGCTCTTCCTCCCACTTGCATACACAATTTTCCTTCAGGCCCTCTAATTCCACCTCAATCTTTTTTCCAGACTTAGAAGACACATGCCTGTTCTTTCAGCTACCCCCCCCCACCTGAATTCCCAGTCTGCCTCCATTCCCAACCACCTCATTCTTGCCCTGCACATCCCTTTGGCATTATTATCCCCAAGTATTCTTTGGTCATGATGATGGTAAAATCCCAACCTAAAGCCAAGTCCTCCACCAGATTCCAGAGGTAAATCCAGCCTAGTCTCTTTGATAACTGAATCTCTCCATTTTGGGTGATGCCCTAGCCCGACTCTTGAACTTGTGCCCAACACTCGGACTCTCAGATCCTCACACATGGCCTGTTGTGAGATAAGGCACAAGTTCATCCCAAGCCTGGGATGGCCTCCCCTCTGTTCTCTTCTCCAAACCCTCCCCTGGTGAACCTCATCCTTTGCATTTACTCACTAAGCAATTATTATTGAGTACTATTCCAAGTTCTTAGAATACATTGGTGATCAAAACAGAGAAAGACCCCCCACCTGTGTGGAGTTTACATTCTAGCAGAGAAAGACAGATAATGAACAATATTCTTACTAAATAAGTAAATTATATCATATATTAGAAAATGATAATTGTTACAGAAAAGGAATAGATCACGTACAGAAGGATCAGCATGGAGGGGAAATCTGAGGTTTTTAGTATGGTTGTCAAGGAGAGCTCACTGCGAATATGGTATTTGAACAAAGACTTAGAGGTGAGAGAGGAAGTTAGCCCCATAGACATCTTGGCAAGAGTATTCCAAGTAGAGGGAGTGGCTGGTGCTAAGGCCCTGAGGCAGGAACATGCCTGGCAAGTCTGTGGGAGTGAGCAAGAGTGGGAGGAGATGGCATCAGAGAGGTAAGGAGGGAACAGATGATGTTCGGCCTCGTAAGTCAACTTAAGGACTTTGCTTTTTATTCTGAGTGAAGTAGAGAGGAAAGACATGATTGGACTTCAGGGTCTTGTTTTGTTTTGAGAGACAGTCTCACTCTGTCACCCAAGCTAGAGTGCAGTGGCACAATCTTGACTCACTACAACTTCTGCCACCCAGGTTCAAGTGATTCTTATGCCTCAGCCTCCCAAGTAGCTGGGATTACAGGCACCTGCCACCATGCCCAGCTAATTTTTGTAGTTTTAGTAGAGATGGGGTTTCACCATCTTGGCCAGGCTGGTCTTGAACTCCCGACCTCGTGATCCACCCACCTTGGCCTCCCAAAGTGCTGGGATTACAGTCATGAGCCACTGCACCTGGCCTGGACTTCAGTTTTTAAATAGTCTTTTTGTCTTTTGTGTTGAGAATAGATCACAGGGGGCCAAGGGAAGATGCAGGGAGACTTGTTGAAAGGTCATTGCACTAATCCAAGTGAGAAATGTGTGGTTTGGACCAGGATGGCAGCAGTGCATGTGGTGAGAAAGGCCCAAATTCTGGATTTGGTGACAGTTTCCTCTTCCTTGGCTTCCATCCTTTTGCTCTCTTTGCTTCCTCTCTTCTTTTCTAGGTTGTATGTTTTCTCTCTTCTTGAAGACTGAGAGCTCTCTGTGGGTGGGGCTCAATCTCTGTTCCTGGGATCCAGGGCAGGACCCCAGGCAAAGGACAGACAGGCCCCGTGCTGCCTGGGAACAGGCTGACAAGCCACGCAGCTTCACAGCCCTCCCCAATTACAGGGTCCCTGAGCCAAGGGGAAGAGGCTGCTGTTTCTAAAGAGGATGTGATCGACAGTTATTGAAGGTGCTTAGCTGGGGGCTCCACTCTAGTCTTAATCTGAGCCGCCCTCAAGGAAATCATAACCAGCTCTTAAAAACATGTTGAGACCAAAGCTGGTGTGTGTGTTTGAGCGGAGCTTCAGACAGCTACTTAACACTGGGGGCCTCTGGGCTTTTGATTCCTCCACTTCTAGCCTGCCATCTCCCCCCAGCTGGCTGGTGCTTATCAGCCAAGACGTTGTTTAAATCACACTCATTTCCTATAACCATTTCATTTGAAATGCCATCCTCTGCTCCAGAAATTCATCTATCACCAGCCTAGGGGTATAGTTGAGGAGCCTTGGGGTGATCACTCCCCATCTCTACCCCTGGCCCCAGTCACCCCTCCTCCCATGACCCATATTCTCAGGTTTCACTCTATAAGAACTACTTCCACTCGGTGTGACAGGGCACTTAGTGCCAGAATTATTTATAACATTGAGATGGCAACAGGGCAATGGAGAGCAGCCCAACCCATGGACACTTTCTCTTTGAAAGCTCGATCAATGGACCTAGATCACTGTTTACTACTTGGTGTCTCGGCCTCTGCCGTGTTTCCTGCTGGCTTTGGGGGATGGGGAAACAGGGGTCTGGACCAGGTCAAGGCTGTCCTCAGAGTTTATGATGCTTATAAGCCAGGCCTCCAATAAAGTTATGCCTTCACTGTACCTCTATTCCTTGGCCAGGCACTTCCCTGCCTCAGGTGAGCTCTCTTCTTGGAAATGAACCATTCTTCGGGCTTTTTCTCAAACAGGAGCCCTCTGCCTCCCCCAGGAAAGCTGGTATTATGTCCCTACCACAGTGGCAGAGCTAGGACTTGAGCTGAGGAAGTCATCTGATATGGATCAGAATGGGGATGTAGAAGATTCTGGGAGTTCTTCCGAGGAAGGGCTTGAATTGGCCCCACCCAGTCTGGAGTGGAGGTAGAGGGATGGATGAATTCACTTCTTAAGGACTGAAAACCTTTTTACCATCCTCTTCCTCCCCAGCCATAGCCAATTACTAGTTGTCCTAATTTGAAGGCTCTGTTGTCTGGACTGGAGGATTTTTACCCATTTTCCAGCCCCTCTCCCGGTCTCATTTATTTGGGCAGTGTCACATTAAAGGCATTGTCAGACTTCCTAGTCCTTCCCAAAGGCCTGACCCAACTCCTTCCCAAATGGTGAAGCACTTCTGCCTCCCTCCCTTTACACCTGTGGACCTACCACACTGGGGAACTCCTAGGTGAGTCCCAGAGAAAGCCCAGGTGAAAGACTATGAGCCTGTCGGAAGGGATCAGGGTAGAACCCAAGTTGGGACAGGCAGGGGAGGCAGTCCCAGTCTTTAGGGGGGTCAAGTAATTCCCCTTTACAAGCCAAATGAAGAAAAAAAGTTCTAAGGGGAGCATATGACTCCATAAAATAAAGGACATAATTGGGAGTGATATCTAATTTATCTATTGAATGCCTCCTACGTACTCTTTTATCACTTAGATGGACAGAATATAATTGGTGTGCTGTGCGCCATCAATCTCAGAGCCTGGGCTTCCTGTGCTGGCTACACATATTACTGTCAGATTATGACACTGTAATACCAAGATCAATGACATTTTAAACGTGCTCCAGTTATGGGCAATTGCTGACAATAAAAACAGTGACAAATTGATGAAACTTGGGCAGCGATTATCTGGTGTCAAAAATAAACCATAAAGAATCTGATTTCCAAACAGAGAGAGGTGCCTGGGACACCAGCTTAGGGAGGAAAGGCCCAGCGAGAAGAGAACTTATCCTGCTCACATGATCTTGGCCACTCAGGAAGCCACCTGCTCTGGAAAACTCCCTCTAGGCTGACCTGCAAGACCCCAGCAGGAAGATGGAGAGGTGGTCTTTGGTTAAGGCTTGGGTTCCCCTTAGAGAGAATCGTCATCACTGAGACTCTGGGAAGTGTCTGTGTGTGACTGCCAAGGTGGGCTCCACACAAACTCACTGAGATACTGGTGGGTTGTCTTTCATGTCCTGCCCACACTGAGGAATTAGGGCAGACTGGTTGAGTCATAGAATCACACTTAGCCAATGTTAAAGCTAAAAGAGACCTTGAGAGTCTCTCTTCATGGAGGGTCAGGCTCTGTCCTCCAAACTGTCCCTCAGCAGAGGGACCTGGATCTTCCCTAACTTGACCCAGGCATTATTTCCCCAGGCTAATCCCCTTCCCCACCCATTGCAGGGAACTCCAGGCCTTCAACCAGCAGAACTATTTTGGCGTACATTAAGAAGGTGGGCCTCCTCCAGCTCCTCTTTTTTTTTTTTTTTTTTTTTTTTAGATGGAGCCTCGCTCTGTCGCCCAGGCTGGAGTGCAGTGACAAAATCTCCACTCACTGCAAGCTCTGCCTCCCAGGTTCATGCCATTCTCCTGCCTCAGCCTGCCGAGTAGCTGGGACTATAGACGCCCGCCACCACACCTGGCTAATTTTTTTGTGTTTTTAGTAGAGATGGGGTTGCTCCATGTTGGTCAGGCTGGTCTTGAACTCCTGACCTCAGGTAATCCACCCACCTTGGCCTCCCAAAGTGCTGGGATTACAGGTGTGGGCCACCATGCCTAGCCTCCAGCTCCTTATTTTTAGTGGATTACCTTAATTTGTAGTATTCCTTTCATACATTTTTCTCACTTTAATAATCACAGTTTTAAAATATGAATACTTTAGTAGCATTGTTAATACTACTTTATATAATAATACTTTAGTAGTATCGCTAATACCACTATTACAAGGATAACTACTATTGGGAAGCATTTATTGTGCAACTACTATATGTAAACTCTGTTCCAGGTGTTTCATGTGTATTATTTTTCATCCCCAGAGCAGCCCTGTGAGGTGGGTATTGTTCTTCACATTTTAGAAGTGAGGAAACAGGCTTAGAGTCGTAGTGATGTGCCTAAGATGACACAGCTGATAAGCAGTGGAGCAAGAAAGGAGCCTGAGATGTGGCTCAACATTCATCTTTTTTCCATTGCCCCTTTCACAGACCTTTATAGTCCCATTTATAGACAGGGCTGAGGGCCTCCCTAAAGAACCTATAGCTAGTCAAAGGCAGAGCTAGACCTAAGCCTAGCTTTTCTGACCCTTCTCGTATTAGACCTGCACCGTATGTATTTTTTTTTAAAGACTGGTCAAGTGCAGTAGTGAGAAGGGGGAAGGAGCAGAACAAGGAGTTTGATCTGTAACTGACTGTGAACAATCAATTGAGATAAGGCACTACCTTCGGAACACCCCCGACACTCTTTCCAGATGCACCACAACAGTCCTTTCCCCAGGTCACCACCACTCACTCAGCCAGGGGCTTCAGCCTTGGCCTCTAAGAGTCAGCAGGGGGTCACAGTTGGCTTTGAAACCAAGCAGACAGGTGTTTGAATCCCCACTCTGCCACCTTACAGCTGTGTGGCCTTAGGCAGGTGGTTGTGAGAATTTAAATGGCATAAGCATATAAAAGCATTTGGCGTAGAGTCTGGCACATAGTAGTGCTCACTAAATGGTAGTCATTAAAGATACAACCTGGGACAGTGGCAGCTAGTTTAACAAACCACCACACCCCATAGCACCTCTCACCTGGGTGCAAGTTCCCCAGGCCACACTGCAGTAGCTGCTCGCTGAGGGTGTCCCCGGATATATAAGAAGCCTCTCTGAGGGCCACAGAGGTTTTTTGATGGCAGATGGTTTAAAACATCATTTTTATATTAAGTTGTATAAAATATACTACGTTATAAAATGCAAAGTTTGCATCATTTTAGAGCTAAAACTTAAGGCCACAAAAGAATCTGCTATTTTCTTATTAATAAAAAATCCTATTTTTATATAATGCAAATAATGAAGATGAAGTAACCTATTATTTAATTAAACATGTCTTTTTTTTAAAAAAAAAAAAAAAAAAGAAATAATTGGTCCTTGCTAATGGCCCTTCAGGGCAATCCCCCAGACTGCTGGGGTCCAAGTTTACCCTCCTGCCTCTAATAACAAAGGGACTTTGGCAGAAAAGTTTGAGAAACCCTGTCAGGAAGAGAGCCTACACAAGGACCAGGAAATCTGACTTCTTCATTCTTTAGAAGAACAAAACAAATAGCAACATTGTGTTTTCTACCTTCCTAGTGTTTTACCTTCAAGTTTAGCATTAAGAACATGAAATGTTTTGTGTAAATTCGTGATTCTTATTTCTGGTTCCTTTCTGTTTAATAATTACTAGCTGAATCATTAATCATCAACCAAGTGAATGGTCACACTTTATAGAAGGCTACAAGGTGGAACACAAGATTAGTTGGATTCTTAAGAAAGAAACTAAAAGCTGCTTGCGACTTAGATGCTCTTAAGTTTTATGACTGTGGTGGGAATTTGAGCATCCAGGCCTTGCTTCTGATGGTCCTCTCATTCCAGTGCCCCAGTTCTAATCCTCTGTGGGTGCCCTCGGTAGTCACAGCCTTGGGGCTGCCCAGGGCTCAAGGCGTCCATGTTTTTAAAGTGCCCAAAAACGGCTTTTGATTCATCAGAAACTCCACAGGACACCCACCTAACTGGGGCTCTGATACCTAATTCAGCAGCACCCACCACCAAGTCTTTCTAAGTTTTATTTTTTTTAATATTACATGCAATATATGTTAATTATAAATAAATGTAATAATTCAGGTAGGTGAAAAGGAGAAGGAAAAATGGCCCAAGTAGTTTCCCCACTGAGGAAGAACCCTGGTTAGCGAGGCAAGTCACGTGACTTTCGGAATCATGTTGAATCTACACCCATTTAAGGTGGAAGTCTATATAGCCTGATTCTTTGATGGTTTAGAGCTCTGCTCAGTTTAGAGTTCAGGGAGGTGGTATCTACAGGGTGTATTGCTCTGATAAAAATTAGCAGCCTGCCCAAGTTCAAGGTATGAGGGGACCGATCACAGATTGGTTTGAGAATCATTATGTTGGCCCTTTGGTGACTCTAAGGATTAGATCCAGAGTACAAGGGGCCCACACTTCCAAGGGATCCCACCACACCTTCAAATAGCAGACTCATGGAAAGGGGATTCAAAGATTCTCCCCCTCCAGCTACGGCATTGCTTTACAATATTTAAAATTCCTTGACTAAAGAGCAAGTCTAAATTGCAAGTACTCCTAGGACAGGGACTGGCTTAGATCCATGACAGCTCCCTCTCTGAAAGAAGGGCATGCCTTACTCCACCAGACCAAACAAAACTAAAGTGACTTCTCTGCTACCCCCAGAGAGGGGCACTGGGGATGGTAAAAGCATTTCTGTCCCTGCACCCAGGGATGAAGTAGAGAAATGCCACTTAACCATAGCCAGGACCCAAAGAATTGTGAGTGGAAAGAGTGACAAAAACAGAGAAGGACAGAACTGTAAGCCACCGCACTTCATTTAGGAAGTTAGTGCTAGGGTAACAGGAAGGATCGGGTGGGCTTTCAGGGGAGTGGAACCTGTTAGAGAAAGAACAAAACTGAGTGGAGACGCAAGGCAGGAGACCATTTATAGGTGAATTAGCAGCAGAGGGTGGGTGGTGGCTGTGCCTGGGGCAGGGGTGGTGGGGTGAGGAAGTGGGGGTGGCAGTGACTTTGAGGGAGCTCTTGCAGAAGGTAGCTTTTTGAGGTGAAGAGCCAGAGCTCTGGGTCTTAAGAGTTGGAAAGCAGGTTATATTTCACATCCTTCCCTGAACAGAGAAATTGAATTTGGTCAAGAATAAGTCCTAAGAAGCAGTTGTGAGCACCCCACTTTTCCATCTTGTTGATGAATATGGAGTGGGAGCAAAGTTGAGTGTGGGCATCTGACAAGGTCTTTATGATCCTAGATGCACTTACTATACCTTCCTCCTCCTCCTCTGCCTTGGCTAATGGGCTGTGGGTACCCACCACACAGAGGGCTATAAGACACTCGCTGTGGCTGATGGAGAAGCTGGGCCCTGCCCTCCTGGCCTTCTGAGGAAAGTGATTATTGTTTTTGGCTTGTTTTTCAACTATCCCTTTGCCCCCAGCAGGACTGAACCTTTCCACTCTTACCATCTCTGGGTCCCTTCAGATCTTTTATAGCCTTGAACTATCCGCTACAAGATTTTTTTCTGTCCTAAGAACGGAAGTCTGGTCTGCTTCCTAACATTAATCCCTTCCACACAGCACAGCCTCGTTTCCTCTAGATCAGAGAGATGGCTTCTGGATTCATCTTTCCCTGCAATCCAGCTTCTCCTCCTGGGGCCCTCATAATGGAGACTGGGATCATCATCCAGGCTTTTGCACTGGGTTAGGAATTTGGGAGTCATCCTGGATCCATCTGCCCCTGTCAACCTTTCTCTGTCAACAGATATTTACTGGGCATCTCCAACAGCCAGGCCCTGTTCATGGTGCTGAAGAACAGCATGTATAAAACAACCCTGCCCTCACAGGGCGATCACCAGTGACCTGTGGTGTGGAGTCTCCTTTTACCTCTGTCTCCTCCTTCCCACTGTCACCATCCTTGGTCCTCCTCTGTCACCTGGAATACTCCACTTGGTAACCAGCATGATCTTCTAACACTAGTTTTACCCTTGTCAGCACTTTGCCGAAAACCTCAAATAAAGACTTTTTTTTTTTTTTTTTTTTTTTTTTTTTTTTTTTGAGACGGAGTCTCGCTCTGTCGCCCAGGCCGGACTGCGGACTGCAGTGGCGCAATCTCGGCTCACTGCAAGCTCCGCTTCCCGGGTTCACGCCATTCTCCTGCCTCAGCCTCCCCAGTAGCTGGGACTACAGGCGCCCGCCACCGCGCCCGGCTAATTTTTTGTATTTTTAGTAGAGACGGGGTTTCACCTTGTTAGCCAGGATGGTCTCGATCTCCTGACCTCATGATCCACCCGCCTCGGCCTCCCAAAGTGCTGGGATTACAGGCGTGAGCCACCGCGCCCGGCCAAATAAAGACTTTTTTAAAAATGTGCGATGGAAAACTAAAGTTATAAATTATATCATAACCATTGGACCTCTTTTTAAAATGCACTGAAGCCTTATAATGTTATCCATGGATATATATCTATGATAAAAATAGAAAAAATATATGATGGTGGTGCTTCTGAAAGGGAGGGGAACGGTACTGGGGAAGGGACAAAGGGAACTTCAACTTTATCTGTAATGACCTGTTTATTTTGAAAACTCAAGAGCAAAATTGACAAAATTTTAACAGTAACTTAACAAAACCTCAAGTCTGGATAGTGAGTTCAAGAGTGTTACTTTATATGGACAGGCAGTGACTCATGCCTACAATCCCAGCACTTTGAGAAGCCAAGGCAGGAGGATCTCTTGAGCCCAGCCATCCTCCCACCTTGGTCTCTTGAAGTTTGAGACTAGCCTAGGCCGCATAGTGAGACCCTGTCTCTTCAAAAAAAAAAAAAAAAAAAAATTGAAAGCAACTCAGGAGGCTGAGGAGGAAGGATTGCTTGAGTACGGGAGGTCAAGGCTGCAGTGAGCTATGACTGAGCCACTTCACTCTAACCTGGATGATAAAGCAAGACTCTGTCTCAAAAAAGAAAATTAAAAAAAGTGTTGCCTGTAATCCCAGCACTTTGGGAGGCTGAGGCAGGTGGATCACTTGAGCTCAGGAGTTCGAGACCGGCCTGGCCAACATGGCGAAGCCCTGTCTCCACCAAAAATACAAAACATTAGCCAGATGTGGTGGGATCAGTCTGTAGTCCCAGCCACTCAGGAGGCTAAGGCAGGAGAATCACTTGAACCCAGGAAGCGCAGGTTGCAGTGAGCCAAGATCTCACCACTGCACTCTAGCCTGGGCGACAGAGTGAGACTCCATCTCTAAAAAAAAAAAAAAAAAAAAAAAAAGGAGTGTTACATTAGTTGTCTATATGTAGATACACTTGTCAAAATTTAAGCCATAAAACCCTCAGTGTCCCTCACTGTTCCCACCCCCTTAGCCTGGCATACTGGGTCTTTCACAAGCTTGTGTCAACCTCCTCTACAGACTCATCTCTACACTGAGGGACTTGCAGTTTCCAAGTCCTCTGGCCTTGGGACCTTTGCCCATGCTGTTCTCTTCTGAATGCCCTTTCCTGCTTTGCTAATTTGTTCTTGCCCTTCTGGATTCAGCTCCTGGGAGGCCCTGTGGATTGAAGTCAGATGGCTCAAGTAGGCAGCTGGTTAGGACCCAGGAGACAGAAACGTGTCTGAGGAGGACAACACTTTCTTGTCCTGGTTTCTATTCAGCTGCAACTAGAGAAACAGATCACCTGTTTCTTGTTCAAAACTAGGATCAGTGAGAGGAGGGTGGAAAGAGTAAGATCCTCCACAGTGCCCTCCCACCTCCCAGCCTCCCCCTACATAGCCTAGCCCCAAGGCAGAAACTTCCCAGCAGAAAAAGGAAAACTGATAACCTCATTCCTTGGTCTGGCTCTGTTAGGATTATCATCTGGTTTCCCCTGCTGGTGTTGGAAGAACTGTGTTGGTGCAGGCCAGTGCTATCCTGTGACTAGAGGGAAGAAGCTCTGCCTGGGCCTGATTTGGCCACAAGCTCCTAGTAAGATGCTGAAAAGGAACACAAACTCTCGGCCCAGGACACCCTCCCCATGCCATCCCACACTTGACTTCTGCGCACCTTGTGAGCAGATCAGATTTGGTGTTGCTTCTTCCACATCATCCTCACATCCCCTTTCACAGACTCGGATAGATCCCCTCATGGGAACCTATGGATCTATGGCATATCTATGGATATGCCACCCCATGGCAACTGTCCTTTCCCCTTCATAGCATACATCACCCTGAATTATAGCTGCCTGTTTATGTATGTGTCTTCTGCACCAGGTAGTACTCTCTGATGGGGCAGGGATTGGGTCTGTCTTGTTCACAGTTGCATCTCCAGCACCTGCAACTCTGCCTGGCTCAGAGTAAGTGCTCAATACTTTTTGTTTTTGATTGAATGATAGAATGACGAGTGAACTCTATTTCCCACTAGACTGTGAGCACCATGTTGACAGGGACCATGCCCTGATCATCTCTGGATCCTTAGGGCCTATATAGTGCTTGCCACATAGGAGGTGCTCAGTAGACACTTATGGATTTGAGTGAATGGACTTCAGTTTCTCCACTTACAATCTGAGTAAGAGGAAGATATTCTTTGCCCTCTCTCCCTCCTTCTCCAGCCACATTGGGGGTTGTGGTTGATGCTGTGAGGTCGTTCCTGCCTTATTCAACTTCATGTCCAAATCTTCTATGGCAAAACACAACATGGTGGCCAAGTCTCAGAGTCCAGGCATCCCTCCCATAGCCCATAGCCAAGTATGGGAGAAGGGTGCTTCAGGGTCTCTCTCCATTCACTTTAGTCTCCAGCATTAGCCAAGATCCCACTGTCTACCCTGAATTCTTCCTGCTATTGCACAAGGTTTCTTTCATCTTACTGTATTGTCAGGGAAAATATAGCCAAGATTATCTGCTCCTCAACCTGAAGTAAAATATAGATTCTGCCTAATTTTAGAACCGGTGTTAGCCAGGTGTGGTGGCTCATGCCTATAATCCCAGCATTTTAGAAGGCCAAGGCAGCAGGGGAATCGCCTGAGTCCAGGAGTTCAAGACCAGCTGGAGCAATATGGCAAAACCCCATCTCTACAAAAAAAGCAAAAAAATTAGCTGGGTGTGGTGGCACACACCTGTAGTCCCAGCTACTCAGGAGGCTGAGGCAGAGGATCATTTGATCCCGGGAAGTGGAGGTTGCAGTGAGCCAAGATCGTGCCACTGCACTCCAACTTGGATGACAGAGCACGATCCTGTCTCAAAATAAAAATAAAGAATAAAACCAGTGTTTCCACATCTGGAACTTTCTTTTCAAGTTTATATCACCTCTCCTTCCAAATCAGGTCTCCCCTCTTCCAGGAAGTACTCCTTGATTAAGCCAAAAATGTTTTAATTTTCACCACTTGTCCTATTACTCTGCATCCCCACAGCACTTGTAGTTTGTACTTATTCCCTATCCTGTTTAAGTGTGTTCATCATCCTAACCATACTGCATAAGCAGGCACTATTTTAAGTAGGCTTGATAGATTATCAGAAATTGACAAGAAAAAATACACACCAAGAAGAAAGTAGAAGAGGATTTTTTTCTTTTCTTTTCTTTTTGCTTTATCATAGAATTTCTTGTCTTGGTGCTTACAAGCTGTGTAGCACAATGAGAGGAGAATGTGATTTCTGCAAAACATTTCAGGAAGCACAAAGAAGTATCTGTAAATACCCAGGAATAATGACCATGTCTTTTATTTGTATTATTTTTCTAATTCCTCCACTCTATAGGGTTTGCCCAAAGTCCTTGATTTAAGCCCTTGAGTGTTGATTGGCTGACTTAGCTTTGGATTGTGGTCCACTGAGATCGCTGGATCTTTTTAAGCTTTAGAGTTATGCCCTGCCATGTGGATGCAGGTGGAGGAAGGACTTCTCAGTGTGACCCATGAGAGGAGTAGCTCTCCTGGGCCCCAGGCCCCAGGCTGCATGTGTATGGGAGGGAGGAGGAGAAGCAAGGAAAGGAGGAGAGACAGAAGTATATACTGAGCTGGTATTTGGGGGAAGGGTTGGCGGGTTGGGAGAAGGGAAGAGAGGAGTCTGGGCCAAGGCCAGATGTGTCTCCCTGGGGAGTCCTCAGAGCGGGCAGCCGGACGTCGCTCCATCCTTCCCGCCTGACGGATGGGTCTGCTGCGCAGGCACAAGCTGTCGGGCCAGGCCCTGCCAAGGCAGAACAGTGGCGCTTCTGTGCGCGCTGCTCCGCTCCGCTCAGGAGGATGGGGCCCGCCCGGGAAGCCAGGGAGTGATGGAGAAAGCAGACGTCCCAGAACAGGAGCCGCGGGGTCACAGAAGCACAACTGCGTCCCGAAACAAGGAGCCACAGGATGAGGTGGGAGGGGACCGGGAATCAACGCGGGGGAGCGTTTGGGGGAAGTGCTGGTCGAAAGAAGAGAGGCAGAAGGACGCGCGCTGAAGGAGCCTGGGGATGAAGAGCTCGATGATTTGGCCACAAGCCCCCTCACCTTTAAGAACAAAGCTTCCTGCATTCAGTTGCAGAGTTTTGTTTCCCGGTCAGATGCTCAGAGACCTTCCAACCTGTCCCCCACCCCTCAGCCTTGCCCATCTCCACGGGCATCTTCCGCGCCCTCGCCCGGGACTCGGAGCCCACCACCCTCCGCCTCCGCCTGGCCTGGCCCGCTAGATCCCTGACGCTCCAGTTCGGAATCTGGGATCCGCAGGCTCCCAGATCCGCCGCTGGCCCGGCTCCGACCCGCCCGTCAGCCGCCTCCCCCTCAGCGTTAATTAAAACTTGCGAGATGGAGAGGCTGGCGCGGGCGGCTCCGTTTAATTTGCAGCATCTTTCATGCTGCTGACGATCGTAAAGGGCTTTAATATTGAAATATGGGCCATTTTCCCAGCTCCAGCCCTCGCCGCGCGCTCCCCGCACCCCCACACCCAGCCACCCCGCGCTTGATGAAAGAGCCCCTGCAAATCCATTAAGGAGAGATAATTGAAAACTCCGGGGTAATATTTAAGACCGCGTGCCGACGCGGGGTGGAGGGCCTGACTGCGCCCGCTTTGCCCCTCAGTGCTGGTGCGTGCCAGTCCCTAGCGCTCTAGGCCCACCAAAGCCCCGCGGACGCCCAGCCAAGGCCCGCCGTCTTAGCGGTGCCTCCTCACTCCCTGCACTCAAAGGGCTGGCTCTGCGCTAACCTGGCTCTTCCGAAGACTTGCCTGGAGACCCGAGTTCCAAAAGGAGCCACAGGGCATGCTGTGTGACAGATGCATTAGGGCCAGAATGCACGGGGGCCAAAGCATCTTGTCCCACTCCTTCAGCTTCGGTTTGATGTACCAGCATCAGGCACTGCTCAAGCTTCTGAGCACAGCATCCCCTCTGCCTGCAAACTTTTCCCTCCAGCACTTTCTACTTGGGGAATTGCTGTTCCTCTTTCAAAACCAACCCAGTTCCACCCCAAGTAATGGTGCAGTGGGGTATGGAACGTGGGTGGGAGTATAGACACGCCAAGATCCTGGTGTGACCATTGTTGCAGTTGCATGATGAGGACACTATACTGCTCTGTTTTCATATGTTTTCAATGTTCCACGACAAACATGTTTAGAAAGCAGCTGAAGCATCTTCTTTTATGCCTCCCTCTCCCATAAATACAGACTACCTGTTATCTTGTACATTGATGTTCCTTAGCACATCGTGTTGCCATTATCTGTTTAAAGTCTTTCTGCCTACTCAGCTGTGACATCTTCAGGACAGGGATCAGGTCTAATTTCACTCCTTAGCCCTTGCTCCAGGCCCAGTGCAAGGCACATAACATGCGCTCAGTAAACATCACTGAATAGGCTGCTCTCTGGGTACCTAGAAGTCTCTAGGGCTTAAGGTTAGGATACAAGCACACGGAAGGAGGGTAGGGCAAAGCGTGGAAGAAGGGTGGGGTCTGTGAGGCTGGGTTGGGGATCATGTCTCTCTCCCACAATGACTGGCTTCAGGATGTTCCCAGAATGGGAAAAGGGTAGAGGACCCTGTTCTGCACTGTGATTTAGGAATCCTTAGGTCTCTACCTGGGACTTTTGGGGATGTTTCTCCACTTCACTCCATTTGGCTTACTCTCCCAATCAGGTTAGACACACACACACACACACACACACACACCACCACCACCACCACCACCACCACCACCACCACCACACACCTTAGACAGGGAAAGAGTGGGAAAGAGGGAAGCAGAAGAGATTATTTGAAGACCTACTTGTGCAAAAGGCATGAGTAGTTCAGGCATTTCCATGGATACCCAGCTAACCCCCTACCACAGGGCCTTTCCTACTTACCCCTGTTGCACAGTCTTCCCCAACACTGTGTCCAACACCCATACAGGGGTTATACTCACAGGATGGCACTATCGAGGAAGAGGGGGCTGTTCTGACTCAGCCCCCCTAAGCGCACATTGGCCCTGAAGCCACAGTTGCAATGATGCCCTCTCTATGGCCAGAATGAGATCCAAACCATTCCAAAGTTCCATTTCCAAATAAGGACTCCTCGTTAGAACTACAAAACATCAGAGCTGGAGGCAACCAAAAGAGCACTGTGTCCCCTCTTAGTATCTGTGGGGCAACTAAGACTTAGAAAGGGTCTGTGATGTGCCCCAGGTCACAAAGCCATTGGTAACTGGGCGGGCGGGGTGGCTCACGCTTGAAATCCTAGCACTTTGGGAGGCCAAGGCGGGTGGATCATTTGAGGTCAGGAGTTCGAGACCAGCCTGGCCAACGTGGCGAAACCCTGTCTCTACTAAAAATACAAAAATTAACGGGCAGTAGTGGAGCATGCCTGTAATCCCAGTTACTCAGGAGGCTGAGGCAGGGGAATTGCTTGAGCCTGGGAGGCAGAGGTTGCAGCAAGCTGAGATCATACCACTGCACTCCAGTCTGGGTGACAGAGTGCGACCCTGTCTCAGGAAAAAAAAAAAAGCCATTTGTAACAAAACCAGTGCTAGAATCCCAGAAAGTTAGTGGTGGAGTTGGAATTAGAATCCCAATCTCTTGACCCACTTAAATATATACAATTGGTATTCGAAGTGCTTTTCACAAACATTATCTCATTTAATTCTCTCTCTCTCGATAGGATCTCACTGTGTCACCCAGGCTGGAGTGCAGTGACATGATCATGGCCCACTGCAGTCTCAAGCTCCTGGGCTCAAGCAATGCTCCCACATCAGCCTCAGGCACATGCCAACACACCTGGCTAATTTTTGTATTTTTGTAGAGACAGGGTTTCAGCATGTTGCCCAGGCTGGTCTTGAACTCCTGGGCTCAAGAAATCCTCCTACCTTGGCCTCCCAGAGTGCTGAGATTACAGGCATGAGCCACCGTACCTGGCCTCACTTAATTCTCACAAACCTATGAGATAGCGTCACAATTCCCATCTACAGATGAGAAAAATGAGGCTCAGGGAGAGCCATGATTTGTCCAGTGTCATACACGGGTGCAAAACAGATCCAGGATTTGAACCCCAGTTTGACTGGCTCCAATTCCAGTGCCCTTTCCACTCACTTCTCCAGTATCTCCCCCTACACCCCACCCAGCCAAGTCAGACCAGTTTCCCAGACACTCACCCTTCATCCCTGGACATCTCCAGCCAGAGGTCTTTTTTCTCCTTAGCCCAGCTTCCCCCACCCAGGGCAATGTTCTTTGCCCCAGATTTGGAGGTGGGGGTGTGGTAGTCTCCGCGGTGGTTCTGGGTACAGGCCTCCATGAACTGAAGCCATGCACAGCCTGGCCTCCTTTGCGTAGCCCTACTCCTGTTCGTGGCCACGGAGGCCTCAGCCATAAATCCCCAGGTCTCGGCTCATAACCATTAGCAAGCGATTGGGCTCATCAGGACTCCTTTATGAGACTCGGGTCAAATAAAATGGATTGCCGGAGGTCAGGAACAAGGGATCTCCTTGCCTTGCCTTGCTTCCGAGATGCTCCCACCGCCCAGAGGTTGGCAGATTCTGTTTGACTCACAGCTGTAGGTGGAAGTGGGGGCATTGTCACAGTGGGATAAAGATGTATCCCCTGGTACTCCACACCCATGGAAGGAAAAGCGCTTGGAGATGCACATCCTCATATAGCCCACAGTCATTAGGGCTGGAGGAACACACACACAGAGGCACATATACACACTCAGACCCCCATCTCTGATTCAAATCCACTCTTCAGCAACCAACCCCCCAACCCCACCCACCTCACATCATCTGATGTCCTCACACTCCATCCCTCCTGTGAGGTATTTCCTGAAACACTGCTTCTCAAACACCACTGTGCATACAAATGACCTGGGACCTGGTTAAAATGCAGATTCTGACTCAGTAGATCTGGGGTGGCACCTGAGCTCTGTTTTCTAACCAGCTTCCAGGTAAGGCCAGGGCTGCTTCTCCAAAGATTTTAAGCAGTGGTCCTCCCACATTAGAAGGGCAGGGGCTTTCAAAATGTAAAAGAGATAGGAGAGTGCAGTTTGGGAAAGCTCCTCTCCCACTCCCATCCCCCAAATGCTGCTGTGCACACCCAGGTGACTGAACTGTTTCTAGAATGCTGTTACCTCACTCTTTACATGGCTCCCTCTCATTCTTCAAACCTCAGCCCAAGTGTCACTTCCTCAGAGAAACTTTCTCTGACCACCCAATTTATTTTATTTTATTTTATTTTATTTTATTTTATTTTATTTTATTTATTTTGTTTTTTTGAGACGGAGTTTTGCTCTTATTGCCCAGGCTGGAGTGCAATGGCACGATCTCAGCTCATGGCAATCTCCGCCTCCCGGGTTCAAGCGATTCTCCTGCCTCAGCCTCCCAAGTAGCTGGGATTATAGGCATGCGCCACCACGTCTGGCTAATTTTTGTATTTTTAGTAGAGACAGGGTTTCTCCATGTTGGTGAGGCTGGTCTCAAACTCCTGACTTCAGGTGATCCGCCCGCCCCAGCCTTCCAAAGCGCTGGGATTACAGGCGTGAGCCACCATGCCTAGCTGACCACCCAATTTAAAGGGTCCCTGCTCCACCCTGTCTGTGATTACCCACTTCACAACAGGTCTCAAAATTGCATGTATCTATTTGCTAACTTGCTTACTTATTTTTTTGTCTGTTTCACTCTCTGAAATGTATGGTCCTTGAGTTCAGGGATTATGCCTGTTCCATTTATTCATGAATTCTTGGCAACCTGTGCCCAGTGCATAGTAGATACTCAGTAAATATTGCTGGATAGGCCAGTCACAGTGGCTCATGCCTGTAATCCCACCACTTTGGGAGGCTGAGGGGGGCAGATCATTTGAGGTCGGGAGTTCGAGACCAGCCTGGCCAATGTGATGAAACCTCGTCTCTACTAAAAATACAAAAATTAGCTGGGCATGGTGGCACAAGCCTGTAATCCCAGCTACTCTGGAGGCTGAGGCAGGAGAATCACTTGAACCTGGGAGACACAGGTGGCAGTGATCCAAGACTGCCACTGCACTTCCACCTGGGTGACAGAGGGAGCCTCTGTCTCAAGAAAAATAAAAAATAAAAATAAAAATAAAAAAATAAAAGATTATCTGAAAGAGTATCTGAATCCAGGACTGAGGCTGTAGGTAATCTGAGAAAGTATCTTGGAGGAAGGAAAATTGGAGGAAAAGAACATTGTGTGAAGGACTTAAGAAAGGTGACTCAAGGAAAGTGGGAAGGCAAGGGTATCCAGATAAGATTGGCCCCATTGGTCCTGGGTTGATATGACAGGGGTGAGGAAGGGTCCTGGAGGGAGAGATCCTGGGGGTAGCAGCAGATGCCGCAGGGTCTCGGAAACCATGGCAGGCACTAAGAAGACACGTGGGCTTCCCTCCACCTCATGGACAAGGACCTTCATTTATTCATTCTTTCCTACACTTGACAAATTCTTACTGAGATCTTATTAGGCGCCAGGCACTGTGTTTGGTGCTGAATATTCAGGAATGAGCACAATGGGTCTGGTTCCTACCCTCCTAGAGATTACAGTCCAGTGGGAGAGACTGACAGTAAACATATTAATATGTTACAGTTGGGCCAAGTCTACAAAGGATAGGGTATGATAACATGTATGATGGGTGGTTCCCTAGGGAGAAGTTTCCCTAGGGAGTGACAGTCACCCAGAGTGCTGATGGGTGGAGGTCTTTTTTGCCAGCCCCCTGCCAAGCTTTCGTCCTGGACTTTCCTGCATTCCTCTGCACTGTCCCTTTAAGAGGAGCATCTCTTCCCTGAGCAAAGGCAGTTCGGGCACACAGCCTGAGCCTGCCAAGGTTGTGGGCCATAAATCAACGCTGGCACTCCCTTGGCAGTGGGCTCTCCTCTGAGCTGCCCAGATGGCAGGCAAGCCTGGGGCTCCAGGGGCAGCCAGGCACTCAGGAGGGGGGAGGCGGGCAAGGTGTGGACACAGCTGGGCCCCAGGCTCCTGATGGCAGCTGCCCACTTCTGTCTAAGGGCCCTAGGCCAGGGAAAATGCCAAAGTCCTTCTATTCTAGTCCCAGGGACCTTCTGACTCCCAAGTCAGTCTAGCATGGGGCTGTTGAGATTATTGTTCCCACCCCAGCCAGGGACCAGGGCCTCATAGGCATCCTCTGAGACCAAGGGTCTTGGATGATCTCTTGGGATCACAGTCTGCTCTAACATTCAACCTGAAAGTTCTGCCTGTGGTTTGACCTTCTTTCCTCTTGCTGTAGCCAAGGTGTCTTCTTTTACCCTGCATGAAAGATGAAAGACAGTAGCTCCCCATTTAGTGGGGGCTTTGGGACTGTGTGATATCTCCCTCCGCCTTCACTTTAAGCCTCCCAGAAAAGCAGGATAAAAAGATGCTTCAAAGTCAGTTGGAGAGATGGAACTCTGCCCTCTTGGGGGTTGCCATCCCTCTGCCACCCTCACAGGTGCTGTGACAGAGGGAACATATGTTGCTCCTACCCCAGAGGATGGAGACAACATCTTAGCAGCCACAGCCCCACAGAGCTGGGCTCAGCAGGCCTTGACAGAACTGAAAAGGCATCCTCTCTCCTGGGCCTGGGCCTGGCCTAAGCCTGGGTTGTGGGCGGAGGGGTGGAAGCAAAGCCTGTAGACCCCTTCCAGAAAGGAATCAACAGGCTTGACTGCTCTCCCCACGCTCACTCCCAAACAGTAGAACAGTGGAAAATTCATGGGTTCCAGAACAATAGAGATTTCCTGGGATGTCCTTGTCCTCAGATTCTCTGTGAGAAGTCAGAGTTTACAAGTCCTTAGAGATTCTTTCTCACACACTCATCATACAGATGAGGAAACTGAGATGCAGAGAAGTTCACCCAGGTCTTTTTCAGGTTGTTTTTACTACACCACATTTGCCACATGAACAGAAACTCCCAGAGCTACCACTAAGCAGGATGTATTAGACTCTAAAGGTAGTAGCATAGATGGAGGTTAGGTAACAAGTAGAACTTTCTCAGAATAGTAGGTCACAGAAGAAGATGAGAAGCAAAGTAAAGAAAGTGCATTCTCTAAAACAGTGGGGTGGGGGTGGGAGGGATGGAGCCAAAGAATCAGGTTAGAATTTTGCAAAAAGATAGAAATATAGAGAACACAGGAGAGGGAGCTGGCATAGAGCCCAGAGCAAGGACAACTGGGGTGTGGAGCTTCTGGGGTTCTTCATTCAGGACCCCTAGATTTCATCTGTCCCAGGCTTCTGGGTATCACCAGTAGTTTAAAGTCAGGACTCATCTGGGCTGATTCTCTTGGCTTTCTCCTTGCTCTCCCGGGATGGCTTATCTGGCTGCCAGAGTCATTTGCCATCTCTGATTTGTGTTTAAATTAAAGTTCCCACAAACAGAGGTTTAATGTGCTGTTACCAAGAACTCCCAGGCCCCCTGCAGCTCTGGGAAGTTGAAGGGGCTGGGGAGAAGAGGTCAGTCTGTGTGCATCCCATCAAAGCTGATCCCACTGGCATTGGACCTGGAGTGGACAGCCCAACTAAGTGTCTCCGTCCTTGCTGCTCCATCCAGAATGGTGATGACAGGGGGCAGGGCAGGGAAAAGCATGCTCACAAAGGGCCTGGGACCAACATGCCCGTTCAGGGGCTCCTGGGTGGCTGTTCACCCTTTTTCAGGATGGTGAGGAGAAGGCAGGGGAGGTGGGCAATGAGAAGAGGGCAGGGGGTGGAAAATAAGGAGAGAGCAGGAGGCTCCATTCTTTAACACTTGTGTATGGCGCTCACTGTGTGCCAGCACTGTTCCTGGGCACCTCACAACTACAAATTCAACCTTCTACACAACCTGTAAGGCAGGTGTTGTTATCATTAGCCCCATTTTTATAGATGGGGAAACAGAGGCATGCCCAGTATCACACAGCCAGTAAGAGGCAGATCCAAGGAGTCAAGCCAGTGCCATCTAGCTCCAGATTCCCAGTGCTATGCTGACACTTAAGCCAAAATTTATCTGTCACCCTCCCAATCCCTTGATCACAAGGTGAGGCTTCTCTTTGCCAGAGCAACTGAGACAAAGTGAAGCTCCCATCCTGCTCCCCAGATCTTTACCTCTCTGGGCCACAGTCTTCTCATCTGTAAAATGAGGATAAGATACTAGGAGGGGTTGAGGGTCTGGGAAGGTTTAATGAGACAGCTTGTCAGTGACCAGCACAGGGTAGGTCCCCAGCAGTGGCTGTTTCCTTCTCTGTAGTCTAACCATAAGCCTTCCTGCTGTGCCTTCCTGCACTGCCTCTTAATTCTGCTTTCAAAGGAGCTAGTGGCAGTGACCCTCGCCCCTTAAAGAAACTCTCAGGAGAGCATTGTTCCTCATTCATTTGTCCAAATTCTCTCTCTTCCTCTGGGAAACCCTGAAAAAGAGGGATAACAAAGCTGAACTGGAGCCCCAACCTGCTCTGTCCCCACCTCCTCTGCACCCAGGTGAGCCAGTCAGGGTGGCAACAGAAAATAAATGACACATTCGAGAGGGTTTCACTGAAGGGTTTAGTGATGTGGCAGTTTCTAAAGGCATAGACCAGATGAAGAAAACTAATAAGGGCTAGTGTGGCACCAGGATAGAAATATCTCTACCAAAGCCCAATGCCAACTGGGCTCACGGGACACAGGAGAGAGGCCACTCAGCAAAACTGTGACCAAGGAGGAAACACAACCACCACCAGAGCTTCAAGCAGGCAAAAAGGGGGGCTGACAGGGAATGGAGGAAACAAATACCCTGACTCCTCTCTCCCCCTTCTCAGCCGGGAACTCTATTGGCCGAGAGATCAGGGGGCCCATGTGACACAGTCTGCAGAGGTCAGCCTCCCTGGGCAGAGCAGCACAGAGAACACAGTGGGGCAAACATAAAACCATCCCCGTCCCATCCCACCCGTGAGTCCCTGCTTGATACCAAAGCCTCCTCTCTGCTGCTTTATTGCCACCACTGTCACTGCCTGCAGCCAAACAGTGACTGACAGGGAAGGAGAGTCAAGACTCCCACAAGCAAATACTCCAGCTCACAAGGAAGGTGGGATCCAGGCAGAGGGCAGCTTGAGGGAAGAGGGCTGTGTCTGAAGGGCAGCAGAGCAGGGACTGCCCACTCCCAGCATGGAGAGACAAAGAGAAGGACTGCACTGGGGGTGAGGATGTCAAACGATGATAGTAAATGACTCTCTTTCCTCAGCATATGATACAAATCACTGTGGATCTCCCTTCCTCCTCCCCTCTCTAGACCGGGAGCCCTTGTGGGGAAGGGATTTTGTCTTGTTCTTCCTTGATATCTAGCACAGTGCCTCTTAGGGGCATAATCAGAATTTATTGAATAAATAAGCAAATAGATATGTAAATGAATGAACAAACCCATTTGCAGCTCATATGCACAGCCCTGGGCCCTGGTCAGGGAGCACTGTTGAATGAATGGCATGCAGCATTCCTACAGAAGTTTTATTTCAATCAGTTCCATCACCTACCACCTCAGGTTTCCTTTCAGCCACTGAGTCACGGGCCACACAGCCCACATTTGCCTCCACGCTGGCCAGAGGCTGTGCTTTGATAGCACCCACTCAAATGTACAGTGACCTCATCTAGCTCCTCCTGATGGAGGAATGAGGGGAGTAGCAAGTGACTTCCTTTCTCACAGCAGCCTTTCTGTGAGCTCTTTCTTTTTTTTTTTTTTTTTTTTTTTTGAGACGGAGTCTCGCTCTGTCGCCCAGGCTGGAGTGCAGTGGCGCGATCTCGGCTCACTGCAAGCTCCGCCTCCCGGGTTCACGCCATTCTCCTGCCTCAGCCTCCCGCGTAGCTGGGACTACAGACGCCCGCCACCACGCCCGGCTAATTTTTTTGTGTTTTTTTAGTAGAGACGGGGTTTCACTGTGTTAGCCAGGATGGTCTCGATCTCCTGACCTCGTGATCCGCCCGCCTCGGCCTCCCAAAGTGCTGGGATTACAGGCGTGAGCCACCGCGCCCGGCCTGTGAGCTCTTTCTTGAGAGAAATCTTGATCCATGGCAAACCGTCTGTGGTATTCTCGGCTGTAGCCCTTGGTGGGAGATGGGGGGAGGGAATGACAGTGCCAAGGATGCAGCTGAAGGATCGTCACCCTGGGAGCCACAGCTCTGGCTTACTTTTTCCAATGGGCCATAAAGACTGAGGGAGGCAGGCGGAAGCAGGGGCACCAGACTAACAAACTAGAGTTTCAAGTGTAGTCCCCAGGCGATGCCCACCTTGCGAAGTGGTTACAGATGCTGGGGCTGGGCTCAAGATGCCTGTTCTACCACATGCTGGCTGTACAACCTTGGGTAAGATACTTGATTACCATGCCTCAGTTTCTGCATCTTAAAAAATGTGAATAACAGTAATGCCTACTTCACATGGTGGTGAAAAAGTAGATGAGTTAATAGTTATGAGATACAGCCAGGCCTGGTGGCATGGGCCCATAGTCCTGCTACTCAGAAGGCTGAGGTGGAAGGATTGCTTGCACCCAGGAGTTCAAGACCAGCCTGGGTAACATAGCAAGACTGCTCCCCCACTTTTTATTTTGAGATGGAGTTTCACTCTTGTTGCCCAGGCTGGAGTGCAATGGCATGATCTCAGCTCACTGCAACCTCCACCTCCTGGATTCAAGTGATTCTCTTGCCTCAGTCTCCGGATTCCAGGGATGAACCACCACACCCAGCTAATTTTTGTGTTTTGCATTTTTAGTAGAGATGGGGTTTCACCATGTTGGTCAGGCTGGTCTCGAACTCCTGACCTCAGGTGATCTGTCCACCTCGGCGTCCCAAAGTGCTGGGATTACAGGTGTGAGCCACTGCGCCTGGCTGCAAGACACCCATCTCTCTAAAAATGAAAGTTTTGAACTATTTAGGAGAGTACATGATCCATGGTAAGCTCTATATAAATTTTGTTACATAAAATTAAGGTTCTAGTCCCATAAACTTTTTTCTGTAATAAGCTGCTCAGCCTTAGATAAATCTCATATTTGCTGTGAGAAGTGAACAAATGCATGTGAAAACTGTAATGTGTTTATAATTTTTATTATTTGTCATCAAGATCATGTAAGAGACCTGATTTAGTAGAGGGTGAAGGGATGCGAAAGAGGCTGTCAGTCATCAACTTTTGATTATCTGCCTTGTTAAGGTCCCCTTCTTGTCAACATAATCAGCTCTTTGGCTTGTTCAAGTCTTTTGTTGACAATATCCAGGCCTCTCATGGTTCCTCCCACACACAACGGGCTGCACAGCAAGGGCTGGAAGGAAAAAGCCTTTGAAGGCAAAACGGGTCCTTCCCTTCCTTAGCCTTGAAGCGGGAATAACCACTAGACAGAAGGCTGTGAGGGAGGACTCAGGCACTTCCACTGTGGCTGCTTTGCCTTTGGGCAGGAGGGGAAACTGATCAGCTCCCTCTGTGGTAGGGCCGCAGGAAGAGATGTTGGCATTTGTTATGAAGTGCTAGGCATAAAAACACATACATGGCCGGGTGCAGTGGCTCACGCCTGTAATCCCAGCACTTTGGGAGGTCGGGGCGGGCGGATCACAAGGTCAAGAGTTTGGGACCAGCCTGGCCAACATGGCGAAACCCCGTCTCTACTAAAAATACAAAAATTAGCCAGGAGTGGTGGTGGGCACCTGTAATCCCAGCTACTCAGGAGGCTGAGGCAGGAGAATCACTTGAACCCAGGAGGTGGAGGTTGCATTGAGCTGAAATCATGCCATTGCACTCCAGCCTTGGCAACAAGAGCCAAACTCCATCCCAAAAACAAACAAACAACAACAACAACAAAAACAGAAAACAAAAAACAACAAAAAAACCCATACACACATACTTATCCCAGTGTCCAGAGCAAATGTTCTGCCACTTACTGCTATGGGTGTGATTTCAGATAGCTACTTAAACCCTGAGTTGCGGTTTTTCTCATCTTCAAAATGGAAATATTGATGCCTAATTCAAAGGGTGAAAATTAATGAACTATAGAAACCCCTTGGTGTATGTCTGGTCCAATAAATGGTAGCTCTTTTTAGCTAACATTTTGTAATATCTGCCCACTATCTCCTCCAAGGGATGGAGAAGTAATGCTGACTTCCAGACTAGGAAAGGTAGCGGTAGCAGAAAGTGATTTACAACTCGACATTTTTCACATTTTCTTTCCAGAGCACATAGTAAGTTCTTGTTGGTTCATTCATTCATTGAACAGTGTTTAGAAGTTTGAACAAGCTTGAACAACTTGCCATCATTTTGTTCACTTGTATTCATCTTACTCTCACCACTAGAACTGCAAGGTCCATGAGGGCAGAGGCAGTGTCTGTTGCTGGGTGAGTGACTGGATTGACCTCAAAGCATGTCTGAAGACTGAAATGGGCCAGGCAAGGAGATGGACACTGGAGGCCTGGATTCTGGGCTCAGTCATACCTCCAAGAACATAACTTTCCCTCGACCCTGGAGTCTTCACAGACCTTCCTTCCACTGTGAGGCACTGGATAATCACTTGAGACCAGACTCAGGGAACTCCTCCCTCATGGGAAGACATTCATTCATCCACTCCATGTCTCTGAAGCCCCAAGAGAAGGATCTGAATCCCCTAGTCTGAAGAGTCAGCAAGTTTCCAACACAGCAATCATGATAAAAAGGGAGAATTGATAAAGGAGGGAGCAGCCCCAACTCAGTAACAACAGAGGGAGGAAAATTCCAGCTAGTACATATACTTAATATGAAAGCAGACATGTGCCAAGACCCTGCTTTCATGGATATTAGGTGTTCCCAAATATAAGAAACACCCATTCTTGCCCACAGGCCTCACTGGATACTATCCAAGATGTCTAGACAATAAGAGGAAAGAGAGAATCATAATATCCAAAAGGTGGAAAAAACCCAAATGTTCACCAATAGATGAACGGATAAACAAAGTGTGATATATCCATACAATGGAATATTAGTCAGCCTTGAAAAGGAATGAAGTACTGATAAATGCCACAACATGGATGAACCTTGAAAACACTATGCTCAATGAAAGAAGCTAGTCACAGTAGGTCTCTTATTATATGATGCCATTCATATGAAAGTCCGGAATAGGGAAATCTACAGAGACTGAAAGTACATTAGTATTGTTAAGGGCAAGAAGGAATATGGGGGGATAGGGAGGTGATAGCTAAAGGTTACAAGATCTCTTTTTGAGGTGATGAAAATGTTCTAAAATTAACTATGGTGATGGTTTGGCATACCTGTGAATATACTAAAACCATTGAATTGTACATTTCAAATGGTGAATTGTATGACACATGAATTATACCTCAAGAAGGTTGTTTTTTAAAAAGACAGCGTAAGGGGTAGGGGGAAGTTGAGATGAAGCAGGAAAACTGTGATCAGAAACAAAGCTCAGGGGCTGTCTGGCCTGGCTGCCCCAAGTCAAAGCCTGCATTTCATACAGGCAATGTTAGGGTAGCCCCCAAGCCATGATTCAGAAAGATAAATTGACCCCAGAAGATATAGGGCTGGGTCCCTTCTCCCCTGACAGCTCCCTTTCTGTGTTTTTTCTGGCACAAGAAACTCTGTCATCTTGTATAAATAGGAGAAATTTATGACAGTTTTCCCTCTTCTTCTCCCTGGTGGGCTACTAGGAAAGGTCCCGGGGGAGGAGGGAGCCTGAAATTCCAAAAATATAAATGTGGAAAGACTGGAGGGGGTTGAAGAGTCTCTTTGCCTGCCTTGACTCTGGCCCCAGCTCTCCTTTCCCTTTGCATGTTTGACCATCTGGGTGATGCAGAGGGTAGAGAGCTGGTGCAGCCCGTTCTCTCTGCAAGCCCAAAAGAGATGGGTCCCAAAGCAGATATCCGACAGGAGGGGCACAAGGGAAATCAAGAAAATAGGCTTGGCTGTCCCATGAAATAATTGGAGGAGACACAGACCACTTGCCCTCCTTCCTGGATTTGGCTATTTTTGTACTTCCCTGTTTGTTGAGGCAGCCTGATACAGTGGGAAGAGAACTCGTCCTAGATTTAGAAAGATTGACAGAGAAACTAAGTGTGTGACCTTAAGCAAGTCATATCTTCTCTCCGGGCCTCACCTGTAAAAAGAGGGAGGGGACTGAATTTATCAGGGGTTTTCAAATGAGTTTAACTCTGGGGTCCTTCCTTCAAATAAAACCGTATGTAGTGACCCAACATGAACACGAGTAGTAGCCTGCTGAGCTTCTTGAAGGTAGGAATGGGAGTCAGGGCCCTGTGGTGACTGGTGAGAGGCTTGTCCAAGCACAAGATGATCTCCATGGCCTTTCCAGCCCTGTCCTCAGGAGGGATTTGCCCCCATGGTGAAAAGGCTCAGTTCTGTACACCCAGTGGGCTTGAAATCCAGCTCCACCCCCTCTTGTGTGTCCCTCAGCACATAACTTACCTTCCTTGAACCTGTTTCCTCTTGTTTAAATTGGAATAGTAACACATATCTCAGAGGATTGTCACATAGATTACACTAAATAATGTGCATAGAGTCCTTTGCATACTATCTGGCCCAATAAATATTATTATAGTTATTCCGTGATCTGATGTAATCAGTTTTTTATTTTGAGACAGAATCTCATTTTGTAGCCCAGACTGGTGCACAGTGGCATGATCTCGGGTCACTGCAACCTCCGCCTCCTGGGTTCAAGCAATTCTCCTGTCTCAGCCTCCCAAGTAGCTGGGATTACAGGAGTGTGCCACTGTGTCCAGCTAATTTTTGTATTTTTTAGTAGAGATGGGGTTTTACCATGTTGGCCAGACTGGTCTCGAACTCCTGGCCTCAAGTGATCCACCTGCCTCAGCCCCACACAGTGCTGGGATTACAGGCATGAGCCATGGCACCTGGCCTGATATAATCTTCTTAATTTGAAATATCTGGTGTGAGAAGGTGAATTGGAAAGGATGACAGCAAAACTTCTATAACACAAAGGCCCCCAAACACAGTAGCATATAGAAAACAGAAGTTTATTTCTCACTTAGTCTGGGAGGAAGTTGTTCCAGATAGCAGGCAGCTCTGTTCCTCCTAGTCAGTCAGGGACGTGTGTTCCTTTCATACCTTTGCTTTGTCTTCTCTTAGGGATGTCTTTTCAGTTGCCTGGTCAAACCTGTCTCAGGCACATCTGCCCAGCTCATGAAAGAGAGAACACAAAGGAGAATTTACCCAATCCGTCAGGCTTTGAGGACATGCTCACCTCACATTCCCCTGTGTCTACACCTGGCAATAAGAGCAGCTGGGAAATGGAGTGTCCAGCTGGGTGTCCCTCCACCCTCGTGCAGCAAGGAAAGAAGAGATTTTAGTGGACAATGGGCAGTCTTAATCCAGGGCTCAAACCCACACCTGAGCTGTCCTCTTCCTCTTCTCTTCCCAAAGGAAGGGAAATAAAGTCTACAGCCCAGAAAACAATGTGACCACCCATCCCCTACCCAATCAGGTCCCTGCCATTTATCCCAAGATCAGCTGTCTTTCTTGGGAAAGTGGCTTGGAAGCCTCTCTCCAGAAAGACCACCCTTCTGTCCATCTTCTTCACATGGGTGGATTTGAGAAAAGTTTCTGTCCCCACTGCCTGCCTGCCACTCCCTGTCTCAGTTTCAGCTCACGCTCTAGCCCTTCGTTCCCAGTCACCAAGAATGACTACAAATGCGGGGGAACAGGAGGACTTGAAACAGTCATGGAAATTGAGACTGGGGCACAGAAGCCATGCTCAGAGGCAGCGTAGGTGAGGGTTCTGATGCCAGGAAATCCAGCTACTACTGTGTAACCTAAAGCGGGGATTAAGCTCTCAGAACTTCAATGAACTCTTTTGGAAATAGGGATAAGAAACCCACTTGTCAGGGCTGTTGTGAACATCAAATGTGATCATGTATGTACCTAGTACATAGTATGCCTTCAATAAATGGTAAGGCAAACCCAAGGCAAATTGAATTCATGTCCATTACTCTGACCCAGCCTTTGCATAAATTGTTTTTTCTTCTCCTTCCTTGTCAATGCATGGCTCCCTCCCTCTTCTTTACTTCCTATCCTCATTCCCCTACCATCTGAACCCTGATGTGGAATCTCTTTTCTCAGGAAATCTTCCATGATTGAAACATTCCTGCTTGGCCACTTCCCACTCCAATACTCTATCTTCGCCCATCTTCCATCTACCCCATGGTCCTGGCCCAAGTTTACACGTGTCCCATTTCTCCCTTCAAAAAGCATGCAGCAATGGAAGGGCTTTAAGTTTGCCATCAAGCAGATCAGAGTTCACATGCCAACTCTGCCAAGTTCTAGCTTTAGGACTTTGTCAGATCACTTCCCCTCTTTGAATCTCTGTCTTCCCAACCCTCTGGTGAGGTCAAGTGTGTGTGGGCTGGTACATAAAGGATATTTAATCTCCTCTGCTCTACCCAACCTCCCCCAACTCACACTCCCAGGACTAACTCTCTACTAAAGGGAGTTATCAGACCAAGAAAGTAATTCTCCCATTACCAGCCCCACCCCAACCCTGCTGAGGGAAAAAGAAGTGACTTCGAGTCTATGGGTCTTGGAGGGACCACCAACCCAAGAGCTAGAGCAGAGGAAGGACTTGGATATCCCAGATTCCAGGGTTATAGGATCTCTCCCCAAGCCCTCATATGCAGCCCCAGTTGCAGGACTAGCTTCAGGGATAGGAGTGAAAGAGTTGATCTGATTCCAGTCTTAGCCTGTAAGTAGTAGCTCACCTGTGCCTCTATTTTCAACCTTCCTAGATCAGAAGAGCAACAATATCAGTGACAACTAATGCTTACATAGTGTTTCCTATGGGATGGGCATTGTTCCAGGCTCTTCGTACATATAACTCATTTAATCCTGACAGCAGCCTTTGAGCTAGGTACTATTAACCCCATTTTACAGACAAGGAAACTAAAGCACAAGGGGTTAAGTAACTTGCCTAGGTCATACAACTCACATAAGGCATGACTGAGATTCAAAACCAGGCCGTCTAGCTCCAGAATCCATCCTGTTAACCACTCTGCCATAAAAAGAGCTAACATTTACTGGCAGGTTCTATGTGTCAAGCACTGTGGAAAACACATGGCATGTATTTCCTCTAATTCCAAATAACCCCCTGAGATAAGTTCTATTATTGGTATCCCTGTTTTACAGGTCAAGAAACTAAGGCAGAGAGAAAAGTTAAGCAACTTGCCCTGAGTCACACAGCTAGATATTAATAGTTTCAGAACTCCTAGCTGTTTTGCCTCAAATCCCACCTCCCCACCCCTGCTCAAAGCCCCTCCCCTTCTAGGTGGGTTGTTTTAGTTCCTATCACCAGTTCTTCACAAATCGGCTTTACCCCCCACAGCCTACAACCCTTGTTCTCCAAAACTCCTGTTGACCTCCGTCCCTTTCCCTTCCCACTTTCTCCCTAGACCCTCTGCTCCCCACAAAGTCCCCCAAACCATTCTGTCCCTCTCCCTCTGCTCCCCACCCACCCTCCCCCACAACTCCTGCTAAAACAGATGAATTTCACCAAAAAAGACCATCAGACCTTCCCCAAGCAGGCCCCCACTGTGCCTGATTGCACACCCCCAGGGGAGGCACCACAGTGGCTAAGCTGGAGAGCCAGAAATAAAATCCTCATTCTACTTCCCTGCCCCTTCTTCCCATCACTCATCTGGGAATCCAGGGCGAAGAAGGGAGCTAAAGTGCAGAGCATTCATTTAATATTAACAAATTGAAATGAATTCTTTTAATGCCAATTAACTTGGAGCGGCCCCTTATTAATAGTAATTTAGATTCATACTTGGGAGAAGCAGGGATGAGGGCTGGGCCAAATGTGCCCAGAATGTCAATGTGACTGGGGAACTGAAAGGGGAGGGGTGGCAGTTTTACTTCTGCCCAGTTGGGTTCTGTTTCCCTGAGAGAAATGGACAGTCACTGGAGGCGGATCTTTGGGAAACATAAATTACTCTTGTAAGTTTATTTTTGTTACTTCAAGGAATCTGAATAGTTTGACGCCATGTCACACCATTTTAAGAGTTTATTTTCACAGTAATGCTAAAAAGAAGAATTTCCTCAGAGCTGGGATTTACTTCAAACTCTCTCCTAAGCCAAACCTTACTGACCAAAGGGACAAGTCCCCAGGCCAGCTCTCTACCCTTCTTTGTTCAGAGCTAGAGCCAGAGATCAATATGGGCTTCCCCAGTCCCTGCCCCTTCTACCTTACCCAAAACTAAAAGGAAGAATCAACACTGTGTGTCTCTCTGAGAAGTCTCCCTCAGGAGATAAAAGACCCAAAGGGCTGACCCCTAAGCTAACAGCTTACATTTAAGGAAGAAAAACAATCTGCCTGCACTTTTCTTAGAATTTAGGGAAAAAATGAGAATTTAAAATTCAATTTCATGTATCAGAGTTCTCCAGAATACAGCCAAGTGGAAAGAACTTAGTCCCAAATGAAAAAGTTGAGCAGAAATTCTTCTCTCACTCGTTTTGCCGGCTTGGAGGTCAGACTGGAGGTGTCCTGAACTAGAACCAGAGCATAGGTTCTGACCCAAGAAGGACACTGTCTACTTCCCAGGCATCCCTCCTTGGCTGGGAGGAGAGGGGAGGATGAGTCCATTGGAAGCTGAGAATTGTGGAAGCTGGGGATGGGAGTTTTGAGATGGAGGAGGCAGGCGTGTGAAGGAGGTCAGGGAAAGGCAAGTAAATCTACTAATCATTGCAGTTTATAAAATAAAAACCTTAAAAATGGTTTAACATGCAAAAGGTTAAATTTTAAAAAGAGGCCAGGTTTTAAAGAAGGTAAAATACCTCAAATTTAGACATAATAAAAATGAGGAAAATACTCAAAACATTTCAAGCAAATTGTTCTTCAGAAGAGGAGAGGTTGGAATTAATCAAGAGACCTTTGTTACACACACATCCCCCAAGAGTTTCCCAAACAATAAATTCATTTACAAAACAAAATAGGAATCAACACAAAACCTCATCCACATACAGAGAAAAATAAATTGTGGTGATTCTGTAACAGCTGAAAAACTAGTGAGGGAGGAGAAAAATGAATAAACTCTAAATCCATTAGGTGATATTTATAAATAGCAAAATTGGAGGATGGAATGGAGAAAAGAGTTGAACTTATCATTAAAGAAGTAACACATGTGAAAACATAAGGTGTAACTCATCCCCAAAGAAAAGTAAACTCTCCATAAAGTAGCAAGTATAGAAATTTATTGAAAAGGAGGAAAGTACCACTCACCCCCCCAATATAAGCGTATTAATTTGAATTAAAATTTTCTCCAAATCCGAGATAGGTTACGCAAAAGAATACAAAAAGATTATTTTTCTTTCAACTAAGAGGAAAAACAAAATCCGATTTAAATTCACTAATGGGACAAGAAGGGAGGCTGTGGTTTGCAGGTGCTAGTAAACGGGATGAGGGTTGTGAAGAGTTTGAGGGGTAGAGGACCAGCTTACCTCGCTTTGGAGCCGCAGCGGCCAACAGGAGTGGGCAAAGGACCCTGCCAGTGCCTGAGTGATAGGGGAAATAAGGAATAGGGGATTCGGGTGCCCCTAGACGAATGAGGAGGATGGAAAGACTGGGGGTGCCCATCTCCCCTCCTCTGCCCGCCTCCCTCCCTCCGGTACCCAGGCCTAGAGAGCTACTGAAAGTTACAAATTGCTTCCATTATTAGCTCATCCCGGGCGGCCTGGTCATTGGCCAGCCCCTGGCCACGTGGTCCCTCGTACCAATCGATCGAATTTCTAGTCGCAATTCTCTGTCTGTCCCTCAGCTCTGGGGAGAAAGTGGGGGCTGTGGCGTGGGGGCTGAGGTCCAGTTTGGGGCGGGGTGGGAGAGGAGTCCTTGAGTATCCTGTCCCAGGGCCAAACCCCCAGGAGTCCAATCTTCAAGACATCCTTGAGCCGACTTCCGCCGATGGAGGGGGATCTTCAGGGTGCCTGCTGGGTTCTCAGGACTCCTCTTCAGATCCTAGTTTTGACCCCTCCGGGTTAGAAAGGATGGGCTCAGCACATCTGGTGAGGCAGGCAGGTCGTCGCTGCAGCACAGAATGATCCCATGGCCCTCAAGGCGTGGTGTCAGCTGAAAGTTCACTGATCTGTGAGCCCTCTGCCTCCCTCCTCCGTTGAAAGAGCAGTGGCGTGCCCCACTTCTAAAAGCCCTGGGGCTCCTGCAAGCGGACACCGCTTTCCAGGACAGGTGCAAACAGGGATGGTGCGAAGCCGAGGTGGAGACAATGCGATCACGCGTGGCACTGGCGTATCCCACAGCAGATGGTGTGAATGTGTGTCACCGGAGGCATATGGGGTGATGGCAAAACCAACAATGGTGTCCAGGCATGTGCCCGGTGGAAAGGGGGAACAAGTGGCCTTTCCCTGAGTGCCAAGGGAACTCAAAGAAGACCTGGGAACCTGGACGGGGCCTTTGCCTCAGTCCAAGCCACATTTTGAAATGCCTGCCAGAGGAGCACAGAGGTTTCTGCAACATTCACCCTACCCCGAAGCCTCCACCGCCCAGGTAGCCCTGATGCAACTTCCCTGCAACCGGCCCCAACCCCATCCCCAGGCCCAGCCCAGTTCCTTTGGTTTCCTGACATTCGTTACAGACAAAAGATTCAGGGAATCAGTCCACCTATGAGCAGAGGAGAGGATATCCCTCATTTGTGAGACAGGACGTGCAAAGGAAATGGGACACCACCTGTCTTAGAAGACAAGGCCAGTCATGATCACCTAGCGCTCATTCTAGGCAATCCACCCACCGATGAGGTGAAACAAGGAGACCAAAGAAGCTTCCCTGTCTGAGACACGCATGGAAGCCAAGTGTTCCAGGCTTATCAGACCTGCCCAATCCAGCAGAAACAGGTTTGGAGAGAGAAAGAGTCATGTCGCGGATCTCCAGAAAGTGTCTCCCTGATGGACTGGGAAGCGATCTTCGTAGAATTTATTCAGCCAGATCAAGAGGCAACTAGGCCCCTCAGAAACAGGGGAGACAGAGCAAGAGGGAGGACAGAGCACAGGCCAGAGCCCAGGCAGGTTACAGAACCTTGCCACCGCCACAGGCATAAGGGGAGGGGTGCGAAACGCATGACTTGTCCAGAGAGGCCAGCATTCCAGGGACAGGGATTGTTGCCGTCTCCCATTCCCGGCTTCCTCTTCAGAATTGTATCGTGGTGTGGCTTCATTGCTCAGAGAAGAGCCGTGCAGGGGTACAACCATCTTCTTGGAGGTGTGTCTGCTCCTCTCCTGCCGGACAATGAGCTGCTGTGGGGTTTTGTCCTGGGTTGGAGTGTGGTCCTCTTGATCCTAGAAAAGAGGCCGCTCAGGATGGGGATGAGACTTCGATTGCTCCGGGACCGACGCATCTCCTCACGTGATCGAGGACTTCACAAACCCAAAGTGGAACCGCCGTGAAAACGATGGACAACCGGCCACGGGACCCAGACAGAGACACAGAAAGAGGCTCAACAAAGACTGGCCGACATGCAAAAAATCGCATTTTGGCAAACAGAGCACATTCGTCCAAAGACACACACACACACAGACATGCACACACAAACACACACACACACAGACCAACAGAGAGAGGGAAAGAAACACACAGAGGGTGAGAGACAGAGAGAGAAGAGAGAATGGGAGACACACACACACACACAGTCCTACAGTGGTGGCACAGAAACACACATTCCCAGGCAACCCCTGAGGTTAACTAATAGTGGAAAATATGTATCTAAGAATACACTTGGAACAGAAATGTGAAAAACCGAAAGTAAGAGATATTATGAAGGAGCAAATATAAAATGACCCAGTGCTAAAGAGGCCACAAAGAAAATTGTAGAAGAAAATGACAAGAGGCATTGTGCCTTAATGAGTTTGTGCTTCTATATAAGAAAATACACTAGGCTGGGTAATTTCTGAAGAACAGAAATGTATTTCTCACAGTTCCATAGGCTAGAAGTCCAAGATCAAGGTGCCAGCAGGATTGGTGTCTGGTGAGGGCCTGGTCTCTGCATCCAAGATGGTACCTTGTGCACTGTGTCTTCAGGAGGAGAGGCACTGTGTCCTCACATGGCAGAAGGCGGAAGGGTAAAACAGGGGAAGCCCACTCCCTCCAGTCCTTGTGTAAGGATCCTACACCCATTTGTGAAGACTCTCCCTTCATGACTGAATCACTACCTAAAAGCCCTACTTCCTAATCCTATGACATTTGTGATTAATTTTAGGGGGACACATTCAGAGCATAGCACCCTATATTCAATTTCTTAAAAATTATTTTGTTGTTTTGCTTTTCTGTTTTTCAAATGGCTTAAGTGCACAAAATTGGATTAATCATAATCCTTGGCTCATAGTACACCTTGGCTCCTATTTCACCCTTGTCTGTGCCTGGGCCTCTGTGTAAATGTATTTGAACAATATGGTAATCACTTGTCAACTTACAACACAACCAAAGAACTAGGGTTCTGACCCTAACATCTGCTCCTCCTCTGTCCTTTTTCCTGATTTTCACCCTTCAGCCCGAGAGTAACTATTACCCTGAATTTATGTTTAGGATTCTCTTCCTTTAAAAAAAACACATTGTTTTATTGCATACATATGATTACCCTAAATGACATGTTACTTAGTTTTTAAGGGTATAATTTATTTACCCATTCTCCTATTAATTTACCCATTCTCCTATTAATGAACATTTGGCTTATTTCCAGATTTTTCCTATTATGAATGGCATTACGTGAGGATTTTTTTTTTTTTTTTTACTACATCTTGTACATATGGGCAAGAGTTTCTCCAGGGCCTATGGTAGAGAAATTACTTTGCCATAACATATGAGAATGCTCAAATTTATAAGATAATCCAAATTGCTTTCCAAAGTGGTTGTTCTAATTTAAACGCTCACCTCCTGTATTAGTTCGAGATGATCTTGTTGATCCACAGTCTCTCCATATATGGTGATATGGTTTGGCTGTGTCCACACCCAAATCGCAGCTTGAATTCTATCTCCCAGAATTCCCACATGTTATGGGAGGGACCCAGGGTGAGGTAATTGAATCACGGAGGCCAGTCTTTCCTGTGCTATTCTCATGATAGTGAATAAGTCTCATGAGATCTGATGGGTTTATCAGGAGTTTCTGCTTTGGCTTCCTCCTCATTTTCTCTTGCTGCTGCCATGTAAGAAGTGCCTTTTACCTCCTGCCATGACTCTGAGGCCTCCCCCACCATGTGGGACTGTAAATCCAATTACAGTTCTTTTTCTTTACACCTCTTTTTCTTCTCAGACTTGGGTATGTCTTTATCAGCAGTGTGAAAACAGACTAATACAGTAAATTGATACCAGTGGAGTGGGGTGCTCCTGAAAAGATACCCAAAAATGTGCAAGCAACTTTGAAACTTGGTAACAGGCAGAGGTTGGAACAGTTTGGAGGGCTCAGAAGAACACTGGAAAATGTGGGAAAATTTGGAACCTCCTAGAGACTTGCTGAATGACTTTGACAAAAATGCTGATAGTGTTTTGAACAATAAGGTCCAGGCAGAGGTGGTCTCAGATGGAGATGAGGAACTTGTTGTGAACTGGAGCAAAGGTAACTCTCGGTATGTTTTAGCAAAGAGAATGGCAGCATTTTGCCCCTGTCCTAGAGATTTGTAGAACTTTGAACTTGAGAGTGATAATTTAGGGTATCTGCTGGAAGAAATTTCTAAGCAGTAAAGCATTCAAGAGGTGACTTGGGTGATGTTAAAGGCCTTTGGTTTTATAAAGGAAGCAGAGCATACAGTTTTGGAAAATTTGCAGCCTGACAATGTGATAGAGAAGAAAATCCCATTTTCTGAGGATAAATTCAAGCTGTCTGCAGAAATTTGCATAAGTAACAAGAAGCTGAATGTTAATCCCAAAAACAATGGGGAAAATGTCTACAGGACATGTCATAGGTCATCACAGCAGCCCCTCCCATCACAAGCCTGGGACCTAGGAGGATAAAATGGATTTCTGTGCTGGGCCAGGTTGACTGTGCTGTGTGTAGCCTAGGGCCTTGTTTCTCTGCGTTTCAGCCCCTCCAACCATGGCTGAAAGAGGAAAACATAGAACTCAGGCCATGGCCTTGAGAGTGCAAGCACCAAGCCTTGGCAGCTTCCATGTTGTGTTCAGCCTGCACATGCATAGAAGTCAAGAACTGAAGTTTGGAAACCTCCACCTAGATTTCAGAGGATGTTTGAAAACACCTGGATGTCCAAGCAGAAGTTTGCTGCAGGGGTGGTGCTCTGATGGAGAACCTCTGCTAGGGCTGTGCAGAAGAGAAATGTGGGGTCAGAGCCCCTATACAGAGTCCTTACTGGGGCACTTCCTAGTGGAGCTGTGAGGAGAGGGCCACTCTCCTCCAGACCCCAGAATGGTAGATTCACTGACAGCTTGCACCATGAGCCTGGAAAAGCTGTGGACACTCAACGTCAGCCCATGAAAACAGCCACGAGGTGGGCTATACCCTGCAAAGCCACAGAGGCAGAACTGCCCAAGGCTGTGGAAGCCCACCTCTTGGATCAGCATGACCTTGATGTGAAACATGGAGTCAAAGGAGATCATTTCGGAACTTTAAAATTTGACTACCTTGCTGGATTTTGGACTTGCATGGGGCCTGTAACCCCTTTGTTTTGGCAAATTTCTCCCATTTGGAACGGCTGTATTTACTCAATGACCTGTACCCCCATTGTATCTAGGAAGTAACTAGCTTGATTTGGATTTTACAGGGTCATAGGCAGAAGAGACTTGCCTTGTCTCAGATGAGACTTTGGACAGTGGACATTTGGGTTAATACTGAAATTAGTTAAGACTTTGGGGGACTGTTGGGAAGGCATGATCGGTTTTGAAGTGTGAGGACATGAGATTTGGAGGGGCCAGGAGCAGAATAATATGGTTTGACTATGTCCCTACCCACATCTCAACTTCAATTGTATTGCTCAGGATTCCCATGTGTTCGGGGAGGGAACCGGGGGAGGTAGTTGAATCTTTAGAGCCGGTCTTTCCCATGCTATTCTCGTGATAGTGAATAAATCTCACAAGATCTGATGGGTTTATCAGTGGTTTTGTCTTTTGCTTCTTTTGCCTCCTTCTCATATTCTCTTGCCACTGCCATGTAAGAAGTGCTGTTCATCCACCACCATAACTCTGAGGCCTCCTCAGCCATGTGGAACCCTTAATGCAATTAAGCCTCTTTTTCTTCCCTGTCTCGGTTATGTCTTTATCAGCAGTGTGAATATGGACTAATACATTTTGTATTGTCAAACTTCTTAATATTTGTGGAGAGAATAGATGTGTAGTATCTTGTGCATTTCCCTGATTACTAATGAGGTTGAGAAAATTTTTATGTTTTGCAGGCTTTCTCTTTTGTGAAATCCCTATTAATGCATTTTCCCAATTTTCTGTTGGGTTGCTATTTTTAAAATTAGAAATAACTGTCATCAATCCAAAAGCTTACACATGGCAGATCCCTTCACACCAGTTCACAGTACAAAGTAACTCCTTGCTTGTAGAAAACATTATTATTATCATTATTATTTTTGAGATGGAATTTGACTTTTGTAGCCCAGGCTGGAGTGTGATGGTGTGATCTCGGCTCACTGCAACCTCTGCCTCCCAGGTTCAAAGGATTCTCCTGCCTCAGCCTCCCAAGCAGCTGGGATTACCAGTGCACACCACGATGGCCTGCTAATTTTTTGTATTTTTGTAGAGACAGGGATTCACCATGTTGGCCAGGCTGGTCTCGAACTCCTGACCTTAGGTGATCCACTTGCATCGACCTTCCAAAGTGTTGGAATTACAGGCAGGAGCCACCACACCCAGACTAGAAAACATTATTCAATAGCAAACAGTAGCAGTATGCTTGGGGGTTTTAGGATTGATTATTTTCAAATCTCTAGAAAAGCTCAATGCATTACCTTAGGCTATAATCTCAGGGCAGAGTCTCATCTGTTAATGTGGGGCTGGTCTAAGGGTCCTTCCACCTCTCAGATTTATGGTTTCCGATGTTGAACTGCTCCCTGTCACCCACCCATCCTCGGTTTTGTTTGTTTGTTTTTACAGAGACGAGGTCTCACTATATTGACCAGGCTGGTCTTGAACTCCTGGCCTTAAGCGATCCTCCTGCCTTGGCCTCCCAAAGTGCTGGAGTTACAGATGTGAGCCTCTGTGCTCAGTCCATCCTTGGCTGTTCAAGTGTAGAGGTAAGTAGTAGATGCCAAGTTTACCTCCAGGTAAGAAGGGGCAGATGCCCCAGGGCAGAATCATAACCATAATCAGGCCTCCCACTGCATGAGACATTATGTTCTGAAGCTTAAACCTGGACAAAGGTCTGACCAGTAGCACTGTGTTCATGAATGTCAGGTCAAAAATTTAAAACTGGGACTATCCAGAAGAACCTGGTAGATGCAGGTGCAGTCCACAGTCCAATGGTCAGCCTTGATAACAGGCCACCTGTACTTTCTCTTTATCATGGAGTCCTTGATGTAAAAATTGATGACACTTTCTTGCTTCTGGTGTGCTTCCCTTTCTTCTTCATTTTCCATAAGTAGTTTCCTCCATCCCGCCTCCCAACAGGCCACAGTCAATTCAGGACATTTTAACCATGAAAATGAGTCTCCATAACACGAATTTAGAGGCCAGACAGGGTGGATCACGCCTGTAATCCCAGCACTCTGTGAGGCTGAAGTGGGGGAATGGCTTGAGCTTAGGAGCTTCAGACCAGCCTGGGCAACATGGTGAAACCCTGTCTCTAACAATAAATAAATAAATAAATAAAAATAAGCCATGTATGGTGGTGCATGCTACTAGTCCCAGCTACTCAGGAGGCTGAGGTGGGAGGATTGTGGGGCCAAGGAGGTCAAGTATGGAGTGGGCCAAGATCATGCCACTGCAATCCAGCCTGGGTAATGGAGTGAGACCTTATATCAAGAAAAAGAAAAAGATTTAAAGGACAGGCTGACTTTCTTGTTACAAGCCAATGCTCATTTGCTATTCCATAAATCCTAGGGCACCTCTTAAGAATTATGCTAAATCTACACTACCCAAGCTCTATAAATGGAACAACAACACTTGGATGATATCAGAGCTGTTTACTGCATGGGTTACTGAGTATTTTAATCCCACTGTTGAGACCTACAGCTCAGAAAAAAAGATTGATTTCAAATACTTCAGCTTTTTGACAGTGTACCTGGTGACTAAAAAGCTCTAATGGAGATGTACAGGGAAATGCATGCTGGTTTCATGCCTGCCAATACAACATCTATTCTGTAGTCCATGGATTGAGGCATCATTTTGACTTTCAAGTCTTATTATTTGAGAAATATATTTCATAAGGCTGTTACTGCCACAGGTCATGATTCCTTTGATGGATCTGGGCAAAGTCAATTCGGAACCTTCTGGAAAGGATTCACTATGATAGATGCCACTAAGGACATTCATGATTCACCAGAGGAGGTAAAAATAGCAGCATTAATAGGAGTCTGGAAGAAGTTGATTCTGACCCTCATAAATGACTTTGAGGGGTTCACGACCTTAGCAGAGGAAGTAACCACAGTTGTGGTGAAGATAGCAAGAAAACTAGAATTACAAGTGGAGCCTGAAGATGTGAGTGAATTGCTGCAATCTTTTTTTTTTTTTTTTTTTTGAGATGGAGTTTTGCTTTGTTGCCCAGGCTGGAGTGCAATGGCGCAATCTCGGCTCACCACAACCTCCGCCTCCTGGGTTCAATTGATTCTCCTGCCTCAGCCTCCTGAGTAGCTGGCATTATAGGCATGTGCCACTGCATCCGGCTAATTTTGTATTTTTAGTAGACAAGGAGTTTTACCATGTTGGTTAGGGTGGTCTCAAACTCCCAACTGCAGATAATCCATCTGCCTCAGCCTCCCAAAGTGCTGGGATTACAGGCATGAACCACCGCACCCGGCCAAATTGCTGCAATCTTAATGGAAATAAATGGAATTAGATGGAAAAAAGTTCAGTCTGGGGCTCAGGATCGGCTCTCCCTTTACTACGACATTCACGTGCAGCGCACCAAGGAATCAGAGAATTCTACACTCGACTTTGACCTTGTGGGTTATTATGGCAATATATTTATCATAATATACTGTGAATATTTATCAAAGTAGGAGAATAGAACATATTTAACTATTTGTTAGCTTCATTTATAACTCATAATTATTTAGACGTAATGCAAATGTGGGCTGGAATTCATGTTCTGATTTTTTGTGGCCTTGAGCTAAGGAAAAGGGACCCAGGGAAATGGGCTTTATATGCTTGGATGGCTTCATGGAATCCCCAACTTCCTTAGCTTCTGTGACAACTCAAGATTGTTACTAAAATCCACTTTGTATTATCTTTAAAAACCAAGGGATATCATTTCTGCTTATATAATATATATTATAATACATATTATATTATGATAAAATATATAATATAATATAATTAATATAATAATATACAATATATAATATTATATAATATAATTAATATAATAATATACAATATATAATATTATATATTATTATATAATGTTATATAATATATAATTTATATTATATAATAATACATATATAACATATATAAAATACTATATTATTGTTGCTTGTTATGAATGAGGAAAGAAAGTGGTTTCTTGCGATGGAATCTACTCCTGGTGAAAATGCTGTGAACATTGTGGAAAGAACAACAAAGGACTTAGAATATCCCATAAACTTAGTTGATAAAAGAGTGGCAGGGTTTGAGAGAATTGGTTCCAATTTTGATATAAATTCTACTGTAGGTAGAATGCTACCAAACTGCATAGCATGCTACAGTGAAATCTTTTGTGAAAGGAAGAGTCAGTCAATGCAGTAAACTTCATTGTCATCTTATTTTAAGAAATTGCCACTCCCTCTCCAGCCCTCAGCAACCACCACCTCGATCAGTCACTAGCTATCAACATTGAGACAAGACCATCCAGCAGCAAAATGATGATGACTTACTGAAGGCCCAGATGATGGTTAGCAGTTTTTGGCAATCACGTATTTTCAAAGTAAGGTATATACATTATATTTTAGACATAATGCTATTGCACACTTAATTGACTACAGTAACTTAAACATAACTTTTTTTTTTGAGATGGAGTCTGGCTCTGTTGCCCAGGTTGGAGTGCAGTGGTGCAATCTTGGCTCATTGCAAACTCTGCCTCCCAGGTTCAAACAATTCTCCTGCCTCAGCCTCCTGAGTAGCTGGGACTACAGGTGCGCACCACCATTTTTGTATTTCCGGTAGACACAGGGTTTCGCCATGTTAGCCAGGCTGGTCTTGAACTTCTGACCTCAGGTGATGCACCCACCTCGGCCTCCCAGTGTGCTGGGATTACAGGCGTGAGCCACCATGCCTGGCAACATAACATTTATATGCACCAGAAAGCAAAAAATATCGTGTGACTTGCAAAAAATTTCGTGTGACTTGCGCTGTTGTGACATTCACCTTATTGTGTTACCTAGAACCAAACCTGCAATATCTCCAAGGTGTGCCTGTATCCCTAGAAGCAGAGCTGGAGTAAGGACTTCGGTGTGGGTGGTTTATTTGGAAAGTGATTCCAAGAAGCAAGAGTCAGAAGTGGGAAGAGTGAGCCAGGCAAGAAAGAAAAGCCAAAATAATGGCATGCTATTGAGGCTCCTGCCATGCAGTTTTTTCTGCAGGACCTTCCGAGAGGCTCCGGAAAGTTATCCAGAAATGCCCACCTGAAACATGAGCCTGGAGCATTTGTCCACCTGTCCCACACTGGTTGAGGTCTTCCCCTGAGGCTGTTAACCTGCAAGTGTTTCTGGGCTGTATTTGTGCTCAGGCAAAATCGTACAATAATGGAGATTCCCTAGGGCAGAAAGTGTATCTTGAGTTTGCTGGCAGCACAAGAGAAGCCTGTGCTTCCATGGAACTTCTCACGGTGTCTGAGACTGAATGAAAGGTGAGCTGAGAAAACATGACGCAGGCGCCATTGCACTAAGCAATCATAGCCATCGATCTGGGCAAGAGGACCCCTGCCCTGAATCCTGCACTTGAGAAGGTGCCTCTCTGGCCCTCCACTGACTGTACCCTGGCCCACTCAGAGCTTCACCCTCTCTTCTAGGGCACATGCTGGGCACTCAGGGACCTGGCGAAATGTGCCTGAGCCTGCATGGCCTCTTCCCTGGGTCCATTTCAAAGTGCAAACTGTGCTTGTCCAAATGGTGCCCAAGGATCTGCTTTCTGAAGGGGTGAGAATTGTGGATGGAGCTTGCATGGGGCCTAGGGAGTTCCCCACACAAGGGTTTGCAAAGCTTCTCAAGTGAGGACAGGGCTACCTACGATGAAAGAAAAAAGTTTAGCCTGGGGCTGATGATCAGCTCTCCCTTTACTACCACATTCCTGTGCAGAGCACCAAGAAATCAGAGAATTCTACACTCAACTTTGACCTTGTGGGTTATTATGGCAGTATATTTATCGAAATAGGAGAATAGAACATATTTAACTATTTGTTAGCTTCATTTATAACTCATAATTATTTAGACATAATGCAAATGTGGGCTGGAATTTACGTTCTGATTTTTTGTGGCCTTGAGCTAAGGAAAAGGGACCCAAGGAAATGGGCTTTATATGCTTGGATGGCTTTGTGGAATCCCCAACTTCATTAGCTTCTGTGGTGACTCAAGATTGTTACTAAAATCCACTTTGTATTATCTTTAAAAACCAAGGAATATTATGTAGATCAGTAGTTAGAAGGTACTTGACTCAAAATATGTATGAACCAAAGGATATAAATGACTAAAAGCAGAAGGATTATTACCTGAAGTGGTGGAAGGTTGATCTCAGGATATGACCTGTGAGATCCTTCCTGCTGGCTCAGTGCTGGCTGAACGGGGGGTAGGAGAGCACCAGGAACAACACACATCTGGGACAGGAGGGAATCCGGGGAGGAAGGAAAGAGAAATAGGCCTTTTTATTTTTATTGATACATGACAATTATACATATTTGTAGGGTACATGTGATATTTTGATACATGCATACAATGTGTAGTGATCAAATCAGGATAATTTGCATATCCATCACCTCAAACATTTATCATTTATTTGTGTTGAGAACATTCCACATCTTTCCTCTACTCATTTTGAAATATATAAGTTATTGTTAATGATCATCACCCTACTGTGCTATTGAACACTAGAAATTTTTCTGTTCCTTCCATCTAACTGTATTTTTGTGTCCATTAACCAACTTCTGGGAAGGGCAAAAGAGTGGGTGGATGAAAAGGGCCCTTTTTAAGGAAAAGTAAATCTTACAAGAAGGGAAGACATCTTAGGAGGAAAAATAAAAAGGTGGACCATGGGCTTAGAGTAGGGACTGCAGAAATTGAATGGCAAAGAAAAAACCAACTTAGCAATGTGAAAATACATCTCAATGTCATTCTTTTCGCAGGTCCAGTGTCTGATTCTTTTGGGAAGCTGGATATGAAGTCAGAATCTTTCTTTGAGTCATACATTTTCATGATTATGATTATTATTGAATGATAGCTGACAATTATTGAGAGCAATTATTGAGGACAATTATTGAGCTTTCACAAGCCCTTTTCAAAGGTCTTTACATATATTTTCTCCACTTCTAACTGTTAGATATTCTTATTATTCCCATTTTGTAGATGAGGGATACACAGGCATAAAGCCTATGTGGAGGCAGAGAGCAGCTACGTAACCTGACCATGGCCCAACAGCAAACAAATGATGGGGCCACATGCAAATCCAGGCAGAATCCTTCTATTATATGAAGCTCAATGTTTTCTTGTTTGCAGCTTGTTATGAATACATCTATTTGCAAATGGGTTTTGAAGCTACTTTAAAACATTTTGTGGCTGTGCGTGGTGGCTGGCACCTGTAATCCCAGCATTATGGGAGACCAAGGTGGGCAGATTGCCTGAGCTCAGGAGTTTGAGACCAACCTGGCCAACATGGTGAAACCCTGTGCCTACTAAAAATACAAAAAAATTAGCCAGGTGTGTTGGTGTGCACCTGTAATCCCAGCTACTCTGGAGGGTGAGGCAGGAGAATCACTTGAACCCAGGAGAGGAAGGTTGCAGTAAGCTGAGATCATGCCACTGAACTCCAGCCTGGGCAACAGAGTGAGATTCTGTCTCCAAATAAAAAATAAATAAGATTGAATTTTGAGCTCCTGACCATGTCCCTAGATTGTACTCATATGTATTTTGATGTCTAATAAGATTTATTCTCAGTGCATTTTTTAAGTGAAAGTATTTATTGAGCATCTACTGTATATCATGTGCTGAAATAGGCACCAGTGGTGCAGGGAACATATGGCACAGTGTCTGACCTCAGGTAACTTTCACTCTCATACATATGTATTAGGACACCAACACATGTGTGAATATAAGATAGTATGATAGATATTGCAACAAGTAATTATTTACTGTAAACCTATTTTATAGGATTTTAAACTTAAACTACTTTCACCCTATTTCCAAAAAAAAGTATTGCATAACTTTAAATAGATTCTCAGTTTGAAATCATCATACAAACTGCAGTAGCATCTGCTGGTGAAATACTGCTTTGTATCTATTAGAATAGTCCAAACAATTGTGAGACAACTGCATTATTAGAGCTGTAAAAGTTATTGTCTAGAAATCTCAGAGAAGAAGAGGAAGTTCTATGGTAGATGAATAAGATGACATCTAAACTGTTCTCTTCAGCTACTGAAGTTCTGTGGATATCTCACAGCACAAAGTTCAAGTGTATGCCCACAGCTCCTCATGCCACAAGATGTGACACCTTTCCAATCTCTTTTTGCAAAAGTTTCCAATTATGTCTCTTTTAAGAGTACTTTTTATACCCACATATTCCAGATTTTGTGGTGCACGCAAAGACAAGATGGGAAGGGGCTTCCATTTATTGATGCCAGCTGCTCCATGGACCAGGCCCTGCCCATGCATCCATGTTGGTTCTTTTATCCCCACATCAGCCATAGCCCATAAGCATTAACTGCCATTGCACAGATGAGGAAATTGAAAGTCTAAGAGAATATGCAATCTACCCAGAGTCATGCAGCTTGTGTATGTAAGGGTTGGAATGAAAATCCAATCTGTGTGAGTCCCAAGTCCCCTTCCACCATATGGTTTCCATTTCATTTTGCAATCAGATTGGCTGGGATATGTCTGCCCTAAAAGACAGTAAGTAGGAATATTTGTCTCTATACCTTAACCTGACATCCATGGGCTTGCTTTTTGTATTTGGAGGTGTCATAACATTATAATAATAATTTGATTTTATTTGTACAGTGGATATTATACTACTCAGTCTAGAGATTTATGACATCCCAGTCTAAACTGGATGATAGCAATGAAGCTTCTTCAAGGAGACAAGTATGAGTAATAAGGTAGTAATAAGCTGAATTTCTATGGAGTTGCTACTTCTGAATTAAAACTAGTTGAGATTAAGTAGATATTCAAAAATATTGCTATAATCTTCACTTGAATAATACAAACATTTATTATTTTTACATATTTATTTATTTATGGAACATAGATGTAATTTTAAAACAATATTTTCAAATTATATTAAAATATATTAAAAACATAATACATTATCACCCAATAGAGTTTTTCAAAGTAACTCAGTGTTAGTTTAAAATGTGAAATTCAATCAACATAATTCACCATAGAATACAGTGTGTATGTCAGTATAATATATATATCAAAATTGGAAAGCAGTAAATTTATCTTTGTTTTGTAATAAGATGAAATTAAAATTTTAATGAATTTCAACTTTCATTTTAGATTTCGGAGGGTACCTTTGCAGGTTTATTACATGGGTGTATTGTGTGATGCTGAGATTTGGGGTATGAATGAAAGTGTGAGTGCCTGTTTTGAACTTGCACCGAGAGCAATCTCCCCTGATCAGCAGAGGGTAAACTAACTTGAATTACACTTGAATTTTTTAGTAGAGCAGGTCACAAAGGGCAAATTGTAGTCCAGAGGCAAAAGTGCTCAGTGGTCTAAAATGAGCCTGCCATATCACTGAGGGTACAGGTCTTCACAGAAATATATTTCAGAAAGACGTCAAACCCTTGTTTAAAGATAAATGTAAGCTGGGTGTGGAGGCACACGTCTATAATTCCAGCTACTCAGGAGGCTGAGGCAGGAGGATCCCTTGAGTTCAGGAGTTTAAGACCAGCCTGGACAACATAGGAAGATCCCATCTCAATTTTTTAAAATGAGAAAAAAATAGATAAACTTAAGCATATTAAAATTTTAAAGAGTTTATTTAAGCAAACAGAGATTCATGGATCAGGCAGCTCCAAACTGAAAGTGGTTGGAGGATCTACTGGAGGTGTTTGTAAGGAAGGCTTTTACAGGGTGAATATAGAAGTAAAGTAGAGAAATTATTTGATTGGCAAAAATGTGGGCAGTTGCATTATTTGAACTATCCTGGTGGTAGGTCTCTCATTACCCAGCTAATACTCAGCAGGCCACCTGTGGGTGGGCTAAGCTTGTTTCATTTTGTCTATGCAGGAACCCTGGCCATGGGAGCTATCTCAGCCTAATGCTCTCCCATTACAAAATTTTACACCTTCTTTCTGTATCAGGGTAAGTGGGGATCTTCCCCAGGAGGGTTCTTACCACCCTGTTTCCCTCAGCAAAATGAAACTGTCCCTTTTGCCTCTGTAGGCAATCTTCTGAACAAGGCATTCCTAATATTCTTATCTCATCTTATTTTATCTTATCCTCTTCTCTGTACCTTGTTTACATGCTTCTGGAACACTTGTGTGTCTTGCACCCATCTCCTCCATTATTTAGGCAATCCTAACAGAAGGCCACTAGGATGGATTGGAAGAGAACTGCTGGCATATTGAGCCCTCTCTCTTTGTATCTGGAACTTTCATAATTACCTTAGTTCTCCATGCCAATTTTGCACTTATCTTTGTTCTCCACTTCAAAATACATTTACCTCTGACAGCAGCTGAGTTCATAAAAGGGAACTTGTCCAGTGGTACTTATGAGGCAGGAGACATGATATAGTTAAAATTATAAACTATAATCACTATATAGTTATATATTATATATAATCACTATATCACTCCAGGGTTGAAGTGATACTCCTGCCTCAGCCTCCTGAGTAGCTGGGATTACAGGCATGTGCCACCACACTCGAATAATCGTATATGTTTTAAAATAGGAATAGATTTTCTCAGCTAAACGGAAGGGAAATGCTAAGGAAAGAGTGAGATTTTACTTGATAATTATGTTTCTGAATGAATCAGCCAATTAATAAAATGAAAACAGGCCAGGACAGTGGTGCATGCCAGTCATCCCAGCAATTTGGGAGGCCAAGGTGGGCAGATCACTTGAGTCCAAGAGTTTGAGACAAGCCTGAGCAACATATCAAAACCCCATCTCTACAAAAAATACAAAAATTAGCCAGGTGTGGTGGCTCATGCCTGTAGTCCCTGCTACTTGGGAGGCTGAGGTAGGAGGATCACCTGAGCCTGGAGATGTAGAGGCTGCAATGAGCTGTGATCATGCCACTGCACTTCCAGCCTGGGTGACACAGTGAGACCCTGTCCCAAAGAAACTAAACTAAAATGAAATGAAAACAAACACAAGACAAAAATTGATGGACTTATTTTAACACTTAGCATGATGAACACACATAGATAACAATACTAACCCAATGGGTTTTTGTCAGTCAAACTCATGGTCACTAGTCTAAAGAAAATAGGAATAATGACTGTGAATTAACAACCATTTACAACATTAGAAATACAAAATACAAATTATCGTCAGATATATCAGACTCACAATTATTTGACCTTTTAAGAATTCATCCTGCTCTCCATAATGAATAAGAAAATACTGATAACTCTTTTTTCCCTTAACTTAATCCTTTGTGCTCCTGAATCTCTGAATTTGTGTTTACATCTTAACACTCTTTTTTGTAATTATTTTCTGCAGCTTTTTTCTCTTCACTTGAGGCATCTCCTATATTCTCTTTACACTTTTCCACAAATGACTCAATTTTTTTCGTAAGCTTCATTGATGAGTTCCATGTATGTGATGATAGTGTAATGATAAATTATCCATGTGGTTTCCCTCCAGTCTTGTTCATTATTCAAGTGACTCTCCTTGGTCTAGCAACAGGCTAGGAGGTAACTATGACATTTTGTTCAGGTTAAGCAGGAAGAAGAAAACAAAATCTACATTCTCTTTTTTATATTTTAAACACAAGCCAACAAATAATTTGGAAAGACCCATGATTAGACAGGGAGGATTTTATGCTCCTTCAAGAGTAATTGAGATTGTTTAATTGTATGGAGGAATGAGCATATCTCAAGGGGAATTGAGAAGGTATAATATTTGGATGACAGAATCATTAAGAACTGGCTTTGCACCCTGGCTACACCATTGCACATAGGAAATATTAGGGTGCAGGGGTGCATGCCTGTAATCCCAGCATTTTAGGAGGCTGAGGCAGGTGGATCACCTGAGGTCAGGAGTTCAAGACCAGCCTGACAAACGTGGTGAAACCCCATCTCTACTAAATACAAAAAATTAGCTGGGTGTGGTGGCACATGCTTCTAATCCCAGCTACTTGGGAGGCTGAGGCAGGAGAATCACTTGAACTTGGGAGGTGGAGGTTGCAGTGAGCTGAGATAGTGTCATTGCACTCCAGCCTGGGCAACAAGAGCGAAATTCTGTCTCAAAAAAAAAAAAAAAAAAAAAAAAAAATCACGGCCCCACCAACTTTTTCACATAGGATGATTAAGGATTCCAGAGCCCATGCTACCTCTAGGGGCTCCTACCCCTGCCACACCACACATATATCTTGACAGGGCCTGTTATAGAGAAGAAAAGGCCCAGTAAATTAATATCACAATCATTGCCACATACCCACCAAAAGACTCAGATTAAAATTTTGACGAAATTAAGTGTCAAGAAGAATGCGAAGATTTGGGAATTATCAGACATTGTAAGACTGTCAGTTGCTGTGTTAACATTGGGATGAAACCCATAATAACTGGTAAAACTGAAGATATGTTTACCCTGTAACCGTGATTTCACCTCTTGGTTTATACTGTACATAAATACACACTAATGGTAACCAAATAGAAATACAAACATGTTCACAACAGCATCATTTGTAACTGATGAAAATGAACACAACCCACATGTCCACCAACAATGAAGGGATACACACTGGTGTACTGTAGTTTTATTTATTTTTATTTTTTTATTTATTTTGTGTATATAAATATAAATTTATATATATTTTTTGAGACAGAGTCTTGCTTAGTCGCCCAGGTTGGAGTGCAGTGGTGCGATCTCGGCTCACTGCAAACTCCGCCCCCTGGGTTCAAGCAATTCTCCTGTCTCAGCCTCCCCAGTAGGTGGGATTACAGGCATGTGCCGCCACTCCTGGTAAATTGTTGTATTTCTGGTAGAGATGGGGTTTCACCTTGTTGGTAAGGCTGGTCTGAAACTCCTGTTCTGAGGTGATCCACCTATCTCGGACTCCCAAAGTGCTGGGATTACAGGTGGCAGGCACTGCGCTTGGGCTTTTTTTTTTTTTTTTTTTTTTTTTTGAGACTATCACTCTATTGCCCAGGTTGGAGTACAGGGCGTGATCTTGGCTCACTGCGACCTCCATCACCTCCCAGGTTCAACTGATTCTCCTGCCTTAGCCTCTCAAATAATTGGGATTACAGGCACACACCACCACACCTGGCTAATTTTTTTTTTTAACAGAGTCTAATTCTGTCACCCAGGATGGAGTGCAGTGGTGAAAACTTGGCTCACTGCAACCTCTGCCTCCCAGATTCAAGTGATTCTCCAGCCTCAGCCTCCTGAGTAGCTGAGACTACAGGCATGTGCCACCACACTTGGCTAATTTTTTCTATTTTTAGTAGAGATGTGGTTTCACTGTGTTTGCCAGGATTGTCTCCATCTCCTGACCTTGTGATCCACCTGCCTTGGCCTCCCAAAGTGCTGAGATTACAGTCATTAGCCACCACGTGGCCTAATTTTTGTAGTTTTAATAGAGATGGAGTTTCACCATGTTGGCTAGGGTGGTCTGGAACTCCTGACCTCAAGTGATCTGCCTGCCTCGGCCTCCCAAAGTGCTGGGATTATAGGTGTGAGCCATCATGCCTGGCTGGTGTACTGTTTTAATAGAATGCAGAAACAATGCTAAGTGTGAATCTTAAATACTTAATATTGAGTAAAAGGTGCCAGATGCACCAGGATACAGACTTTTACTCCAATTATGTAAGAGAAAAACCAGGCAAAATCAGACTTTACTTTAGGCATATAAAAAATGCATAATAAGGCCAGGCATTGAGCTCAGGAGTTCTAAACCAGCCTGACCAACATGCAAAACCCCATCTCTACTACAAATACAAAAATTATCCAGGCATGGAGGCACATGGCCCATGCCTGTAATCCCAGCTACTTGGGACGTTGAGTCATGAGAATCGCTTGAATCTGGGAGGCGGAGGTTGCAGTGAGTCAAGATCATGCCACTACACTCCAGCCTGGGCAACAGAGTAAGGCTCCATCTCCAAAACAGAAAAAAATATATAAAATACATAATAAAATTATAAAGAGAACCAAGGAGAGGATGGCAGATATCCACAGGTAATGTGGATATCTGTTATATCTGTTACTAATAAGGGGAAGGAAGACTTTAGGATCAGTTAGGGGCATACAGAGGACTTCTCGGTGGTGATAGTGCTCTATTTCTTCACCTGGATAGATATCACACAGATGTTTATTTAATAATTGATGTATCCATACCTTTGTTTGCATATTTTAAAATAAGAATGAAATAGAGGAAAGGAAGGTGAATGGAAAGAGATTTCTCCATTCATCAAAATTTTAAAGTCATGTTTTTCCTCAGGTTCTTCTCCAAGCTCAGTCTGAAATGACGAAAGCAGCCAAGCATGGTGGCTCACGCCTGTAATCTCAGCATTTTGGGAGGCTGAGGCAGATGGATCACCTGTGGTCAGGAGCTAAGACCAGCCTGGCCAACATGGTAAAACCTCATCTCTACTAAAAATACAAAAATTAGCTAGGCGTGGTGGTGGGCACCTATAATCCCAGCTACTCGGGAGGCTACAGTGAGCTGAGATCACACCACTTGACTCAAAAGAGCGAAACTCTGTCTCAAAACAAAACAGCAACAACAATGACAAGGGAAACAGGAAAACATCCTCAATAATAGAGGACTTACCAAATTGGGTGCAGCCACTCATACTGTGTCTTGATTTGTAGATAAAGAAAATGATGACCCTCCCTAGGTACTGATTTAGAGTGACATTTCTGTGAAAATAGAGAAATACTTACATATCCATAGAACACATATATGCATTTAAAATTGTATATGAGCATGACATATACATACATATTTGTGTGCATGACACCTGCATCCTTGTATGTTTAAATACGATCTGGCAATTGCATTCTTTGGTATATACCCAAATATTTGAAAACTTATATCCACTCAAATCCTGCACATGAATGTTATAGCAGCTTATACACAACTGACAAAGATTGGAAGTAACCAAGATATCCTGCAATAGAGAAGTGGATAAACTAACTCTGAAACATTCATACAATGGAATATTCTTCAGGAATAAAAAGAGATGAACTACCAAGGCATGAAAAGACATGGAGGAATCTTAAACATGTATTTCTAAGTGAAAGAAGCCAATACAAAAAGGCCACATAGTATAGAGTTCCAATTATATGGAATACTAGAAAAGGGAAAACTAGGCAGATGGAATTATAAAAAGTTCAGTGGTTGCCAGAGGCTTGAGCAGAGGGAAGGATGAATAGGTGGAGCACAGAAGATTTTTAGGGCAGTGAAACTTTTCTGTGTGACCCTATAATTGTGGATATATGTTCTTAAGCATTTGTCAAAGCCCATAAATGGTAGAACACAGAGAGTGAATCTTAATATTAGCCATGAACTTAATAATATCAATATTGGCTCATCAAGCATAACAAATTACCACACTAACAAGATGATAATAGAGGAAGTGTGTGTACTATGGTGTGAGGTGGATATTAGAGCTCAATATACCTTCTGCTCTATTTTTGTGTATACCTACAACTGTTCTAAAAATTAAGTCAGTTATTTATTTATTTATTTATTTATTTATTTATTTATTTATTTATTTTTATTGAGATGGAGTCTCACTCTGTCACCCAGGCTGGAGTGCAATGGCCCGATCTCGGCTCATGGCAACCTCCGCCTCCCAGGTTCAAGCGATTCTCCTGCCTCAGCCTCCTGAGTAGTTGGGATTACAGGCACCAGCCACCACGCCTGGCTAATTTTTTGTATTTTTAGTTGAGACGGGGATTCACTGTGTCAGCCAGGATGGTCTTGATCTGCTGACCTCATGATCCACCTGCCTTGGCCTTCCAAAGTGCTTGGATTACAGGCATGAGCCACTGCGCCTGGCCTTATTTATCTTTTTGAGACAGGGTTTAGCTCTGTCACTCAGGCTGGAGTGCAGTGGTGCAATCATGGCTCAATGCAGCCCCAACCTCCAGGGCTCAAGTAACCCTCCCACCTCAGCCTTCTGAGTAGCTGGGACCACAGGCATGTGCCACCATGCCCAGCACATTTCTTAGACCTCTGAAAAGATGCTCAACACCGTATGTCACTAGGGGATTCAAATTAAAACAACGATGTGATACCATTACACATCTCTTAGACTGGCTTGAATGCAAACACCAACACCAAATGCTGGTGAAGATACGGAGCGACAGGAACTCATCTCTATTTCTGCTGAGAATGCAAAGTGGGTCAGCCACTGTGGAAGGCAGTTTTGCAAGTTCCTGCCAGACTAAACATACGCTTACCATACGATCCGGCAAAAAAATGAAATTTTAAAAATATATTTTATATACTTGAAACATATACATTTAAATAAATATATATTTTATATATATTTTAAAATAATATATATTTTTATTTTTTGTAGAGACAGTCTCTACAGACCATAGCCTGCAGATTCTATTAATTTTAAAAGCATTTTAAACTCTTGAACAAGAAATTATTTGAAGAGTGAAAAATAAAATGATAGAGTATTGATTGGTAAATTCCAAATGTTATATATTACATAATCTGGATTAATTTTAAATTCCAAAAAGTGCAACTTTAAAAAATATTTTAAAAATTTCCTAATCTGAGGTCAATACTAGTTCAACACATTACATTCAAGAGCTGATTTCAGAGGAGACATAAGGTCAACAAGTTCTTAGGTTTTGACTTTGTTTTCTGACTATCTGTGTTTGTGAATGGTGAATTTTTAGATTTTGTTCCTTTCTTCTTAGGGTATTGACTAATATTTTATTAAGCCGGAGAGACAGTAAATTAGAATTATCTGTTTGTCCATTTTATCTGTTATAAGTATTTCCTCCAAATTCACTTATCTAAAGTTTTTGGTTTATTTAGTCAGGTGCAGTGGCTCAGCCTGTAATCTCAGCACTTTTGGAGGCTGAGGTGGGGGATCGCTTGAGTTCGGGGGTTCAAGATCAGCCTGGCCAACATGGCAAAACCCAGTGCCTACTACCATACAAAAATTATTTGGGTGGTGGGTGTTTTGGCTCACTCCTATAATCCTAGCACTTTGAGAGGCCAAGGTGGGCAGATCACCTGAGGTCGGGAGTAAAGAAACAGAGAGTAAAGATTTTCTGAAACCAAAAAGTCTGAGAACAGCTGCTCAATATATTCATTCAACAACTATTTGTCTCCTTACCATGTGCATGGTACAGTTCTAGGCTCTAGGGATAAATAGCATTGAACAAAATTGACAATATCTCCTGCTCTCATCAAGTTTACATTCTAGTGGACATAATGTAAGAACAGAGATGATTTGTCAAAAAGCAGTCCGGGCACAGTGGCTCATGCCTGTAATCCCAACACTTTGGGAGGCCGAGGCAGGGAGATCACTTGAGGTCAGGGGTTCGAGATCAGCCTGGCCAATATGGTGAAAACCTGCCTCCACTAAACATACAAAAATTAGCCAGGGCTGGGTGTGGTGGCTCACCCCTGTAATCCCAACACTTTGGGAGTCCGAGGTGGTTTGGATCACCTGAGGTAAGGAGTTCAAGACCAGCCTGGCCAACATGGTGAAGCCCCGTCTCTACTAAAACACACACACACAAAAAAAAATGTTAGCCAGGCATGGTGGCAGATGCCTATAATCCCAGCTACTTGGGAGGCTGAGGCAGGAGAATCACTTGAACCTGGGGGGCGGAGGTTGCAGTGAGCCAAGATCACACCAATGCACTCCAGCCTGGGTGACAGAGCGAGACTCCATCTCAAAAAAAAAAAAAAAAAAGTTTTAAGTGCTATGGAAAAAAAAGGGAAGTGGTAAATAGTTTCAATTTCAGATAGGATGATCTCTGACAAGGCAAGAATCATGTTAAGACATGAAGAAAATTAATACAATGATCCTTACAGGTATATGGAGGGAGAGCTTCTTTTCTTTCCTTTTCTGTTTTATTTATTTATTTATTTATTTATTTATTTATTTTTTAGACAGAGTTTCACCGTTTTGCCCAGGCTGCAGTGCAATGGCACCATCTCAGCTCATTGCAACCCCCATCTCCCGGGTTCAAGTGATTCTCCTGCCTCAGCTACTCCCCCAAGTGAAAGGTGACCAAGAGAGCCATTGAAAATAGTGAGAGTGGCCGGGTGCGGTCCCAGCACTTTGGGAGGCCAAGATGGGTGGATCATGAGGTCAGGCATTCGAGACCAACCTGGCTGAGAGGGTGAAACCCCGTCTCTACTAAAAATACAAAAATTAGCCAGGCGTGGTGGCGTGCCCCTGTAATCCCAGCTACTCTGGAGGCTGAGGCAGGAGAATCACTTGAATCTGGGAGGTAGAGGTTGCAGTGAGCCCAGATCATGCCACTGCACTCTAGCCTGGGTGACAGAGCAATATTCTGTCTAAAAAAAAAAAAAAAAAAAAGAAAAGAAAAGGAAAGAAAAAGAAAATGGTGAGAGCACCATGTTTGAAAAGTGGTCCAGGCACTGGGGTAAGGGGTGAGTGTCAGCCAAGTCATCAGCTATCAGAACAGGAAGCCATCAGGTAATATATCAAGTTGATATATTGAGAAGGAGCAGGATCTACCTATTATATAATATAGAGATAAGCACTCAGATATATAGATTAGAAATAGTTTAGAAAATTTAGACATTTGATTATTCGGGAAGTAGATCTGGGAGTATTGGAGAAACAGGGTCGGGGAGTAGACTGCATGGAAAGCTCTTTCTTAGTTTGTGATTTTTCATTTATGCACATAGGTTTCTTACATAACATGGAAAATTCAATTAAAGAAGAAACAACATTGTGTTCTGAGGTCCCAAAGGTGTAGTGATTAATTAGAAAGACTCACAAAATCGAGTGAAGCTGTTTTACTCATAGTTTATTACAACGAAAAGATACAGATTAAAATCAGCAGCAGAAAAAGGTGCACAGGGCAGAGTCCAGGAGAGACAAAGCACAAGCTTCCAGTTGTCCTCTCCCAGTGACATCGTGTGGACAGTGCTTAATTCACCCAGCGATATTTGGCAAACAGTATAGAATATACTCCCCAACAAAAAGCTTACCTGAGCCTTGGTGTTGAGCATTTTACTGGAGGTTGGTCACATGGACAAGAGCACCCATTTGGATGACATTAGTTTCTCCGTCTCCACCCTTCCCAAGGTCAAGCTGAGACTGCATGGTCCAAGGTCCCCATAATAAATCACGTTGTTAACTCCCAGATAGGCAGGAGAGTCCGAGGACTTAGAGGTTATTTCCTGGGAACTAGGATAGAGTCACACCATTCTTTGGAGTATGCCAGGTTTGGGCAATTCAGGCCTACTAAGTTTCCTTGACTGCACACAAGTGATAGTATGTAGGAAATGAGTAGTTGCATATATTGCTGGTGAAAATACAGTGTTATATAACCCTTTGGAAAGAAATCAAGTGTGTAGCACATAAACATCATATTTGGTTTGTTTTTGTTTTTGTCTGAGACAGGGTCTCACTCTGTCACCCACACTGGGGTGCAATGGCATGATCACAACTCACTGCAGCCTCGACCTCCCAGGCTCCAGCTATCCTCCCACCTCAGTCTCCTGAGTAGCTGGGACCACAGGCACCTGCAAGTACACCCAGCTAATTTTTGTGTTTTTTGTACAGATAGGGTTTCACCATGTTGCCCAGGCTGATTTCAAACTCCTGGGTTCAAACAATCCCCTACCTCAGCTCCCCAAAGTGCTAGGATTACAGGAGTGAGAGCCACTGCACCCAACCTATATTTGTATATACATTAAATTGTATATGTTAGACTGGGCACGGTGGCTCACACCTGTAATTCCAGCATTTTGGGAGGCCAAGGTGGGTGGATCACTTGAGGTCAGGAGTTCGAGAGCAGCCTGGCCAACATGGTAAAAACCCATCTCCACTAAAAAAACAAAGTTAGCTGGACATGGTGGCAGATGCCTGTATTCCCAGCTACTCAGGAGGCTGAGGCAGGAGAACCAAGCAGTGGAAGTTGCAGTGAGCCGAGATCATGACACTGCACTCCAGCCTGGATGAGAGAGCAAAACTCTATCTCAAAAAACAAAACAAAAAAATTGTATATGTTATTGTATGTATGTGTATATATTAAGTTGTATATACCCATATTAAATATATATACATATATTACACTTTACACACATACACTTGTTTCCTCATGCAATTTGTTTCAGCAGAAGTAAAAACTAACAAAGTTATAAGTAAAAGAATATTTACAGAAGCACTATTTTTGGTGGCAAAAGTACTTTAATATCTTAAATGCTCATATAATGAAAGATACTTTAACTCTTACAAAGAATGTGTCAGCATTTTATCTACTATAAAGGTATCCTAATATCTTTATACCTAAAGTGATATATGTGGCCAATTTTTATATTAAAAAAGGAGAATGCTTTATAATTAAAGAAAAAAGAAAGAAACGTTATATAATAGCCCTCCCTTATCTGCAGGAGATGTGTTTAAGACCCGCAGTGGATGCCTGAAACTTGGGTAGCATTGACCCAATTGCTTTCAATCAGAACACATTTCTGTTTGATTTCCACTCACAAATTTAATGCCTTTTTCATCTTAACTAAGCACTTATCACACATATGGCTGTACTTTTTAGAGCTTGGGGTGCAACAAACAAGACTAACAGAAATTTCTTTTTCCTTCTTACATTTTCACCGCTAGAGGATTTGTTCTTACCATCGATCTTAGCAACCTGAGCACACGACTTCTCTCTTTTTCTTTCTTTCTTCCTTTCTTTCTCTTTCTTTCTTTCTCTCTTTCTTTCTTTCTTCTTTCTTTCTTTCTTTATCTTTCTTTCATTTTTCTTTTTTTCTATTTATTTTATGTATTTACTTATTTATTGAGATGGAATCTCAGTCTGTCATCCAGGTTGGAGGGCAGTAATGCGATATTGGCTCACTGCAAACTTCTCCTCCCGGGTTCAAGAGATTCTCGTGCCTCCGCCTCCCAAGTAGCTGGGATTAAGGCCCTCACCACCGTGCCCAAATAATTTTTGTATTTTTTGTAGTGATGGGGTTTCACCACGTTGGCCAGGTTAGTCTCGAACTCCTAACCTCAAAAGATCCACCCGCTTCAGTCTCCCAAAGTGCTGGGGTTACAGGCATGAGCCACCACGCCTGGCCTGTATATTCTGTTGTTTGCTGGCCAATACTTACATGAATCTTGGAGAACATCATGGAAAGTTGCTCATCATCTTGTTAACTGGTTATTTCAAGAGTGGAACTGGAGGGGGAATACTGCCTTTCCTGTGTATTTATTTGTAATGTTTCATTTTCATTATGAACATGTATTATTTTAATATGTTTAAATATTAATAAAGACAGGTAAATATATGTAATTTTAATTCAAGCTGAAATCCTCAAGGAAATCACATATAATTAAATAGATGGAGGAAAGAAAACATTTAAAATCCCTGAAGGAAAAGGAGGGAAGTCCGGGCAAGGAGGCTCATGCCTATGTCAGCATTTTGGGAGACCAAAGCAGGCGGATCATTTGGGGTCAGAAGTTCGAGACCAGTTTAGCCAACATGGTGAAACCCTGTCTCTACTGAAAATACAAAAATTAGCCAGGCATGATGGCATGCGCCTGTAATCCCAGCTACTTGGAAGGTTGAGGTGGGAGAATCGCTTGAACCTGGGAGGCAGAGGTTGCAATGAACCGAGATTGTGACACTGTGGTTCAGTCTGGGTGACACAGCAAGACTCTGTGTCAATCAATCAATAAAAGGAGGGGGAAAAACACAAGTAAAAAATAAGTGACTCAAAAGTAGCAATTCACCATAATGCCTAAATTTGTGGGATTGGCGGGGTGTGATGGCTCCCGCCTGTAATCCCAGCACTTTGAGAGGCCAAGGTGGGTCGATCACCTGGTCAGGAGTTCGAGACCAGCCTGACCAATATTGTGAAACCCTGCCTCTACTAAAAATAAAAAATTTAGCAAGGTGTGGTGGCGGACACCTGTAGTCCCAACTACTAGGGAGGCTGAAACAGGAGAATCACTTGAACCTGGGAATCAGAGGTTGCAGTGAGCTGAGATTGCCACACTGCACTCCAGCCTGGGTGACAGAGCGAGACTCCCTTCAAATAAATAAATAAATAAATAAATAAATAAATAAATAAATAAATAAAAACACTTTGTGGGACCAATTCCAATTGAGTCCAGGGGAGCACACACTGGCAACAAACATCCTCCATCAGGTCCCTTCAGGGTCGAGAGAGTGCATCTGGAACAGACTGGGAAACTCCAGCAGGCAAAGTAAGGTGTCAGGAATAGACACCACCTGACACATTCTCCATGTTCCCTCCACCCACCCCTCTCCCCACCAGTCTTCCATCGGGCTCCAATTCTGCACTCTCCCCAATAACCTCAGATTGAAACATTGCAAGGAAGACACCGATACTCAAAGTCACAGGCTTAGGAATCTGAGCTACAAAGAAAAATGAGTCCCTGCTCCCCCAACTGCATGGTACTCCCCTCAGCACTGCTGCCCTGCACCTGCCCCCTCCTCCATAATTTGAACTGTCCTCACAGAAGCTGGAGAGATGGCCCGCCTGTCAGGAAAGAGAGGACCAGCATGTGGCAAATGCCTGGGGTATGTAGGAGCAGATGGTGAGATTAGCACAAGGATGTAAGAAACAAGTGGCTCTCAGACCAAAGAAGACTCTGCGGGAGACAGAACATTAAGCCTTCATAGAGGCGTGCGCTGGACAGCAGCTCCCCAGTTACTGAAACAATTATCTGAGAAAGGCTCTGAGCTGACCCGAAACGCCCTTGGATCCCATGGCAACGCCTCAGCGTCTGGCAGTAATAGGCTTCTGTACCCAGAATCTCTAGGTCTGGAGGTCCCAACTCCACCAGCCTCTCACAGCCCAGAGGTACCTCCCATTGGCGCCTGATGGGTTTGGGAGGCTGTTCTTCCAGCTGTGACAGATCCAGCCTAGGAGCGCTCCTGGGTCTTCTCAGTTGTTTCTTCCCGCACACCTGCCACTCGAAGCCACAACCCACTTGCACGCCACCTTGAGGACACCTTAAAATGACCGTCTAGATCTGAACCTCGCTGAGGGAATGGTCAGTTTTACTCCCATTAGATGGCTTGGCCCAAAGGACCTAGCAACCACCCAGACAAAAATTTCTTCCTAAAAGCTGCATGTGTCTGTGGTCTCTAAGAGGCAAAACTAAACCCTAAAGAAAAAGCTAACCCACCCCCACCTCCACTGCAAAACAAAAACAAAAACAAAACCCACCACCAACCCACCCTTCATGTGAGGAGTCCTTGAGAAGGGCCTCCCCAGCCAGGACAAGGCAAGGGAATCTGTGCACTTGGCCAGACCCAGAACACACAGTGTCAGGGACCTGACAGTCACACTCTGACCCCATAGAATTTCCACCACTGACACACAGATCAGGATGTGTCAGCCTGAGAGATGACTCCACAAATCTGGCTTTCACATATTGATTCCACACACATCCCATCACTGACACCAGATTCCCTCATCACTGACCCTAAATACCCACAATCATTGATTCCATGGACCTCATCACTATCCCAAAGACCACCCATCACTAATCTACAGATCGTCATCTCTCACCTCAGGGACCTCACAGATTCCCCATCCCTGATTCCAGGATCTATAGAACTTCATCTCTTACCCCCACAGACCTATTAATAAAAGGATACATTCATAGGAGACTGTGTTGACCCTTTTACACACCCATTGCCTGTGTGTGCCGATTAATGGACTTAGGTAAACTTTAGCGTTTTGGTAGGCAACGCAATTTTTCAATGCCTTTTCTTTCTTTTTCTTGTACATCTTTAAAGGCCTTACTCCAGTAAGTGTGCATTGCAGTTTATTAATGCCTATCCCTTAATGAGTCCTTGTCATGCATTTTTGTTATTAATCATAATTCACAATTCTTATAATTCAGAGACACCAGAGATTCACATAAGAAGAATGGCATTGAGTTTTTATTTATTTATTTGTTTTTTTCTGTAGATTATCAAATTCATTCATTTGTATCAAGTCACTAAGTGTATACTTTGTTTTCTAAAAAAAAAAATTCCAATAATTTTTTTTTTAAGACAGGCTATCGCTCTGTCACCCAGACTGGAGTGCAGTGGTATAATCATGGCCACTGTAACCTCAGCCTCCTGGGCTCAAGTGATCCTCCCTCAGCCTATGTAGTAAGCTGAGACCACAGGCATGCACCAATATGCCCACCTAATTAAAATTTTTTTTGTAGATATGTGTGTCTCACTATGTTGCAGAGACTGGTCTTGAACTCCTGGGCTCAACTCATTCTCCCACCTTGGCCTCCCAAAGTGTTGAGATTACAGGTGTGAGCCACTGTACTCAGCTGATAAAATCTTAAAAAGAGGAAAATACTTTGGGGCCTAATGTAAAATTTCCACTGAGATGATGCGTCAGAAATTAAGGTAGAATAAGATGGCCCTAGGGCATCAAAACAACGGAAACTAAATCTTGGGCTGGGTGCGGTGGCTCACGCCTGTAATCCCAGCAATTTTGGGAACCAAGGTGGGGGACTCACTTGAGGTCAGAAGTTTGAGACCAGTCTAGCCACCATGGTGAAACGCTGTCTCTACTAAAAATACAAAAATTATCCTGGAGGTTGCACTGAGCCAAGATTGTGCCAATGCACTCCAGTCTGGACAACAGAGGGAGATTCTGTCTCAAAAAAAAAAAAAATAGAAGAAGAAGAAACAAAATCTTAATTTCTTCATCAAATGTAAAAACTATGGACTGGACTCTGGAGGAATAATACACAAAAAGACACATAGGCGCTTTTTTTTTTGAAGTTTTATTGAGAAATATTGATAACATACCACAGAAGCCACTGATTTAAAGTGTAAAATTCAATGTTTTTCAGTATATTTGCACTGTTATGCAAACATCACCACAATAAATTTTAGATCATTTTCATTACCCTGAAGTAAACACCATATCCCTCCATTTCCCCCCAACTCCCCTAACCCTGGGCCACCACAAATCTACTTTCTGCTTCTATGTATTGGTCTATTTTGGACATTTTATTTAAATGGAATTACATAACATGTGGTCCTTTGTGACCGGCTTCTTTCACTTAGCATAATATTTTCAAGGTTTATTCAATCTTGCATGTGCAAAGGGGGCACTTTACATAAGGATAAACCTGGGATGGGGGGTACTTACTGATTGATTTGGAAACTTCCCTCCAAAATTGTAAAGGGTTTCAAATAGAGGAAAAACCTATTCAGGCTAAAATCCTGTTTTCAGCAGTTTGTAATGTGGGGTTTTATTGCAAAGAATGGCAAGATTTTTAGGCTTATTTTCTGAAAATTCTCCCTGTGTTTGGGGAACAGTCACAGAATGTGGAGGAATGGGCTTCTAGGCTCTGTGGCTGGAGATTCGCGTCCAGGAGAACTCAGGTCCGAGGGTAGGCAGAGAAAAACAGTGTAAGAGTGCCAACAGAATGCTTTGAAATGGAAAATTTTAAATGTTCCCTCCAAAAGGAGTCCCAGATAACCACACAAAAGAGGACTTTGCTGGGCAGGTCCATTGCAATTGTTCAATAACAAGACACAGACAGACTGGGAAAGAAGGAAGTTTATTTCTGCAGCCACTTACAGGGAGAAGCGCCAGGTAATTCACCAGATCAACTCAAAGTTACAAGTTTTTTTTTTCTAGTGCTTATATACGTCTTAAGCTCCACGTGGGATTGCACCTACAAGTAGGAGTGTTTCATTCAATCAACATCTTATCTTTAACTCGGGTCTAGCGTCTGGAAAGATTTCTCTAGAGTCTTGGAAAGTTTCTGAATCTTAAGACAGGCCGAGGTGAATGTGTACCAATGCTATCATTATTCGATCAGACTTTAGGGTCTGAGAAAACCCAGGTGGGGTCTCAATGGGTTTGTTTTCACATTCCATCCCTGATACTCAGGCACAAGTTTCTCCGTTTCTTTAACGTTAACTTATGCATTCATCAAAATTATAGTAAAGGGTTAGTAGAAACTGTTCTGGTTGCTATTGGAAACCTGGCCTGCCACACTGCCATAGGAACTGAAGCCCACTACAGAACATTGAAAATGCCTGCAAACACTGACTTTACTGACCAGTCAATTAAATTGCAGAAAAGCAAGCTCACGCTGCCTCCCTGATCCTCCAGAATTGCTAGTTAGAAACGTGCACATTGTCCTAGGTTCAGTTTTGCAAAGATGGAGCCTGGCAGTGAAAGCATTTGTTTGAGTTCATGCATTAAGGTTTGCTTTGTCTATTTCTTTTATATTTATTTATTTGTTTTTTTTTTTTTTTTTTTTTTTTTTTTTTTTGAGACAGAGTTTCAATCCTCTTGCCCAAGCTGGAGTGCAATGTGGCGGTCGCCGCTCACTGCAACTTCCGCCTCCTGTGTTGAAACGGTTCTCATGCCTCAGCCTCCCAAGTAGCTAGGATTACAGGCATGCTCCACCATGCCCGGCTAATTTTTGCATTTTTAGTAGAGATGGGGTTTCACCATGTAGGCCAGGATGGCCTTGAAATCTTGAGCTCAGGCAATCCACCCGCCTCAGCATCCAAAGTGCTGTGATTACAGGCATGAGCACCCTCAGCCGGCCTATTTTATTTTAAGATGGAGTCTCGCTCTGTCGCCCAGGCTGGAGCGCAGTGGCACGAGCTCGGCTCACTGCAACCTCTGCCTCTGGGATTCAAGCGATTCTTGTGCCTCCGCCTTACAAATAGCTGGGATTACACGCGCCCACCACCATGCCTGGTTAATTGTTTATTTATAGTAGAGACAGGGTTTCACCATGTTGACCAGACTGGTCTCGAACTTCTGACCTCAAGTGATCCGCCCGCCTCGGCCACTAAAAGTGCTGGAATTACAGGCGTGAGCCACCATGCCCGGCCCCATTTCCTTTATTTTATTTATTATTTCGAGAAGGAGTTTTGCTCTTGCCATCCAGGCTGGAGTGCAGTGGTGCGATCTCGGCTCACTGCAACCTTCACCTCCTGGGTTCAAGCGATTCTCCTGCATCAGCCTCCGGAGTAGCTGGGATTACAGGCGCATGCCACCACGCCCAGCTACATTTCCTTTATTTTATTTTTTATAATTTACTAGCCTGTTTGTTGATAACAAGACTGGCAGTGCACAAGTTTGTGTCTCGGTGCTCACCGGGAGGCGGGCATGGACCAGGTGGGAGGGTCTCCAGCACCTGGTACAACTCTCCAAGAAAGTGCAGGAAACGGCACTAAGGGTGGTAGTAAAGTTTTGGTTTGGCGAGGCGCGTAGGCGTTCCAGCGCAGAAATGCGCAGGAAAGGTTTTGCTGTGCTTGTAGGGAGGTCATCCCCAAGCTCTTCTTATTGGCTTTCAGTGAGACGAGGTCGCGCACTGCACTCCAGCCCGGGCTACAGAGTGAGACTCTGTATCCAAAAAAAAAAAAATAGTGAATGAATATCTATTGATGCATGAAGTGGCTGCATTAAAGGAAAACTAGCCAAGAAAATACAAGGCAAAAAAAAGTCAAGGATCAGTATGAAAAATAAATATATTTTAAAAGATTTGTTTTTAAAGCAACAACACGGGTTTAAATTTTAAAGTGAAAGAAGTAGCTCCAAGATAGAGGAAACAGGATGGCTTCTGAAGAAGGGAATGTTATTCTTTGAAATGGAAAGAAATTATGACAAGAGGGTAGCACAGACTGAAGAGGTGGAGGTAAAAGGGGGTTCTCGGCCAGACACAGTGGCTCACACCTGTAATACCAGCACTTTCGGAGGCCAAGGCAGGTGGATCACCTGAGGTCAGGAGTTCGAGGCCAGCCTAGCCAACATGGTGAAATGCCGTCTCTACTAAAAATACAAAAATTAGCTGGGCATGGTGGCAGGTGCCTATAATGCCAGTTCCTTTAGAGGCTGAGGCAGGAGAATCGCTTCAACCTGGGTGCGGAGGTTGCAGTGAGCCAAAATCGCATCACTGTTCTCCAGCCTGGGTGACTGAGCAAGACTCTCTCTCAAATTAAAAAAAAAATTTAAAAAAGAGTGTGTTTGTTGGGGGGGGGGGTGGTATCTTGACTTTTCTCCATGTGTCTTAGGCCACAACTCTTACGTGGGACCTTGCAGAAGAGATTCCCCAACCAATACCTTTACGGCGCTGCCTCCCTGATGGGCTGGGTTCTAAACAGCAGTGCCTTCCCCATCTGCTCAGTCCTTACTCACCTGGGCACCATCCTCCCGGTACGTCCCTTGAAACCATCCAGGGCTCTTTCCCTTGCTCCAGTAAGGAAATCACATCAGGCTTTGGGATAGAGAGACCTGTTTATAAGAAAAGAAGTAAGGTGGCCAGGCAGGCATAGTGGCTCACTCCTGTAATCCCAGCACTTTGGGAGGCCAAAACAGGTGGATTGCTTGAGGTCAGGAGTTCAAGACCAGCCTGACCAACATGGTGAAACCCCGTCTCTACTAAAAACACAAAAATTGGCCAGGTGTGGTGGCGGGTGCCTGTAATCCCAGCTACTCAGGAGGCTGAGACATGAGAATCGCTTGAACCTGAGATGAAGGTTGGAGTGAACCGAGATCGTGCCATTGCACTCCATCCTGGGTGATAGAGTGAGAATTCATCTCAAAAAAGAAAGAAAGAAAAAGAAAGAAAGAAAGAAAGAAAGAAAGAAAGAAAGAAAGAAAGAAAGAAAGAAAGAAAGAAGGAAGGAAGGAAGGAAGGAAGGAAGGAAGGAAAGAAAGAAAGAAAAAGAGAGAAAGAAAGAAAAGTAAGACATACTCGTGCTGTTCCTGAATTCAAAGTTAGTCCCTTAGTAGTCACGAAGGACTAGAGGAAGGTGTAAAGGTCTGAAGCATGGAGAAGATGGAGGGACCCCAAAGAGCTGCCCATCTATTAATCTACAAAACACAAAACAATTCCCTAAGCAGCAGGTGAAAAGTCACCCAGACAAGTGGAAGCTACACCCAAAATTCATGAGTTATTTGGGGATAGACATCCTTACCTAGTGAGACCAGGCTGCTATAGTTCTCCATCATTACATCTCTGTATCAGTCCTTCTGAGCAGCGTCCAGGCACTCCCATTCCTCCTGAGAGAAGTCTATAGACAGATCCTGGAACATGCCCAACCCCTGAAATGACAAACCCAGGCAGCACTGTTGAAATTAAAGGAAAGATTTTTAAGATGAAGGAAGAGATGGAAGGGTGCTGAAGCATGGAGAGAATACAGTGAGCAGACCAGCTAGGCTGAGAGTGGGGAAGAGTAAAAAAATTAGTGTAACTTCAACAAAGTACCTCCATGTTCATGAATATTCCTGTTGTGGCCAGCAAACCTCCTTCATAGAAAGGGACATTCCCAGTATTCCATGGTTAGAGCTGGGAATGAATAAATACATTGATATATGATTTCCCAAATAAATGAAATAGAGTTGAAAAGCACACAGCAAGCTGTAGGCCTGGCAAGGCTTCAAGAATATTACAGTAAACATCTGATATGCAAGTTACTATTTACAACAAAAGCTTAATAAATAGGCACTTCCCCCTTACCATTTTCTTTCTTGTTTTTTTTTTCTCTTGTTTCATTTTTTTGTTTTTGTTTTTGTTTTCACTTTGAGACAGGGTCTCGTTCTGTTGCCCAGGCTGGAGTGCAGTGGCAAAATCACAGCTCACTGCAGCCTCAACCTCCCAGGCTCAGGTGTTCCTCCCACCTCAGCCTCTGTATTAGCTTTGACTATAGGCATGCGCCACCATACCCAGCTAATTTGTTTTGTATTTTTAGTAGAAACGAGGTTTTGCCATTTGGGCAGGCTACTCTCAAACTCCTGAGCTCAAGCAATCCACCTGTTTGGCCTCCCAAAGTGCTGGGATTACAGGGATGAGCCACCACACCCAGCCTTGTCTCTTTTCTTAAAGGAAGACTGTATCTTTCAAAAATATCTACAAAAAGTTTGAAAACCTCTATTGGCCGGGCACAGTGGCTCACACCTGCAAACCCAGCACTTTGGTAGGCCAAGGCGGATGGATCGCCTGAGGTCAGGAGTTCAAGACCAGACTGACCAACATGGAGAGACCATTTTAGTCTCTACTAAAAATATAAAATTAGCTGGGTGTGGTGGCACATGTCTGTAATCCCAGCTACTTGGGAGGCTGAGGCAGGAGAATCGCTTGAACCTGGGAGGTGGAGGTTGCAGTGAGCCGAGATTGCACCACTGCACTCCAGCCTGGGCAATAAGAGTGAAACTCTGTCTCAAAAGAAAAACAACAACAACAACAACAACAAAACCTCTATTGCACTTTGATAATTAGTACTTCCATAAAATAGTATAGATAGTACTTTGATAATTAAATGTACATTGGCTGGGTGTGGTAACCCACACCTGTAATCAAAGCACTTTGGGAGGCCAAGGCAGGTGAATTGCTTCAGCTCAGGAGTTCAAGATCAACCTGGGCAACATGGCAAAACCCTACCTCTACAAAAACATATGTCATATACAAATTAGCCAGATGTAGTGGGACATGCCTCTAGTCCCAGCTACTTGGGAGGCTGAGGTGGGAGGATTGCTTGAGCCTAGGAGGTTAAGGCTGTGGTGAGCTCTGATCCTGCCACTGCACTCCAGCCTAGGCACCAGAGCAAGATCCTGTCTCAAAAAAAAAAAAAAAAAAAAAAAAGGCCAGGTGTGGTGGCTCATGCCTGTAATCCCAGAACTTTGGGAGGCTGAGTAGGACAGATCATGAGGTCAAGGGATCAAAACCATCCTGGACTACATGGTGAAACTCTGACTCTATTAAAAATACAAAAATTAGCTGGGCATGGTGGTGCAAGCCTGTAGTCCCAGCTGCTTGGGAGGCTGAGGCAGGGGAATTGCTTGAACCCAGATGGTGGAGATTGCAGTGAGCCAAGGTCGTGCCACTGCACTCCAGCCTGGTCATCATGACTGCGTCTCAAAAAAAAAAAAAAAAAAAGAGTGGTATCATGGTAGGAATAAACTGCACACAGGTCAGACAAAAGTTACAAGGCCATCTGCTAGTATAAACAAGTTTCCTGTGAGACACCTGGTCATGGGTCAGATACTTGAGCATTAGGCTGTGGTCCAGAAAAAAGAAATTTCTGGTGAAAGGCTACTCTAAAGACCCACAGGCCCCTCCCCTAGAGCCCCATTAGAGTGAGGTAGAGTTTATAGCCATTCTCCTGAGAGACCTCAAGACCCAATTAGAAGAAAACTATAACATTTGTTATATAGACGGCATTTTCCAAAGACTAGTTCAAAGATGAAAGATATAGTCTTCCTTTGGATATAAAACAAAATCTCAAGATACACCAAAACTGTTTTGCTTTTACTGAATAATTTTTGTGCATATGTGTTTAGCTGCAAGTGGCTAACAAGCTGTGATTTTCTTTCCTTTCCTTTCCCTTTTTTTTTTTTCTTGAGACAGCCTTGCTCTGTCAACCAGGCTGAAGTGCAGTGGCCTGATTTTGGCTCACTGCAACCTCAGCCTCCCATAGCTGGGATTACAGGTGCCTGCCACCACACCCACCTAATTTTTGTATTTTTAGTAGAGATGGGGTTTCACTGTGTTGCCGAGGCTGGTCTCGAAATCGTGGCCTCAAGTGATCCATCCACATTGGCTCCCAAAGTACTAGGATTACAGGCATGAGCCACCATGCCTGGCCAACTCTGATTTTTTAACTTGTCTCGTGTATTAGGTTCATACTAGGAAAAAAACAGGTCAGAGCCATTGGAGCCACGTGTACAGATGTGCAGTAGCTCTGCTAGCAACACTGCTGCTTGCTTCAGCTCTTAAGACAGATGAATTTAGCACGTGTCTGCCCTTGCTCTAGCTGTCTCTGATTCACCCCAACAGATGCACAATCATGCCACTCCGTTAGATTCACTTTGGATATCCCATTATTAGATTAAAACCAGCAGGCCAAAAAGATAACTTGAGGAAATGATTTCACATCCACAGTGTTCTCATAGGGCCAGTATCATTTAGACATGTCAGGACCGTGGTTGCAGGGGAAAGAATGAAGTGTCATCCTTAACTGGCCATCTAATGTCATCAGCATGAACAGGAGGACTTTATAGGATATTATCTGATGTTTTCTGAATATTACCTTACAAATGCTGCTTTATTTATAGCTTAAGAGCAGGGACCCTGTCTTTTAAAGCTTTATACATCCTCAAGTAAAGGTTTTTCATATTAAATCCATTAATAATATCTAAAGGCCGACCTGGAAATTCCATTTCTAAGTATTCATCCAAAGTAAAGATTTTTTTTCTTTTTTTGAGATGGAGTTTCGCTCTTGTTGCCCAGGCTGGAGTGCAGTGGTGTGATCTCGGCTCACTGCAACCTCTGCCTCCTGGGTTCATGTGATTCTCCTGCCTCATACTCCCGAGTAGCTGGGATTAAAGGCACGCACCACCACGCCCAGCTAATTTTGTATTTTTAGGAGAGATGGAGTTTCTCCATGTTAGTCAGGCTGGTCTCAAACTCCTGACCTCAGGGGATCAACCCACCTTGGCCTCCCAAAATGCTGGGATTACAGGTGTGAGCCACCATGTCCTGCCAAGAATTTTTTTTTTTTTTGAGACAAGTCTCAATCTGTTACCCAGGCTACAGAGCAGTGAGGTGATCACAGCTCACTGCAACCTCTGCCTCCTGGGTTCAAGTGATTTTTGTGACTCAGCCATCAAAGTAGCTTGGAATACAGGCACACACCACCATACCCGGCTAATTTTTTTTGGTATTTTTGGTAGAGAGCAGGTTTCACCATGTTGGCCAGGCTGGCCTCAAACTCCTGGCCTCAAGCAAGGCCACTTTGGGAGGCCAAGGTGGGCAGATCACCTGAGGTCAGGAGTTCAAGACCAGCCTGGCCAACATGGTGAAACCCTGTCTCTAACTAAAATACAAAAGGTAGCCAGGCGTGGTGGCAGGTGCCTGTAATACCAGCTACTCGGGAGGCAGAGGCAGGAGAATCACTTCAGTCTGGGAGGCAGAGGTTGCAGTGAGCCAAGACTGTGTCACTGCACTCCAGCCTGGGCAACAGAGTGAGACTCTCTATCAAAATATAAATAAATATAAAAATACAAAAAAGCCGGGCACAGTGGCTCATGCCTGTAATCCCAGCACTTTGGGAGGCCAAGACAGGCAGATGACTTGAGATCAGGTGTTCCAGACCAGCCTGTCCAACATGGCAAATCCCTGTCTCTACTAAAATACAAAAATTAGTCGGGTGTGGTGGATCACTCTCTAATCCCAGCTACTTGGGAGGCTGAAGCAGGAGAATCGCTTGAACCTGGGAGGCAGAATTTGCAGTGAGCAGAGTTCATGCCATTGTATTCCAGCCTGGGCAACAAGAGCGAAACTGCATCTCAAAGAAAAAAAAAAGAAAGAATACAAAAAATTAGCGGGGTGTAGTAGCGCATGACTGTAATCTAGGCTACTGTGGAGGCTGAGGCAGGAGAATTGCCTGAACCTGGAAGATGAAGATTACAGTGATGAGACTGCACCACTGCACTCCAGCCTGGGTCACAAGAGCCAAGAGCGAGAATCCATCTAAAAAAAAAAAGAATTTCTATTTGGGGGACAAAATAAAAGAAATGGAGTGAAAGGGATGTAAAGAAATTGAAAGTCAACAGGCTAATAATGCCAATAAATAATGATGGAGCAAAGAAATCAGTATTGGCCAAATAAAACCAATGTGTTTTTTAATATTTTTTCAAAATTTAGACAAAGCTTTCCAGTACACTGAGACACTTCTAATATCAAGACTTTAATATTGCCTGAGTACAGTGGCTTATGCCTATAATCCCAGCATTTTGGGATGCCAAGGCAGGAGGATCGCTTGAGCCCAGAAGTTCAAGTCAAGCCTGGGAAATATAGGGAGACATAGTCTCTGCAAAAATAAAATAAAATAAAATAAAATAAAATAAAATAAAATAAAATAAAATAAAATAATAAAATAAATAAAATAAAATAAAATAAACAAAATAAAATAAAATAAAATAAAATAAAATAAATAAAATGAAATAAAATAAAATAATAAGCCAGGCATGGTGGTATACATCTGTGAGCTGTGACAACCCCACTGCACTCTAGGATGGGTAACAGAGCAAGAAAGACCCTGTCTCAACAAAAAAACTAGAATATAGAATAAATGACATTTGGGTAAGTGGAATATTAGGTGTTCAATAAACACAGGTTATTCCCTCCCTATCTCCACAGAATCATCAATTTTTTTAAAGGAGAAGTTTTGATTAGAACCTAAAAATATCAATACTTCTCTTTCCAAAAAAGGAAGGAGGATTTAAATATAACAATTTCTTGGTTATTTCTATTTATTTTCATTGTTGCTTAATATTATTCAGTAATGAAAATGCAATTGCTCTCTTTCAAACATAGTTTTAACTAGTTGCACAAAATGCCACCTTGTAGTCTGAAGTACTTCAAATTTCCCTATCTATGAAAGCTAAATTTGGATATTATCATCTCAAGGATATTATAATCTCTGTGTTTAAATCTATCTAGGGTTCTACCTTTTCTGTAAGCCTTAGTGAATCTCACTATAGTCCTCCTTCCCTTTAAAAATGCAGTGATAGGCCGGGTGCAGTGGCTCTTCCCTGTAATCCCAGCACTTTGGGAGGCTCAGCTGGGAAGATTGTTGGAGCTCAGGAGTTCAAGACCAGACTGGGCAACATGGCAAAACCCCATCTGTGCAAAAATTACAAATATTAGCCTGGCATGGTGCCATATGCCTATAATCCAGCTACTTGGGAGGCTGAGGAGGGAGGATCCCTTCAGCCCCAGAGGTCAAGGCTGCAGTATGCCCTGATCCTGCCACTGCACTTTTGGAGGCCAAGGCAGGTGGATCGCCTGAGATCAGGAGTTCGTGACCAGCCTGGCCAATATGGTGAAACCCTGTCTCTACTAAAAATACAAAAATTGGTCAGGTGTGGTGGTGGGCACCTCTAATCCCAACTATTCAGGAGGCTGAGACAGGAGAATCACTTGAACCCGGGAGGCGGAGGCTGCAGTGAGCCAAGATTGCACCACTGCAGTTCAGCCTGGGCAAGGCAGAGTGAGACTCTGTCAAAAAAAAAAAAAGAAAGAAAGAAAGAAAGAAAAAGAAAAAAAGAAAAAGAAAATCAGTGATAGGTGAGACAGCTCATGCCTGTAATCATAGAACTTTAGAGGCAGAGGTGGGAGGATCACTTGAACTCAGGAGTTCAAGACCAGCCCAGATAACATAGTGAGTCTTCTTATCTACTGAAAATTATTTTTAATTATGCCACAGTGCTAGTGTGTGCCTCTGGTTTCAGCTTATTTGGCAGGCTGAGGTAGAAGGATCACTTGAGCATCGGAGATGAAGGCTACAATGAGCTGAGATGGTACCACTGCACTCCAGCCTGGGAGAGAGAGTGAGACTCTACCTCAAAAATAAAAATAAATACATAAATAAAAATTCAGCGATGGAGTTGATGGATTTGAGGTTGAGGACCCCCAATGTGAACCCATTTGGAAAAAACTCAACCTGTGTTCTTCCTCTGCTTCACACCAAAACCACAACAATCTACCCAGAAGACTTCTGTGGCCTCAAAATATGAGATTTCTTCCTATCAGCAAGCAAGGAATCAGTTCTGCAGCAGACAACAGCTGGGTATCCACCAATTCGATTCTGACACTATCTACCATGAGATAGTGTCACCCCACCGATTGAGAGCTCAGCCCCCAAAACTGCCCCCCTTTCAGACACCAGTCACAAGTCCTAGCCTCTGGAACTTCTGACTGACAGATTTAATTTGGGGTTCCTACGATCCCCTCTTTGGGTTTGATTAATTTGCTAGAATAAAATGGCTCACAAACCTCAGGGAAACACATTTACTGTTTGATTACAAGGATATTCCAAAGGATATAGATGAAGAGATGCCTAGCGTGAGGTATGGGGGAAGGGGCACAGAGATTCCATCCCCTCCCTGGGCACGACCCTCCAGGAACCTCCATGTGTTCAGCTCTCTGGAAGCTCTCCGAATCCACTCCTTTTGGGTTTGTAAGGTGGCCTCATTACATAGGCATGATTGATTAAACCATTAGCCACTTGTCATCAACTTAATCCTCAGTCCCCTCCACTCCCCAGGGGTGGGAGGGTAGGGGCTGAAAGTCCCAGCCCTCTAATCCTGCCTTGGTCTTTCTGATGACCAGCCCACATCCTGAAGCTATCGGTCAATCCCTAACATATAAAAAGCCAAAGTCTGGGTGCAGTGGCTCATGCCTGTAATCCCAACACTTTGGGAGCCCAAGGCAGGCAGATCACTTGAGGTCAGGAGTTCGAGACCAGACTGGCCAATATGGTGAAACCCCATCTCTACTAAAAAAGAAAACAAAGACAAAAATTAGCCGGCCATGGTGGCACATGCCTGTAGTCTACTTGGGAGGCTGAGGCAGAAGAATTGCTTGAACCCAGGAGGCAGAGGTTGCAGTGAGTGGAGATTGCACCACTGCACTGCAGCCTGGGTTACAGAGCAAGACTCTGTTTCAAAAAAAAAAAAAAAAAAAAAAAAAAAAGCAAGCCCTTAGGACATTCCAAGGATTTTAGGAGTTGTATACCAGGAAATAGGGACAAAGACCAAATCTGTATTTGACAAAAATCACAGAACCGTATGAGTTTTTAATTCAATACAGACATGGAAACTGGCCCAAGCATTTACTCACAGATGACTGGGTGAATCACTGGTCCTATGGGTACAAATTATTGATCAAACCCCCAATCTCATTCCTACCCCTAAAATATAGCAAAGTGCAAGATCTTATTACCTATTTGGACTGAGATTAACACCATCCCTTAAATTGCATGGCTTTCAATCCCAGGGCTATGGCATGTGATGCCACATAGAATATGCATGAATCTTCTCTCCAGCAATTGAGTTGTTAGGATAAAGGCTCTTGTCTTTGCCTTCTTTCCCTCACAGCCAAGAATGTTAAGGAACGTGGACACAAAGGATGAGGTTGGAACAGAAGTTTAATATGCAAAAGAAGAAAGCTCTCCCCAGCGGAGGGGGGACCCGAAAGAGGGTTGCCAACTAGGAGGCTGAATCTGGGGGTTTTGTGAACTGGGAAGGGGAAGAATGTGCTCACTAGTCTGTGAGCTGTCTTGGAGAAAGCACAACTTCGCTTGGCCCGGGACCTTAGCTTGGGACCAACCAGAGGCTGAAGTGAAATTTTGGCCCAAGAACAATCAGGGGCTGAAGTGAAAGTTTGGCCCAGGACCAATCAGGGGCTGAAGTGATGATTCATAGAGGCTTGGCTCACAGTCCAAAGCATGTCCAGAAAAGGAAAGTGGTCACCAGAGCCTGTTAGTCCAAGCTGCACCGATTTGTAAGCCCCCACCGTTTCACAGACCCTGGTCAGAGGGAAACATTCCACTGGGGTTTGGGCTGCGAGAAACATCCTCCCCAACCGCCTGACTTCCTTATCACATCCTGCTGGGGAAAGGCCCAAGAAACATCCTTATCAACATTCTCCCAGGCAACAAGCTATACTGCCCAGATCCCTCCTGCCCAGGCCTATAATTACTCCAGCCTGTAAGCGGCAGTGGGCTCTGGCATTTAGTTGGTCCCCTCCATAGAGCCGCCAACTCTCTCTCTTTCTTTAACCTTCACCTTCCCTTCAAAATCTAACAGAGCCCACCATATACATGCCCACAAAAAAGCGACTATTTCCTGGAAGCCCGCTGGTCACACAAAGGACAAAGGCATTTCTATGTTGGGCCTCGGTCCCTTATCAATGCAGCTGAGGAATGTCTTTAGGACAACCCCCTTTGCTAGTTTTCCTTCTCTGTGCCTGCAGCCTGATTTTTCAGGCTGTTTCTCTGTTGAAAGGAGTTTTACCAAGGACCCGCTCTAACTCCCTAAAGGGTTTTTTCTCTCAAGGGGACACACAAATTTCCAATCGCACACATGCCTCCCTATATCCACTTACCCTCTGCCTCACAGCCAATCACACTCTCCTCTCTCACACAGACCACGGGGCCACACAAGTTGCACCTGCACAGCCACAGACCTGCAACTCATGCACACACAGTACTGCACACACACGCAAAGTCACACACCCACCCTGGGACACGCAGCCCCCACTACACAGTCACCGGTTGTCCACATCCGCACACACAACGCGGCTCGTCCAGGACACACACATCCACTCCGAGCGCGCACAGTCACAAGCGCCCACCTGATCACCCAGAGTCAGCACCACACAGCCACAGTCACAGACCACGAAGACCCACGGCAACCATCGCAATCACACACGCAAACTCCTCTCCTCAGCCCTCCACACACAAAAGGACCAGAGCCGGATTCCTCATCCTCAGCTTTCTCTAGTTCCGCTCGGGGCCGGCCTGGCCAAGTTACTCCGGACTCCAAGGCGTGGCAGCAGCTAATTGGGCACAGCGAAAGATTCTGCCACCTGGCTAAGAGGAAGCCAAAATCTCGCGAGACATGGTATTGGCCCGCAGAATCCTCCGGGAAATGTAGTCCAGAGCCCGACTGCTCCCCTACTAAAAATATAAAAATTAGCCGGGCCTGGTGGGCGCCTGTAATCTCAGCTTCTTGGAAGGCTGGGGCAGCAGAATCGCTTGAACCCGGGAGGTGGAGGTTGCAGTGAGCCGGGATCGCGCCGTTGCACTCCAGCCTGGGTGACAGAGCGAGACTCCGTCTCAAAAAATAAGTAAGCAGACATGTCTGCTGCCCACATGAGGTTTACATTCTAGTCTGGAGAAAAAAAAAGATTTTAAATTAAAAGGGGAAGATGAAGTAATTTTATATTGTGATAAATACTATGAAATATATCAATAGGTGGTATAGGCAGTAACTTGAGGGATACTTCCCGTAGCATTGATAGGACGGGTGTCTGAGAGATAACCCTCGAGTTTTGGTGGTGAGGAGCCAGCAGTGTGGAAGGGTATTCCAAGCAGAGGCACAGTTACACTGAAGACCCTGAAAAATCAGAGAGCGCTTGGAGCGTTCCGGAAACAGAAAGCAGCCTGGTGTGACTGAAGCTTAGCAAGTGAGTGGGGAATTAGTTTAGATTTAGGATGTAGAAGTCAGCATTTTCCGATTCATATGAGAAAATGATAGTGCTGAGATTACAGGCGTGAGCCACTGCACCCAGCCCCAAACCAAGTTTTTATAGCAGCAAGAATAGATACTCTGGTATGGTCAGCGTCTAAAGATTTTACAAACAATATCTCTTCTTTTAGTTTGCAGTCATTATTGAAATAACAAACATGTCCTATTGTCAGGCCTTACTCTCAGTAACTGATTTCATTGATCTGAATAGGAAACTTACTTGATTAATCAGCTACTCTTTGGTATTACCTGACATCTCATTAATGCATCTTTGAATTGAATTATTGCTCAATAGGAGTGATTGTGAAATAGTGGTAATGTGTTACATCACTATTGAAGTTACCGTCTCTCATGTGAGTCTTGTGACAGTTTCAGCAAGTACAAAGCACTATGGGGTTTTACAATGATTTCTGTAATCTTTTCTTTTTTTCTTTTTTTTTTTTTTTGAGACAGAGTCTCGCTGTGTTAGCCAGGCTGGAGTGCAGTGGCATGATCTCACCTCACTGCAAGCTCCGTCTCCAGGACTCAAGTGATTCTTCTGCCTCAGCTTCCCGAGTAGCTGGGATTACAGGCGTGTGCCACCACGCCCGGCTAACTTTGTATTTTTAGTAGAGACGGGGTTTCACCATGTTGGCCAGACCGGTCTCAAACTCCCGACCTCAGGTGATGCGCCTGCCTCGGCCTCCCAAATTGCTGGGATTACAGGCATGAGTCACCACGCCTGGCCTATTTCTGCAATTTTATAAGGCAATTATTTCATCATAATTTGTTTGCTTATCCTTTTTTTTTTTTTTTATACCGAGTGTTGCTCTATAGTCCAGGCTGGAGCATGGTGCTGCAATCTCGGCTCACTGCATCCTCCACCTCTCAGGTTGAAGCGAGTCTCCTGCCTCAGCCTCCCGAGTACCTGGAATTACAGGTGCACACAGCATGCCAGGCTAGTTTTTGTGTTTTTAGTGGAGACAAGATTTCACCATATTACCCAGGCTGGTCTCCAACTCCTGGGCTCATGTGATACACCCACCTCGGCCTCCCAAAGTGTTGGGATTACAGGTGTGAGCCACCTCACCCCACGGCTTGTCCTTCTTAAATAAGAAGTAACAGTGTTACAGTTCAAAATTCTATTTTAAACTTTTTAAATATTCTGTTTCTTGACTTTATCAGGATGTTTCTTTTATTGATGATCCACAAATCTTGATTTCATAGCCGTTTGTAAAAACAAACAAAAAACAAACAAAAACTATTATTTATAAGAAAAAAGCTGTTTTGAGTTAAATGGGGTTTTCAATAAAACTGTAAGCTAGGCTGGGCGCGGTGGCTCACACCTGTAATCCTAGCACTTTGGGAGGCTGAGGTGGGTGGATTGCCTGAACTCAGGATTTCAAGACCAGCCTGGGCAACAGGGTGAAACCCCGTCTTTACTAAAATACAAAAAATTACCTGGGTGTGGGGGCAAGTACCTGTAGTCCCTGCTACACGGGAGGCTGAGACAGGAGACTTGCTAGAACCCAGGAGGTGGAGGTTGCAGTGAGCCAAGATCATGTCTGCATTCCAGCCTGGGCAACAGAGTGAGTCTCCATCTCTAAAAACAAAAACAAACAAACAAAAAAACAAAACCAGTTGGCCAGATATTCATTCATTCCGATGTAGTCAACACTTTTCATTTTCAACACTTAACACAATTAATGCTAGGTTGAATTACTTTCATAATATAAACTATTTTACATAATTCCCAAAGCACTGAGGATCAATCATAAATACTATCCACAAGGCAGCCAATAGACAGACACACACAGACCACCTCTCATATAACTTTGGGATAGAGCATTCAATCAAGAAAAAGTCTTCCAGGTATAGCCATCAATTTGCCATCATTTTGTAGCACTGATCTTGCAAAGATTTTTTTTTTTTTTGAGGTGGAGGCTCGCTCTGTCACGCAGGATGAAGGGCGGTGGCACGATCCACTCACTGCAACCTCTGCCTCCTGGGTTCAAGCGATTTTCGTGCTTCAGCCTCCCATGTAGCTGGGATTACAGGCAGGTGCCACCACTTCTGGGTAATTGTTTTGTATTTTTAGTTGACACAGGGTTTTACTATGTTGGCCAGGCTGGTTTGAACTCCTGAATTTCAGTGATCCACCTTCCTTGGCCTCTCAAAGTGCTGAGATTACAGGTGTGAGCCACCGTGCATGGCCTGATCTTGCTTGGATTTTTTTATCTTCCATAAAATGATTAATGCTGCCCATCATATTTGAGAGAAATTAAATACCAAGGTGTAAAATTTTGTGCAATAGGCCAGGCATGGTGGCTTATACTTGTAATTCCAGCACTTTGGGAGGCCGAGGCAGGCAGATCACTTGAGATCAGTAGTTCTAGACCAGCCTGGCCAACATGGTGAAACTCCGTCTCTACAAAAAATACAAAAATTAGCTGACCGTGGTAGTGTGTGCCAGTAATCCCAGCTACTTGGGAGACTGAGGCAGGAGAATCGCTTGAACCCAGGAGGCAGAGGTTGCAGTGAGCAGAGATTGCACCACTGCACTCCAGCTTGGGTGACAGAGTGAGGCTCCCTCTCCGGAAAAAAAAAAAAAAAATTGTGGAAGGCCACAAACCATTGCAACAACTATAATTCATTTTACCTTCAATAACCAATGTTCACCCTCTTAGGGGCAATATCACTCCCACCAAAAATGCTTGGCCAGGCACAGAGGCTCATGCCTGTAATTCCAGCACTTTGGGAGGCCAAGGCGGGCAGATCCACTGAGGTCAGGAGTTCCAGACAAGCCTGGCCAACATGGTGAAACCCCGTCTCTACTAAAAATACAAAAATTAACCAGGCATGGTGGCACGCACCTGTAGTGCCAACTACTCAGGAGGTTGAGGCAGGAGAATCACTTGAACCTGGGAGGTGGAGGTTGCATTGAGCTGAGATTATGCCACTGCTCTCCAGCCTAGGTGACAGAGTGAGACCCTGTCTCAAAAAAAAAAAGAATGCTTCCAGTAAGGCTAAATAAATATACAAATTAGGCATGTGGCATGTGTGTTAGTATACGTACAATATATTTCCTAGTTCTGCCCACTAAGAGGGCCTAGAAGCAATGACACACCCATAGCAATGAGCACACGTGTCACCCCGATCTTGGCGATTTTGTTTTTGTTTGGTTTTTAAAAATAGAGATGGGGGTCTCACTGCATTGCCCAAGCTTGTCTCAAACTCTTGGCCTCAAGGGATCCTCCTGCCTCAGCCTCCCAAAGTGTTGAGATTACAGACCTGAGCCACCTCACCCAGCCCAAGATTTTGGTGCTTTGTAAATAATACTTTTCAATGAAAGAAGCCAAGGATCTTTAAATAAATGGTTTATTCCACGTCTGGGTCAGGGAAAATACCAGATGAATCAAAACACTTTATGTGCCAGAAAGTTGGTAATTAGTCCCACACCCCAACCCCCTGATAAAGGCATGCTATAAATAGAACACAGGAGCCAACCTAAAGAAACGCCCAAGGCCAATTTTTTTTTTTTTTTCTTGACGCAGTTTTACTCTTGTCACCCAGGCTGGAATGCAGTGGTGTGATCTTGGCTCATTGCAACCTCCATCTCCTGGGTTCAAGCGATTCTCCCGCCTCAGCCTCCCGAGTAGGTGGAATTACAGGTGCCTGCCACCACGCCCAGCTAATTTTTTGTACTTTTAGTAGAGACGGGGTTTCAGCAGGTTGGCCAGGCTGCTCTCAAACTCCTGACCTCAGGTGATCTCCATGCCTCGGCCTCCCAAATTGCTAAGATTACAGGCATCAGCCATTGCACCTGGCATAAGTTCGTATTGTTTTCAGTATCACAACCACATACATGTTCAATTGCACATATACTATGTTCTCTACAAATGTGCAGTTTGGACCTGCCTCATCTTGGTACTCTACAACAAGAGCATTGCATTGTCACACATGTAGACAATGAATTGACTCAGAATCACAAATACTTGTACTGGGGACCTGTAGGGAGAAGTCAAGCCCTAGGAAGAGTACCAGGTCATCATCTGGGAAAGGAAATATTAGGAGTATTTGGGGTGTGAATAGTACTGTATTGAATTCCAATTCATTTCAAAATATATTTCACAGATTATCACAAACCAGGAAATAAGTTGTGTGTATTTTTCTTTGTTTTGTTTTGTTTGTTTGTTTGTTTGTTTGTTTGTTAGAGAGAGTTTTACTCTTGTTGCCCAGGCTGCAGTGCAATGCCACGATCTTGGCTCACCTCAACCTCCACCTCCCCAAAACCTCTGCCTCCCAGGTTCAAGCAATTCTCTTGCCTCAGCCTCCCAAGTAGCTGGGATTACAGGCATGTGCCACCATGCCTGGCTAATTTTGTATTTTTAGTAGAGATGGAGTTTCCCCATTTTTTTTTTTTTGAGACAGATTCTCACTCTATTGCCCAGGCTGGAGTGCAGTGGTGAGATCTCAGCTCACTGCAACCTCTGCCTCCTGGGTTGAAGCGATTCTCCTGCCTCAGCCTCCCAAGTAGCTAGGATCACAGGTGCCTGCCACCGTGCCTGGATAATTTTTGTATTTTTTAGTAGAGTTGGGGATAAGCCATCTTGGCCAGGCTGGTGTTGAATTCTTGACCTTGTGATCCACCTGCCTCAGCCTCCAAAAGTGCTGGGATTACAGGCGTGAGCCACCGAGCCTGACCAGTTTGGGTTTTTTGAGACGGTCTTACTCTGTCATCCAGGCTGGAGTGCAGTGGCATGATCTCGGCTCACTGCAACCTCTGCCTCCTGGATTCAGGTGATTCTCCTGCCTCAGCCTCCTGAGTAGCTGGGATTATAGGCGCATGCCACCAATCACGGCTTTTTTTTTTTTTTGTATTTTTGGTAGAGATGGGGTTTCACTGGGTTGGCCAGGATGGCCTCGATCTCCTGACCTCGTGATCTGCCCGCCTCGGTCTCTCAAAGTGGTAGAATTACAGGCATGAGCAAGCATGCCCAGTGAACTGTGACCATTTTGAAAGCCATGATTTATGGGAATAGCAGTTATTTCTCTTTGTGTAAATAAACAGAGGCCACCAAAATAAGAACAAAGAGAGGCTTATGCATACAGAACTTGCTACAGAGTAAGGGATCCATTTGTTTATGTTGTCTATAGATTCTGGATATTATTAGGCCTTTGTTGGATACATCGTTTGTGAGTATCTTCTCCCATTCTGTAGTTTGTTTACTCTGTTGATAGTTTGTCTTGTTGTGTTTATGCTTTTATTTTACTTTAATTTTTTTTTTTTTGAGGCAGTCTTGCTCTGTCACCCAGGCTGGAGTGCAGTGGTGCGATCTCAGCTCACTGCAACCTCTGCCTCCTAGGTTCAAGCAATTCTCCTGCCTCAGCCTCCTGAATAGCTGGGATTACAGGTGTGTGCCACCACCACCTAATTTTTGTATTTTTATTAGAGACAGGGTTTCACCATGTTGGTCAGGCTGGTCTCAAACTCCTGACCTTGTGATCTGCCCAACCTGGCCTCCCAGCTTCTGGCTTAATTAGGTACCACTTGTCTACTTTTGTTTTTGCTGCAATTGCTTTTTTGGAATCTTAGCCAAAAATTATTTGCCAAGGCCGATGTTGAGAAGAGTGTTTCCTAGGTTGTCTTCCAGGATTTTTATAGTTTGAGGTCTTATATTTAAATCTTTAATCCATTTGGAGTTAATTTTTGTATATGGTGAAAGGTAGGGGGCCCACACTCAGTCTTCTGCATGTGGGTAGCCAGTTATCCCAGAATCATTTGTTGAATAGGGAGTCCTTTCTTCATTGCTCACTTTTGTTGACTATGTCAAAGATCACATGGTTATAGGTGTGTGAATTTATTTCTGGGTTTTCTAACCTATTCCATTGGTCTATGTGCTGTATTTGTACCACTACTATGCTATTTTGGTTACTGTAGCCTAGTAGTATAGTTTGAAGTGGCATATATGATGCCCATCAGCAGTGGATTGGATAACGAAAATGTGGTAATTATACACCATGGAATACTACATAGCCGTAGAGAAAGAAACCATGTCCCTTGAAGCAACATGGATGCAGCTGGAGTCCATTATCCTAAACAAATTAATGCAGCATCAGGTAACCAAATACCCATGGTCTCACTTATAAGTGGGAGCTAAACATTGAGTACACATGGACACACAGATGGGATCAATAGACACCAGGGTCTGCTTGAGTGGGGAGGATGGCATGAGGCTATGGGTCAAAAAACTATTGGGTACTCTGGTTACTACCTGGGTGACAACATCATTTGTACACCAAACTCCAGTGGCATGCAATTTACCCGTGTAACAAGCCTGCACATGTATCCCTTAAACCTAAAAACAGAAAAAATTAAAAATAAATAAATAAATGAGGTATAAGTCTAATTGTTGAATGTTGTGAATAGTAACCAACAGAGCCATTGAAAATAGTGAGAGTGGCCGGGTCGGTGGCTCACACCTGTAATCCCAACACTTTTGGAGGCCAAGGTGGGTGGATCACAAGATCAGGAGTTTGAGACCAGCCTGGCCAAGATGGCGAAACCCCGCTGCTACTAAAAATACAAAAATTAGCTGGGCATGGTGGCTCATGCCTGTAATCCCAGCTACTCATGAGGCTGAGGCAGCAGAATCACTTGAACCTGGGAGGTGGAGGTTGCAGTGAGCTGAGATTGCACCACTGCACTCTAGCCTGGGCGACAGAGCAAGACTCTGTCTCAAAAAAAAAAAAAAAAAAAGAAGAAGAAAAGAAAAGAAAAAGAAAATAGTGAGAGCACCATATAAGGAAAGTGGTTCAGGCACTGTGGTAAGGGGTGAGTGTCAGCCAAGTCATCAGCTATCAGAACACGAAGCCATCAGGTAATATATCAAGTTGATACATTAAGAAGGAGGGGCCGGGCACGGTGGCTCATGCCTGTAATCCCAGCACTTTGGGAGGCCAAGGCAGGCGGATCACGAGGTCAGGAGATCAAGACCATCCTGGCTAACACGGTGAAACCCCGTCTCTACTAAAAAAAAAAAAAAAAAAATTAGCCAGGCCTGGCGGTGGGTGCCTGTAGTCCCAGCTGCTGGGGAGGCTGAGGCAGCAGAATGGAGTGAACCCGGGAGGTGGAGCTTGCAGTGAGCCAAGATTGTGCCACTGCACTCCAGCCTGAGTGACATAGCAAGACTCTGTCTCAGAAAAACAAACAAACAAACAAACAAACAAACAAAACAGAAGGAGGAGGATCTACCTATTATATAACAGAGATAAGCACTCAGATATATGGATTATAAATAGTTTAGAAAATTTAAATATTTGATTATTCAGAAAGTAGACTTGGGACTATTGGAGAAACAGGGTGGGGAGTAGACTGCATGGAGAGCTCTTTCTTAGTGTGGGATTTTCAATTATGCACATAGGTTTCTTACATAACATGGAAAATTCAATTAAGAAACAACATTGTGTTTTGGGGTCCCAAAAGTTCAGTGATTGATTAGAAGGACTCACAAAACTGAGTCAAGCTGTTATACTCATAGTTATAGTTTATTACAACAAAAGGATACAGATTAAAATCAGCAGCAGAAAAAGGTGCATAGGGCAGAGTCCAGGAGAAACCAAGCACAAGCTTCCAGTTGTCCTCTGCCAGTGGTATCATGTGAACAGTGCTTAATTCACCCAACGATATGTGGCAGAAAGTACAGAAAATACTCCCCAACAAGAAGCTTACCTGAGTCTTGGGGTTGAGGGTTTTACTGGAGGTTGGTCTCATGGAAAAGAGCACCCATTTGGATGACCTTAGTTTCCTGTCTCCACCCTTCCCAAGGTCAAGCTGACACTGCATGGTCCAAGGTCCCCACAATAAATCACATTGTTAACTCCCACATAGGCAGGAGATTCCAAGGACTTAGAGGTTATTTCCCAGGAGCCGGGCTAGAGTCACACCATTCTTTGGAGTATGCCAGGTTTGGGCAATTCAGGCCTACTAAGTTTCCTTGACTGCACCCAAGTGATAGTGAGTATGTAGGAAATGAGTAGTCGCATATATTGCTGGTGAAATTAGTGTTATATAACCCTTTGGAAAGAAATCAAGTGTGTAGTGCATAAACATTATATTTGGTCTGATTTGTTTTTGTCTAAGACAGGGTCTCACTCTGTCACCCATGCTGGAGTGCAGTGGCATGATCACAACTCACTGCAGCCTCGAACACCTGGGCTCCAGCTATCCTCCCACCTCAGTCTCCTGAGTAGCTGAGAGCACAGGCACGTGCCACCACACCCAACTAATTTGTGTGTTTTTTGTACAGACAGGGTTTCACCATGATGCCCATGCTGGTTTCAAACTCCTGGGTTCAAAGAATCCCCTACCTCAGCTCCCCAAAGTGCTAGGATTACAGGAGTGAGCCACTGCACCCAACCTATATTTGTATATACATTAAATTGTATATGTTAGGCCAGGCGCGGTGGCTCACAAGTGTAATTCCAGCACCTTGGGAGGGCAAGGTCAGTGGACCACTTGAGGTCAGGAGTTCGAGAGCAGCCTGGCCAACATGGTGAAAACCCATCTCCACCAAAAAGACAAAGATAGCTGGACTTGGTGGCAGATGCCTGTATTCCCAGCTACTCAGGAGGCTGAGGCAGGAGAATCACTTGAATCCAAGATGTGGAGGTTGCAGTGAGCTGAAATCACACCACTGCATTCCAACCTGGGTGACGGAGCAAAACTCCACCTCAAAAAACAACCAAAAATTTGGGTATGTTATTGTATGTATGTGTATATACACATATTAAATATATATACATATATTACATTTTATACACATACATTTGTTTCCTCACGCTATTTGTTTCAGCAGAAGTAAAAATTAATAAAGGTATAAGTAAAAGAATATTTACAGAAGCACTATTTTTGGTGGCAAAAGTACTTTAGCATTTTATATGCTGATATAATGGAAGATACTTTAACTCTTACAAATAATGAGTTAGCTTTTTATCTACTATAAAGATATCCTAATATCTTTATACCTAAAGTGATATCAATGGCAAATTGTTATATGAAAAAGGAGAATGCTTTATAATTGAAGAAAAAAAGAAAGAAACGTTATATAGTAGCCCTCCCTTATCTGCAGGAGATGTGTTCTAAGACCCGCAGTGGATGCCTGAACCTTGGCTATCCAAGGCTATCCAATGCTATCATTGACCCAATTGCTGTCAATCAGAACACATTTCTGTCTATGATTTCCATGCACAAATTTAATGCCTTTTTCATCTTAACTAAGTACTTATCACACATGTGGCTGTATTTTTAGAGCTTGGGGTGCAACAAACAAGACTAACAGAAATTTCTTTTTCCTTCTTACATTTTCACCGCTAGAGGATTTGTTCTTACCATCGATCCTAGCAACCTGAGCACATGACTTCTTTTTCTTTCTATTTTTTTTTCTTTCTTTCTTTCTTTCTTGGTTGCTTGCTTGCTTGGTTGCTTGCTTGCTTGCTTGCTTTCTTGCTTCCTTTCTCTGTCTTTTTTTCTCTCTTTCTTCCTTTTTTCTTTGTTTCTTTCATCTTTTTTTCTTTCTTTCTTTCTGTTTATTTATTTATTTATTGAGATGGAATCTCACTCTGTCGCCCAGGTGGGAGTGAAGTAATGCGATTTCGGCTCCTTGTAACCTTCATCTCCCAGGTTCAAGTGATTCTCATGCCTCCACCTCCCAAGTAGCTGGGAATACAAGCGTCTGCCACCACGCCCAGATAATTTTTGTGTTTTTTGTAGTGATGGGGATTCACTATGTTGGCCAGGCTAGTCTTGAACTCCTGACCTCAAATGATCCACCCAGTTCAGTCTCCCAAAGTACTGGGATTACTTGCATGAGCCACTGCACCTGAGCTGTATATGCCATTGTATGATTGCAAATAATTATATGAATCTTGGAGAACATCATGGAAAGATGTTCATCATCTTGTTAACTGGTTATTTCAAGAGTGGAACTGGAAGGGGAATACTGCCTTTCCTGTGTATTTGTTTGTAATGTTTCATTTTCATTATGAACATGTATTATTTTAATATGTTTAAATATTAATAAACACAGGCAAAAATATGTAATTTTAATTCAAGCTGAAATCGTCAAGGCAATCATACATAACAGATGGAGCAAATAAAACATTTAAAATCCCTGAATGAAAAGGAGGGGAGGCCGGGCATGGTGGCTCACGCCTACAATCCCAGCACTTTGGGAGGCCGAACCAGGCAGATCACTTTGGGTCAGAAGTTTGAGACTGCCTTGGCCAATTGAGACCCCTTGACTCGATTGGAATTGGTCCCACAAACTTTTTTTTTTTGAGGGAGTCTCGCACTGTCACCCAGGGTGGAGTGCAATGGGGCAATCTCGGCTCACTGCAACCTCTGCTCCTGGGTTCAAGAAATTATCCTGCCTCAGCCTCCCTAGTAGCTCAGACTTCAGGCAATGAAACTAAAGAAAGTCAGGGGATGGCTAAAGGATGGAGGATACCTGGGCTGGGGGAGGAGGGAGAATGCGACGGGTGAACACAGACAGGCTTCCAAAGTGGTGTCCAGGTTGTATTTCTTCACTAGGTGGTGGGCACACAGGCATGCATTTTTCCTTATCTTTAAATTGTACATATTTCATACACTTCTCCATATGTATTATACATTTCAAAATAGTACATCTTTTAAAAAATCACAGTGGTTAATGCAATCAGTACAGGTGCCAGGCACATACCAGAGACTCCAGGTGACGGCATGCTCTCCTCTTGGGCTCCTCATCTAGGGCTGAAAGTTTATTTCTCACCCCTGCTGCCAGCACCCGCCATGCCAGCCCATGTCTCTAAGTGCTGAGGGGAAGGTGTATGAACAGAGACAGATACGGCCGTGGAGGAACCCGGAGGGAGGGCCCTCCACTTGGTGAGGACAGATTGTGAGGCTGGTCAGTGCTGAAGCTGAGTATCTTGCTTACTAGAGCAAAGGGGAACTGTGCTTATAGGACCATCTCTCAGAGCAAAACAAATTAAGTCTCTTGGGAAGCCTGGCATTGAGGATTGTCCAGCTTTCAGAAGTGAGAGTGTTCAGCCTGACTTCAGGGGCACAAGGTTCTTGCTGCCTGGGCCTGTTCTGTAGTGTGGGGCTGTCCCTGACTGGCCAGCTTTCAGAAGCATGCAGCATTGTCATTGACTTATTGGGGTTTCATGCCACCACAGCCAAAAAGCAGTTTGTTTTTGTCCTTGAGTTTGGACTATAGATTGTTATTCTCTCCAGGCAAAGGCAGGAAGCACACGGGAACAGGTAGTGCCAGGTGGCTGCAGGCAGGTGGTCTGGCTGGAGCTCAGTGCAGAAGCACAAGACGGTGGTGAGGAGTGAGGCAGACCCAGGGGACTGAAACACCACTGGAAAGAAGGTTCCACCCAGAGCAGTGGGGGCCACAGAGTGATCCTGAGGGGAGATATACACAGAGATGCGTTTGAGGAAAAGCAGAGACCAGTGGGAATGCTGGTGCTCTCCGCCAGAGGAGAGGCGACGGTGATCGGGACGAGATAGAGACACCGAGGCGGTGAAGATGGAGAGGCCATGTGAAGGTGGAAGGGACAGAATTTGGTGACAAGCGTCCAGACTGACGCCCAGGTTTCCACTTGGGGAGACCACAAGGTGGCAGGGTGAATTCCAATGCCAGGTCTCCGGGGAGAGCACACTCAGGAGGAAGATGAGAGTCCGGGTCCCTGTGGGATGGACGTGGAGCCCTCCAGGGGCATTGAACTCTATAGATCTGCCAGTCAGGGGCAGAGGGGTCCAGGGCAGAGGAGACAGAGATCTGGGCACCACCCACGAAGGCACAGTGGGCAGGGGATGGAGCCCTCTGGAGGGAGCCAGCGCAACGGTGCGAGAAGGAGCTTGCAAAGGAAGCAGAGCAGCAGCCAGGACAAGGGAAGGCACCCGCGAGGAACTTGCCTGCAGACCCCAGGGTTGAGTAGGCTTTAAGGAGGAGTGCATGGGGAGCGTTGGGCCGCTCACAGACTGAACACACAGAGGCTGGCGTGGATGCCTGTGGCCTCTGCCCTTGCAACAACCTCTGTCTTGGGTCAGGTTTCCTGGAAGCAGAGCTGAGATGGAATTCCTGTGGAGGTGATTATGGAGGGAGTGCTCCTAGGAAAGGAGAGTGGGGGTAGAGAGCCGGTGCAGAGACCTGAGCAAGGCTATGACTGCTTCAGCCTGGTTGGATGAAGGGGAGTTCAGGAGCACTGCACCTCACGGCTGTCCCTGCCTTGAGGCCAGGACCATTTTGTGTCTCCTCTCCCTCCCCTCATCAATCAGGCACTGGGTTGTGGGGGAGGGTGTGACCTTCTGGGTGAGGCAGTTTTCCCACTTGGCCTAGGGCAATGAGCCTCCGCTATCCTCAGGCGGCCACCATTGCCTGAAGACAAGTGAGACCCCATGTGCTTGGGCAAAACCAACCCCTTCCCAGCTCCCAGCATTCAGGGAGGGTCTTTGAGTAAGACCACCCTAAGCTGCCTCCTCTGCTGGCAAACTCCCTGTCACTGCTTTCCCCACTGTCTGCCACTGTAGACCCCAGGATGAAGCTCATTATGCTGCTTCTCCCTCTGTATGGAAAGTTCGAGTCCCCCCAGGCCACCCCTTGCCCCAGACAGCTCTGTATAACCCCTTCTCAGACCCCTTCCCCCATCCCCAGTTCCCTCAAACCCTTCCACTCTCGAGCTCCTGACCAGCCATGAGCAATGTCCCCCATATCCTAAACTTTTTGTAAACCAAAAATAAAATTCTGAGGGCCCCCCAGCCATCTGAATGGACCTCCTCCTCTGCCAGGGCACTCTTATAATGTAATCTGAAAGACTGGTTCAGGCCATGATGGGAAGTGGGGATCGGACTTGCATGATTATCGCTCCAGCATTAACATCAACACACTTTAGTCTGATAAGAAACATTTTACAGGCTCTCTGAAGCCTGCCACCTGAAGGCTTCCTCTGCAAATAAGAACTTTGGTTTCCACAATCCTTTATCTTAACCCAAACATTTTCTTTCTATTGATCCCAGGTCTTTAAATCAACTCAACCAATTGTCACTCAGAAAATTTTTAAATCTGCCTATAGCCTGGAAGTCCCCCCTCACCCACCCCCCGCCTTCTAGTTCTCTTGCTTTTCTGAACCAATTTATTTCTTAAATGTATTAGATTGAGGTCTCATGTCTCCCTAAAATGTGTAAAATGAAGTTGCACCCTGACCACCTTGGACATATGTTCTCAGGACCTCCCGGGGGCTGCATCATGGGCCATGATCACTCAGGTTTGGTTCAGAATAACTCTCTTCAAATATTTTACAGAGTTTGACTCTTTTTTGTCAACACTTTGAGCATCCCCTTGACTGTGCTGTAACTGGAGATGGACACCCGCTCGCCCCTCAAGGACCGCATCGCTCTCCAGCACTCCTCCTCTTCTTATAACTTTTGGTGATTTCCGTTTCCAGGGGGTGATCCCTGCAAAACCCTGGCCTGCTCTCCTTTCATGGTCTTGACCTCAAAACTACCCCAGCCCTCCTCTCCCATGGCCACACCCTAGATATTGTGGCCCATAACCATAAAGTCTTCTCTCTCCACGAAGACAATTCCGAGTGGCCAACCAGCAGCAGGAGTATTGCCATCTTGGATAAGCACTGGTCAGCATGACCAAAACCCACAAATAACATCTCAGACCAGAAACATTCCAAACCCCTCCCTCACCAGAGGCTTGCCAGCCCCGAGATAACCTCCCCTCCGGCCAGAGATATGTCAGCCCCAAAGCTGCGTTTTGTGTTTCTTTCCTCTTTCTTTAACACTTACACTCCTGATTGTGTCCAGCTGACTTCTGCAGTGCCTCACCTAAACATTCCTTCAATGGCTGGGCTTACACTCCACTGATCCCTCCACATTTTCACTGTGGTCACCCCTCTGTCCTCCCTCCTCCCTCCCAGGTATTATGGTGGGCACCAAACATTCTCAGCAGCATATGCCAGTTCCTCCAAGTCTTCTCTTCATTAGACCAACGTCCCCAGGCCCCCAGTTTTCCCCAACAGGATATGGACCACAGATCAGCCATGTCCTAGCATCTTCACCTGGTGCTTCTGTCCATCTGTCCATGTCTTCTTGTCCCTGGAAAGCATGTTCTCTGAGAGCAGAGATTGTGTTTCCTGCATCTCTGTCTCCTGTTGCCCAGCACAGAATTGGTGCTCAATGAAGATTTGTCCATCCAGATGAAGAATGGATGGGTGGCTGGATGGGTAGGCAGATGGATGATGAGTGGGTAGATGGGTAGGTGGATGGGTGGGGACAGATGGATGGATGGAGATAGATGGATGATGAATGGTGGATGGATGAGTGGGGGGATAGATGGATGGGGATGGATGGATAATGAATGAATTGGTAAGTGGATGGGTGGGTGGATGGATGGATGGGTGGATGAGTGGGTGGATGGATGGATGGGAATAGATGGATGCTGAATGGGTGGGTGGGTTGATGGATGGATGGGGATAGATGGATGATGAATGGATGGGTGGGTGGGTGGATAGATGGATAATGAATGCATTGGTAGGTGGATGGGTGGATGGATGGATGGGTAGATGGGGTGGATAGATGGATGGGTAGATGGGGTGAATGGATGGATGGGTAAGTGGATGGATGGATGGGAATAGATGATGAATGGATGAGTGGGTGGATGGGTAGATGGATGGGGATGGATTGATAATGAATGAATTGATAGGTGGGTGGGTGGGTGGATGGATGTATGGGTGGATGGATGGATGGGTAGGTGGATGGGTAGATGGGGATAGATGGATGATGAATGGATGAGTGGGTGGGTGGATGGATGGGGAGGGATTGATAATGAATGAATTGATAGGTGGATGAGTGGGTGGATGGATGGATGGATGGGGATGGATGGATAATGTAAGAATTGGTAGGTGAATGGATGGATGGGGTAGATGGATAATGAATGGATTGGTAGGTGGATGGATAATGAATGGATTGATAGGTAGATACATGGATGGATGTACAGGAATGAATGGATAATGAATGGATTGGTAGGTGGATAGATGGATGAGTGGATAGATGGATCGATAATGATTGATGGATGGATGGATGGGGATGGATGGATAGATAAATGGATTGGTAGGTGAATGGACAAAAGGATGGATGGATGAGTGGGTAGCTGGATGGGGAATGAGTGGGTAGGTGGGAGAATGGATGATGGATGGATGGATGGATGGATGGATGGATGGATAAATGGAGGGATGCATGATGAATTTCTCCCTTGTTCCCAGCCTAGTCCTAGAATATGTTGCCTCTTCTCAAAAATAAGGTACCACAAAGCCTCTGGTGACGGTGGAGCAAAGGAATAGATGGTGAATGTCTCATACCCACTTCGGATCCAGAACAGGCCTAGGAGAGACTCAGGTGGGATCTGCTGCTGAGGAAGGGGGTTGGGGCTGAAGTTGGAGGAGGAGGGCAGCTCTAAACCACCTGTTCCTGGCTCTAGGCCTCTCAGGCCAGACAGCCCCCACACGTTTCTGCAGATGCCCGCATCATGGTCCTGAGGGGATGGGGGCTGGCCTGGAGCCTTTCCCCCGTGGTGTGTGGCTATAGCGGGGACATGAAGGGGGTGTGTTGGGGACGTAGTGACCACTCCCTTCTACCGTCAGAGATCCTGCTTCCCCCTGCCCCCTGCCCCTCCTCGGCTGCCCTTCATAACCCCCCACCCACTCCCCACCTGCCATCTCCTGTGCTTGTGCGGATCCAGGAAGCACCTACCTGGGCACAGAGATCATCGCTCGGTGCCTCGCCCCTACACAAGGGCGATTAACTTCTCTGTTATGAACTCCTACTTAGTAATTCTGACATGAAACTCCCACTAGGATAAAACTTGGCGCAGAACAGCAATTACTGAAAACACATTTTTAAAAAGGTTGATGTTTTGTAAGAGTTCATCCTCCTCCACTCCTCAGCCTCCCTCAAGGAGACACATATTTAGATCTTCTCTGTGTGAGTCTAACTTGGAGACTGTGAGTTGCAGTTTAAAAGGGGCTCTGGGGCCAGGTGCGGTGGCACACACTTGTGGTCTCAGCTACTCAAGAGGCTGAGATGTGAGGAACGCTTGAGCCCAGGAGTTCAAGACCAGCCTGAGCAACATAGGGAGATGGGATCTACCCAAAACACTTAACAATAAGGCTGGCATGGTGGCATATGCCTGTGGTCCCAGCTACTTGGAGGCTGAGGCAGGAGAATCATTTAAGCCTGGGAGATCGAGGCTGCAGTGAGGTATGGTTTCAACTGCTGTGCTCCAGCCTGGGAGACAGGGCAATACTGTGTCTCTAAAAAATAAAAAATAAAAATAAAAAAATAAAGGGCTCTGAGCCCAGCCCTCTGGCCAGGGCCTGGTGCAGTGGCAGAGGCTTGGGTCCCTGCCAGGTCTCCTGAAACGTCTCCAGGGTCTGCTGGGGCAGCCACCTGGGTGCTCAGTTGCTCTGTTAAACAGCAAAATTCCCAAGTCCTCATCTCAATGAGCCACTGAGGCCGATGAAGAGGGCCTGTCTCATTTAGGACATGAGTGGCCAGGCGGGTGCCACAGGCCCTTTTCCTGGTGACAACAAAGCCATTGCATGGCTCCAGGAAGGCCACATCATTTCCCAGGCTTCGTAGGCACCTGCGGGGCGGAAACAGTTCAGCAGGGCCCTCCTGATCACAAGGACGAGGTCATACCGGCTGCTGCACGGCAGGGCTGCACTCTGCCAGGGAGCGTCCTGTGAGGGAGGGGCTGCACTGCCACTTTACTGATGAGGAAGTTAAGGTTCAGAGAGATGAGGTCATTTGTTAGAGGCCAGACAGCCTCCTCAGCCCATTTCTAAGGTTGTTTCTGTGGTATTTGCCATAAAGCCATAGGTTCATTGATTTGTTCTTAAGTAGTTCTGAGCCCTTCCTGCATATCAGGCAGGGACAAACAGGAAAGTCCCTGCCTTTGGCAAGTGCGGGGGAAATGAAATGATTCTGCTCAGCCTCATCCATTGGTCTGAACAATCACGTCTCATGACCGCAGGGACACGGCTTCCCCTGAACGCGGATCCTAGAGGCCAGGCAGAAGCAGCATGGGTTTCCACTCACACGGTAGGCGGCTGTGCAATTTCGTCTGGAGTCCCCAGACCCCTCCTCATCCTTCCCAGGGTTGCTCTGAGGCCATTCCTTGTCATCTAGGAGGGGTCTACATAAAAGCATTTATAAACACCTCCAAATGGGAGCCAGGCGTGCCCACCTTTGGAGCACTTTTCTCTACTGCAAATTTATCTACTGCTCGTGAAATCTCTGGATTTAACTCTGATGAAAGACTGGAGGCTGAAGGAGAACTTCAATATCATATATTTTAAAGGTTGATTCACAGTTTGGAGCAAGAATTAAAGAACCACGAACTTCAAGGTAAAACGGGCAACGGCGTTGGGGCAAGCCTCTCTGCATCTGCGTGTCCAGCCTCTCCTGCGTGCCAGAAGTTCCCAGGCAGGAGTGTGGTGGGACATCCGGCTGGGGTAAGGACAGGCACCCTCCCACTGTGTCAGGGCCCAGAGAGTGGGTGGAGAAGCTCTGCAAGAGACCTGTGCAAGGGCGCCTTGCAGGAGCCTGCAGTCCCCACAGGTGTGTTTGTGGATAACACTTGGGGAGCCCTGGCCTTTTGGGGTCACGGAGGGCTTGGCCTCTCACCTCAGAGCTGCAGAGAAGCCGCTTCTACATCAGGACATCAGAAGCTGGAACAGGATGGCCGGCGAGGGGCCTCTTGTTGGGGTCACAGAGATGGGTCGCAGAGATGGCCCGTGTGGAAGGTTGGATTCTCACCCCACCTCTGCCCCTAGATGTCCTGGTGACCCTCCCCTCTGTAGTCTTGGTTTTTTGCAAAACAGTTATGACCTCCTGCCATACTGGGTACTTTGCTTATGTATTGTGTTTACTCTTTACTGTGTGTCTCTCCTGCTAAGGTCTACGAAGAAGGGTCTTTGTGGGTGGGGTTCTTAGAGGCATCCCAAGTACCAGAAGCAGTCCCTGGACTAAGGGGCTCAATAAATATTTTTTATTTATTATTTTTTCTTTTTGAGATGGAGTCTCGCTCTCTTGACCAGGCTGGAGTACAGTGGCACAATCTTGGCTCACTGCAGCCTTCGCCTCCTGGGTTCAAGTGATTTCCGGCTAATTTTTGTATTTTTAGTAGTGACGGGGTATCACCATGTTGGCCAGGCTGGTCACAAACTCCTGACCTCAAGTGATCCACCCGCCTCAGCCTCCCAACATGCTGGGATTATAGACATGAGCCACCATGCCTGGCCAAATATTTGTCAAATTGAATTTGTATTTCCATACAAATTTTAGTCTGGATAAAGTGCTTCATGCCTGTAATCCAAGCACTTTGAGAGGCTGAGGCGGGTGGATGGCTTGAGCCCAGGAGTTTGAGACCAGCATGGAAAACATAGAGAAACCCCATCTCAATATAAGAAGAAGAAGAAAAAGAAAAAAAAAATCAAAAACGAAAACAACACAAATTTTAGAGTAAGTATTTTAAGTTCCACAAAAACCTGGTTAGGATTTGGATAGCAATTTCTTTAGTTCTACAAATCAATTTGGAAAAAATTAATTAATTTGGGAAGAATTCATTTTGAGTCTTCTAATCCATGAACATGGTATCTCCATTTGTTTAGACCATCTTTAATGCCTACTAATAACATTTCTGTATAGTGACCTTGCACATTATTCTTAGATTCTTGATATTTTGTGCTATTATGTCTTTTTATAAATTTTATTTTTCCAACATTGTTGCTAATATATAGTAAGAAAATGGAATCTTGCCTATAGATTTTGAACCCAACAACTTTGCTAAACTCCTCTGAATCCTCAGAATTTCCCTGTGGATTATGTAGGCTCTTCTGCATACACAACCATATCATCTGTGAATAAAGACAGTTTTGTTTTCTTCTTCACAAACTTTACCCGACTCACTGTGCAGTCTGCCACATCCAGGCTGATATTGAATAGCAGTGGCACTAATAGGATTCTTTGCCCCCTTGCCAATCTTGTAAAGAAAGCTTTCAACATTTTCCTGTTAGCTCTGTTGGCAGCTCTGACTTTTTCCATAGATGGCCTTCATCAGCTTAACAATGGGTCTTTTCTTCCCAGAGGGCTGAGCTTTTCCTTAAGAACAGACAGTGAGTGTCATCAAACACTAGGCTGCATCTGTTGAGATGGTCATACGACTTGTGTCTTTTCCTGTGTTTGTGTGTGAACTCTCTGGGTGTCTGAGGGTTCTTGTGACTTTCACAGAAGAACACAATTTACCCTCCGGTGTGGGAAGGGGAAGGAGGCAGAGGAAGAAAGACCCCAAGTCCCCCTCATCCCCACTGACCTTCCTGCTGGCTTCGTCCTTGATCTGTGCCTCCTTAGATCCTGCGTTTGAGTACTTGCGGTCATGATGACAGGGCCAACCTCCTGACCAGGGCTGTTAGCACCTCCCCTGCTGCCCAGAGTCCCTGCTCCAAACCACTTCCTTCATCTTCCGTACCCCCAGCCAATATTTCCCTGCCCAGTGTCAACCCAGGCCCAGAACCAGACCACAAGGGACAGCCCCGAAACCCAGAATCAGACAAATCAGCCCGTCCCAAGCTGTCTCCCCTGCTCTGCCCGGCTTTCACAGGGAAGCCAACACAGGCTGTGGCTTGGCCTTTCCCTAGCTCCTTTCTGCCTCCTGGTCTGCCTGCGGCTTCCCCCTGCCGCCCTGCGGGGCCTGCCACGTCTCTCATTTCTAGCGAATGTTTCAAGAGCGATGTTAGACTTTCCTTTCAATAGAGTTGACCTCTGTTAGGCACCTTTATGGATTAAGACCTGGGCATAGATGGTTTCTTCGGCATCACGACCTGAAGGTGCTTGGGAGAGACGGTGAGGAGGAGAATGCACCCTGCCATGCTCTGCACCGCACATGGATGCGGATTTCACCATGTTGGCCAGGCTGGTCTGAAACACACGGAGCCCAAGCGCCCGGTGGACTCTCTGACGGTCCTCGGGCGTGTGCCTTTGTAAGCAGAGTATTCAGCTCTCATCAGGGCCTCGCCAGAGCAGAAATGGTCTGTTGATAAATGCATCGTATACAATTATAAATGTGCACCCAGCATTGCTGCTTCCTCTTTTTTTTTTGATATAGGGACTTGCTCTGTCGCCCAGGCTGCAGTGCAGTAGGGCAGTCACAGCTCACTGCGGCCTCAACCTCCCAGGCTCAAGCAATCCTTCCGCCTCAGCCTCCTAAGTAGCTGGAACTACACATCCAGCTTTTTTTTTTTTTTTTTTGTAGACACAGGATCTCACCATGTTGGCCAGGCTGGTCTTAAACTCCTGGGCTCAAGTGATCCGCCCACCTTGGGCTCCCAAAGTACTGGCATTACAGGTGGGAGCCACTATGCCTGGCCTGCTTCCTTTTGCAAACAGGAATCTTGTAAATAGAATTGATCAGAACTTGTTGTTTAACGTACACAGACCTCTAGCTGTACTGCAAAGCTGTGTGCACATGTGTTAAGTCATCTGTTCTATGTGTTCTAATTATAAATAAGAAAAAACAAATTTCAATCAACCATGCTGGAGGAAGAGCAATTATGTTTCTATTCCTTCTATCATAGGTGATGTAAAATTCTCAAACAATGAGATAGATAAAAAGTACGCAGCCAAAAAGTTCAAGAAGAAGTGTTATGGAGATGGAGCAGGCCCTTCGTAAAAACACGATGTTGGTTTTCTGGATTTTGTATGTTTGCTTTTTTTTTTCCTCATCCTAAAGAAATATTCACTGTCATACCTAATTTTGTTTTTGTAAGTTTGTATTCTTTCTTTATAGGGAGGCCTCACAAAACCCGGATCAGACTCGCCCACTGCCCTGTGTCTGCCCTCCCGACCGCCTCTCCTGCCCAGCAGGGATGAGGGTGGCAGTGGTGCTGTGTGGAGGGTGGCGGGAGGACCTGGAAGACTGCGACCAGTGAGCCGGGAGGCCTTGGGACAGCCTCTCTCTGAATCATCCTGTGCACTGCCGGGTGTGACAGAGGCTCCTAGAATCCTGTCTCAAGTGGCCGCCTTCACAGAGGGAGTCACTGACGTCCCTGCTCAGCGCAGCCCTGGCATGTGGGGGTCCCTCTACTCATGAGAAACCCCCACCCAATCACCGTGAGGTGTGTGACCCATGCTCACATCCAGGGGCCACTCATTCATTCAGGAAACATTGGCCGAGCCCTCAGCAGGGGGCGGTGCTGGATGCCGGGATGTAGAGAGTGGGGTGGGACAAGGACTTGGTTGTGAGACGTCCCAGTCCGGGGAAGGACTAAGAGAAGGTGACATGGACAGTCTAGACTACCCGTCATTGGTTCTCCACTGGGGGCAGTATTGGCAATGTTTAGGTATAAATTTGTTGTCACAATGAATGCTACCAACGTCTAGTGGGTGGAGGCCGGGGGTGCGGCTCAGCATCCTACCAGGTGTCGGACGGCCCCCACCACCGAGTGCCAGCCCCGAGGGCAGCCCAGGGTGCCCCAGTGGTGAGGAGCCCCGGTGTGGAGTGCAGGGTTCGTTTGGACCACGGCTGTAGAGGCCTAGGGGAGCTCCCGCCATCAGGATGGCCGGGCATCAGGGCTCTGTGAGGGGGAAGGGGGCATCAGTGCAGCGGCAGGCAGGGGTTCGACGGGCTGAGTCCTGCGACGTGTTGCATCCACACCAGTGTCTGGGGCCAGCACCACCGCTCAGTCTCTGAACCCACTTATTTCGCCCAATATTGCTTGAGTGGGAAGTTCCACCTTCCCCAGTCGGCTGCTTATCTCGTCTTTCCAATGCAGTTAGGAAGGGAAAATATTTTCTCCCCATTTTACAGATGAAGAAATGGGGCCTGGCGAGGAGCAAAGCCCAGAACTGCTGCCCACCACCCTCCCTGCCTGGTGCTTTCCTGGGAACATGTGGGAGCCCCTGCCTGGACCTTGGGACCTCCCATCTGTAATTGCAGGCCCTGGTCTGCCTGTATGGATGTGGAATGTGTCACTCGGGATCCTGGAGTCCTCCTGAGCTTGTCCAGCAGGGCTGCATTCACTGATGTGCTGACAGAGGCCTAGGCTCGGACCTCTAGGAATATCCAAGGCATCTCATTATGCAGAAAACCACCCTCATGAGGTCCTGGAGGCCTCTCTCCATCTTCCTGGGGGTGATGCAATAGAGTGTAACTTCCATGCTGCCGAGACAGGCCATGAGGGGTTGCCCCCGTTGGAGGGGCAGAGTGGTATTTGTGGGGTGGTAGGAATCATTCAATGCCCAGCTGCAACCCCCCGGGCTCACAGCACACTCTTAAGGCCAGTGCTACCAGCTCCCTTGGGTGGATAGAGGAGCTACGGCTCAGAAGCATGCCCACAGCTCCCCCAGGACCCTGAGGCCAGCCTGTGGCAGGGCCTGTGATTTGAACCCCTCTACAAGGCTTCAAATCAGTGCTGTTTGTCCTGGCCTCATAAAACCTGGCTGCCCAGTTGGGATTGGTGTCATCTGCCTTGCTGAACTGGGCACTCCTTGGGAAGAGGGTGGGTGCTGCGAGAAGGCGGTGGATCCTGGCTGTGCAACCTTCGCAGGTGGCTGAACCTCTCTGTGTCTCAGTTTGCTCATCTGCAAAGGGGGCTGGGATTCCTGCCTACATGCATGTGCTCAAGAGGGAAAGCCAGCCAGGCATGGTGGCTCATGCCTGTAATCCCAGCACTTTGGGAGGCTGAGGTGGGCAGATCACTTGAGGTCAGGAGTTCAAGACCAGCCTGGCCTAAATGGCAAAACCCCATCTCTACTAAAAAAAAAAATAAAAATAAAAAAATAGCTGGACGTGGTGGCGGGTGCCTGTAATCCCAGCTACTGGGGAGGCTGAGGCAGGAGAATCACTTGAATCCGGGAGGCAAGGGTTGCAGTGAGCTGAGATCCCACCATTGCACTCCAGCCTGGGTGACAAGAGTGAAACTCCACCTCAAAATAAATAAATAAATAAATAAATAAATAAAGTAAAAGAGGGAATGCTGAGAGCTGGGCGTGGCCTGTGGCTCTGTAGCTACGCAGGAGGCTGAGTCAGGAGGATTGCTTTAGGCCAGAGATTCCAGGCTGCAGTGAGCTATGATCATGCCTGTGAACAGCCGCTATATTCTAGCCTGGGAAACACAGTGAGACCCTGTCTCTGAAAAAATAAAATATTTAAAAAAGAGTGAATGGTAGGTCAGGGTCTTCTGTAGTGGGGTGGGTCTGGGCAGGGGTGGAGGCCCAGCCAGAGTCACTGGGGTCAGGGAGGGACTGGTAACAAGAATGCACAGCCCTGACCAGGGAAGCACCCAGGGAGCTTTCCCCGTGAAGGGGGGACCTGGCCTCGCCCTGGCCTCACCCCGGCTGTGAGTTGGAACCAGCATGGAGGGAAGCCAGGCCCGGTGCACTCTGCCCAGGGGGATGTAGTTTGGCCAGTGGGGGCTGCCATCAGAGGCTGTCCTTACTGTGGGATCGCTGTGGATGCTTTCCCTTCTGAAGCCTGGAACCTTGGGTCCCCATGCCCTCCAGCTCTGTGTCTCCTTTGTGGGCATCAGGAAGACACATTCCCTGGCCTCCTTTGCAGTGGCTGGCTGTGGAAGGAGGTGCCTGGGGTCAGGTGGGTGTAGGTGGGTACGTGGCATCACGAGGACATATTTTTTTAGAGGGAATTACATTCTTTCTTCCAATTTTTTATTATAAAAGTTTTCCAATTGAAACCACCCACACCCCAAGCCTGGGGCCGGCCTCCCATCACTGCCTTCTCAGCCCTGGGGGAGGCCTCCTTCTTTCTGCATGGCCTCTGGGCCCATCTGAGCATTCCTCTTCCCTGATGGGAGAAACGCCTGGTGGGGGAGAAGTGGAAGTGGGTGTCCAGGCAAGTCTCAAATCCCAATGGCTGACCCGGAATCCCCTCTGCACACCTCTCCTCCTGGTGCCCGGAGGGGGTGCCCACTCTGCTGCCAGGGATTTCCTGAGTAGCTGCTCCGACCACAGCCAGGGAAGAGTCCTTGCAGGAACTCTGCGGGCTGGGCCTGCCCTCCCCAGCCTTGGCATCTTCTTGTTGGTGTCTGAGTTTGAGTCTGTTCTGTGGGCTCTGTGGGAGGTGGGCCCAGCTTCTCACCATGCAGGACCCCTCACCCAGAGCCTGAAACCCGCTTTGACTAACATGCCTCTGGGTTCCTTCACTGGCCCTGCCCAGTCGCATCCCATGGGAAGAAGGACTGGCTGCTCGGGGTTCTCAGACCCTAGCCTGGGAAAACCAGTCTGAGGGCAGGGATAACCCTTGGCCCTGCCTCTGATTGGGCCCTGAGTTAGGTGGGGTTCTTCCCTGCTGGGGGTCCTGGAGGCATGGGAGGGTTTTGGGGTTCTGTGTGAGAGAGGCCTCAGTCCCTTCAGTTCTCACAGATCCCCCAAGGCTGTGTGTCTGATCCATTGCTTTACATAAGAGAGGAATTGGAGCCAGGCAAAGCCCAGGATTAAAATGGGTGGTGGAGGGGGGAAGCTGTGATTTGAATGTGTCCCTCTAAAAACACGTGTTGGAAACTCAGTCCTCAATGCAACAGTGTTGGGAGGTAGGGCCTAAGGGGAGGTGTTTAGGATGATCCATGGATGATCCATGCAGGTAACAAAAGGCCTCGAGGCTGGGTATGTGTTCTCTCACTCTCTCACACTCTCTTGCCATGTGATGCCTTCTGCCATGTGATGACACAGCAGGAAGGCCCTCACCAGATGCAGCCCCTGAAACTTGGACTTCCCAGCCTCCAGAATCATGAGCCGAATCATCTTCTATTTTTTATTTTTTATTTTTTTTGAGACAGAGTCTTGCCCCGTCGCCCAGGCTGGAGTGCAGTGGCATGATCTCTACTCACTGCAAGCTCTGCCTCCCTGGTTCATGCCATTCTCCTGCCTCAGCCTCCCAAAGAGCTGGGATTACAAGTGCCCGCCACCACAACTGGCTAATTTTTGTGTTTTTAGTAGAGACGGGATTTCACCATGTTGGCCAGGCTGGTCTCGAACTCCTGACCTCAAGTGCTCCACCCACCTTGGCCTCCCAAAGTGCTGGGATTACAGGCATGAGCCACCACACCCGGCCTTTTTTGTCTTCTTATAAGGAGGTAAGTTGTATTGAATCAGGGCCCACTCCAATCAGGTGTGACTGCGTCTTCACTTGATTATATCTGCAAAGGCCCTATTTCCAAAAAGGTTGCATTCATAGGTACCAGGGGTTGAGGCTTTAACATATCTTTTAAAATTTTTATTATTTTTTTGAGACAGAGTCTTGCTCTGTCGCGCAGGCTGGAGTGCAGTGGCGCGATCTCGGCTCACTGCAACCTCCACCTCCTGGGTTCAAGAAATTCTCTTGCCTCAGCCCCCCGAGTAGCTACAATTACAGGCGCCCCCACCCACCCCACCATGCCCGGCTAATTTTTGTATTTTTATTAGAGCTAGGGTTTCACCATGTTGGCCAGGCTGGTCTCAAACTCCTGATCTCAAGTGATCCACTTACCTCAGTTTCCCAAAGTGTAACATACCTTTTTGGGGGACAGAATTCTACCCACAAATTCTAGATAAGGAGGCATTGCTTCTTTTTTCTTCTGGTATTGAATGTCACTTTGGAGAAGTCTGATGTCAAGTTGGTTTTCTTTGCTTTATAAGATACTTGGTCTTTCTGTCTGGCTGCCTAAAGGATTATTTCTTTATCTTTAAAGTCCAGTGACTTTACAAAGGCATGTTTTGTGTTGACTGTTCTGGGCCAACACACACAAGTATACAGCTTGCACTTTTACAGGCAGGTGCAAGTCTGCCTGCATTTCAATAAAGAGGTCTTGAATGATAGTTTCAATCCTTGTTCAGCAGGTGCTGTGGTGCACACCTGTGCTCCCAGCTACTCAGGAGGCCTCCTTTTTAATCTCTTTCCTCTTTCTTTCCATTTGCTCACTTTTTCCTTTTTTACGTGATTTTCATGGTGTCTGTGCTCTCATATTACCTGTAACTTCATTTCTTCATTTCTGAAATGGTTCTGTCTTTTTCTTCAGTTTCCTTCCTGAATTCTGTCATGTCCTACCACAGACTCGGCTGCTGTTTGGCCACCTCTTCCCTGCATTCTTATTCTGTGCTTATTCTCCTCTGTTCTTATCCTGTGCTGTAGTCTCCCTTTGGAGCTGAAGTTCTTGTTGGAATATTAGATCATTATTTTCATCTGGTTTGTGGCAGTATTTGTCTGATGAGATTTCTTCATTTGTAGGAAAATAGCACTGCTTTTATTTTTTTTTTTTTATTTTTTAAGACTGCAGCTTGCTCTGTGACCCAGGCTGGAGTGCAGTGGCACAATCGTAACTCACTAGAGCCTTGACCTACAGCCTGCACTCGAGCAATTCTGCTGCCTCTGCCTCCTGAGCAGCTGGGGACTACAGGTGCGTGCCACCATGCCTGCCTGGGTTTCTTTTTCTATTTTTTTGAGAGAGGGTCTCCCTCTGTCACCCGGGCTGGAGTGCAGTGGCGCAATCTCAGCTCACTGCAATTTCTACCTCCTGGGCTCAAGCGATTCTCCCATCTCAGCCTTCTGAATAGCTGGGACTACAGGTGCACACTATCGTGCCCGGGAATTTCTTCGTTTTTTTTTTGTTTGTTTGTTTGTTTGTTTGTTTTTTGTAGAGACAAGGTTTCACGATGTTGTCCAGGCTAGTCTTGAACTGCTGGGCTCAAGTTACCTGCCCACCTCGGTCTCCCAAAGTATTGGGACTATAGGCGTAAGCCACCATGCCTGGCCTTTTTTTTTTTAAGTTAGGCACTTAGGTCTCCTTATGTTGGCCAGGCTGATCTTGAACTCCTGGCCTCACTCAATCCTCCCGCCTCTGTCTTTCCCACAAAGTGCTGGTGTTACTGGAAAAGGGGGGGCTCTGATCCAGACCCCAAGAGAGGTCTCTTTGATCTCATGCGAGAAAGAATTTGGAGCGAGTTCACAGAGTAAAGTGAGAGCAAGTTTATCAGGAAAGTAAAGGGATGAAGAGGAACTGAGGTCTCCTCCCCGCCCTTTTGAGACCTTATAAGGTAACCTCCAGACATTGCCATGGCATCTGTAAACTGTCATGGTGCTGGTGGGGGTGTCTTTTAGCAGCAAATGCATTCTAATTGGCATATAATGAGCCGTGAGGACAATCAGAGGTCACTCTCGTGGCCGCCTTGGTTTTGGTGGGCTTTGGCCGGCTTCTTTACTGCAACCTGCTTTATCAGCAAGGTCTTCATGACCTGTATCTTGTGCCGACCTCCTATCTCATCCTGTGACTTAGAATGCCTAAACTCCTGGGAATGCAGCCCGGCAGGTCTCAGCCTCATTTTACCCAGCTCCTGTTCAAGATGGAGTTGCTCTGGTTCCAACGCCTCTGGCATTGGGATTTCAGGCGTGAGCCACTGTGCCTGGCCAGCATTGCTTTTGGAAGTGGAGAGCGTGCCCATTTTTGTTACTCGTTTATTTGAATAGGATGGCTGTTCCGGCCAGGAGGTGCTGGGCCACGGCTCCTGGGAGGACCATGTGCTGCCGCACATGTGCCTCCCGGGTCTGTCCTCTGTCCCTGGCTGCTCGGGTCAGCCTGGCCTCCGGTTCTCTCCCTTTCTGTCCCTTTTGCACCCTGGCTCCCTCTCTAGGCTGCGGTGCAGTGAGGACGCTGCTCAGGGCTGGAGGCTGGCGGGAGGTTGGGTGTGATGCGAGGCTGTGTTGCCGGCTGTTCTGGGGATGCTGACAACATTAGCGTGGCTCATGTTTATCGTGGGTCTAGCTCCTCTTGTACAGACATGGTCCTCTTCCCTTCCTCCACGAAAGCAGAACCCTGATGCGTGGCGGGGCATGTAGCTGGCCGGAATGAAAACCTGCATCTCCCAGCTTCCTCCCTGATGCTAAGTGGAGCTGAGCTGCTAAGTCGTGGCCAGTGGGTTAAAGGCAGAAGTGCTGTAGGAGACTTCCAGGAAGATGGCTAAAAACAAGCTGACTCAGCTGGGACTTCTGGGATGGGCCCTTTTCTGCCCTGTACTTTTCCAGCTTCCTTCCACCTGTCCTGTGGTCTTGATGGCTGGAGCACCAGCAGCCACCTTGGACCATGGAGTGGCTTTGAGGCTAGACACCATGCGTGGAGGATGAGGAGCAGGACAGCCAGGATCTGGGTCCCTGAGGACATCGAGGAGCTGCCACCTCACCCTCAATCAGTCATCCCCAGATTCTCCCTTCAGAAAGAAATCAGCTTCTTTCTTGTTTATGCTTCTTTTGCTGGGATTGTCATATGCAGCGAAACCAAACTGTGGAGTCCCGATCAGCTGATAGAAATGAGGAAGGGGTTCCCTCCTCTGCACAACTCCATGGCACCACAGGCCCTAGCTGGCAAGAACATGAACTAGGGTGGGGGAGAGCCATTGTTCTAAGAAATGGATAACCACAAGCAGCCTGCTTGCACAACCTCCTGTTACCAAATACCTAGCTCTGCACGTTAGCTCCAGCAGCATGACCCTGTCTGCATGGGGCCTCTCCAGCGTGACCCTGTCTGCATGGGGCCTCTCCAGCGTGACCCTGTCTGCATGGGGCCTCTCCAGCGTGACCCTGTCTGCATGGGGCCTCTCCAGCGTGACCCTGTCTGCATGGGGCCTCTCCAGCGTGACCCTGTCTGCATGGGGCCTCTCCAGCGTGACCCTGTCTGCATGGGGCCTCTCCAGCGTGACCCTGTCTGCATGGGGCCTCTCCAGCGTGACCCTGTCTGCATGGGGCCTCTCCAGCGTGACCCTGTCTGCATGGGGCCTTTCCAGCGTGACCCTGTCTGCCTGTTGCCTCTCCAGCATGACCCTGTCTGCATGTGGCCTCTCCAGCACGACCCTGTTTGCATGTCGCCTCTCCAGTGTGACCGTTTCCACATGTAGCCTCTCCAGCGTGACCCTGTCTGCATGCGGCCTCTCCAGAGTGACCCTGTCTGCATGTGGCCTCTCCAGCATGACCCCGTCTGCATGTGGCCTCTCCAGAGTGACCCTGTCTGCATGTCACCTCTCCAGCATGACCGTATCCACATGTGGCCTCTCCAGCATGACTCTGTTTGCATGTGGCCTCTCCAGCATGACCCTGTCTGCATGTCGCCTCTCCAATGTGACCCTATCAAACTTCCCCCTGGCCTCTGCCCCTGGGGAGGTGGCCTTCTCTCTGCCATGCTGCCTGCTGTTCTCTTGCAAGGTGTCTTCAGACTTTCTTTACCCATGACTGTCTCGGTAAATTCTTTTACCACCCGTGACACCAGCCCCAGCCAGTTGCACCTGCAACACTGGCTGCAGTGGATTCCTTGTTGTTGATACTCCACATAACCTTGCTAGGTGTCATATATGATCATTCTTTAACAGAGGGGCAAGCTGAGGCTCAGAGAGGTTAAGGCACTTGCTCAAGGTCACACAGCAGAGAGGTTGTGGGTAAGCCAGGCTGCTGGCTTAGAACACTGCCATGGCATTTCTCAGATCACCTCGCTCAGGGACTCCTGGCAGTTCCCCCTGTGTCATAGCGGTGAGTCTGTCCAGGACGAGCCACTCCAGGCTACCGAGGGCCAGCTGGAGGGCCTGCAGACACTTGCTGTGGAGTCAAGGTCCACACCATCAGCTGGAAGAGAGGTCTCAGGAGGGGCATTAGTGTTTGTCCTCGCTGTGATTGCACCAACTGACAAATCAGCTGTGGGACAATGGAAAACACAGCAGCAGCTTGTTACTGAGAAGGGAGGACTCAGGGTGGACCTGACCCCTCTGCAGATGGCTTGGTGAGAACGTGGCCTGCCCTGTTGGCTCCTCCCTCTGGGTATTGGAATTGCTGGGCAGCCAGAGGCTTACCTGGGCTTACTGGCACCCAGGGAGGAGAAGCCCTGAGCTGTGCGGCTGCTGAGGAAGGCTGTCTGCAGGGGAGAGCCCAAGCGCTGAAGGAGGCCAGTGGGCTCAGCCTGATGTCTCCATTCTCCTTCCTACAGCAACCAGGGTTCTTTGGAAAGGGTCAATTGCCCCACCTTACCAGGTAGGGATGCAGGAGGGAGAGCGAGCCATTCCTCTAACGTCAGTGACCATGTCTTGGTTCCAAAACCCCTTAAGCCTTGGGTTGTCTATCAGCAAAAAGAGAAGGGATGTGCTCAGGGGGTCTTCGTGGAGATCCTCTGCTCCCCTCACCTTGAATGTGGAGAGGGCCCAAGACTCCCTAGGGAAGGCAGTTGATACAGACTCCAGGTGTGCCCTGCTCTCTCCTCGGCACCACTCTGCAGCACCACAGGCAGTCTGGGGTGCAGATAACATCTCTCTGGGCACAGCTTTGCACCAGGGCATGCTGGGGGTAGAGCCACACTTGCATGGCCTGTGGATCCCTGCAGCCTGGGGATTGGGCTGCTATTCCCACTGCAGGGAGGGAGGTGGTTGGAGGTAGGGGCTGCTCCTACCTAGGTACTTCTGGCCTCACCAGAAGAAGGGGGAGGGTTTGCACATTGAGTGGCACCTGCTCCATCTTTGTCCCTGTATTTACATCATTATTCTGAAGGCCAAGAGATTAGACCTGCCGGAGCTCCATGCACAGACCCTGGGCAGGTGCATGTGGGCTTCTGGCTTCCTGGTGTGCACAGCCCCTTCTCTCCCTTCTGGACTGTGGCAGTGTACTAGGGACATTGTAGCCACTGTGTAAAGTCTCCCGCTTTCTGGGACAGTTTTATTCACTCATGTGTGTTGAGAGCTCGTTTTGTGCTGGGGTCCCTGGGGAGAACGCTGGGTTCACTCATAGTTCCACAACAAGGGACCTGTGGCCTTTGTTGTGGACAGGGGCCAAGAGCATGTAGAGAAGGCACTGAATGCTCCTTGGCTTCCAGGGGAAAGATCAGGACTGGAAGGATGTGGGAACTGCCCAAAGCTACAGGATCTGCTGTCTCAATGGCTGAGCAGGGTGCAGAGTGCATGCGGCTGTTTGTTCTGTGGCACTGGTAACCTTGGCACTTCTCCAGGTGTGAAGGACAGCATGGGAGTGAGCCTGTGAAGTTATAGGCAGAGTCCAGGCAGCCCCAAGCCTGGGTGGGTTGTAGCTGTCAGAGTGGCAGCAGGTGGACAGAGGGGATGGGCTCGGGGGGAGGCGGGGGGACCCGCTTGAATGGGAGTCAGCCTGGGGGCATCTCAATCCCTCTGATGCCTGGTTTGGGTCCCCAGCACTACTTAGCCCACCCCACTGAGCCTGTCTGTGCCTGGCCTGGCACTGGTGATGCAGGGACTGAGTCAGGCAGGGCCTGACCCAGAGAGCCCATGGGCAGACAGTCTTGGTGCTGCATGCCCGGGCTTAAACCAATAAGCCTGATTCTGAATGTCCACAAGCTCTTGGCTGGTGGGGCCACAGGACTGGGACCCAAGCCTCCTAGCGACATGGCTGAGGCCATCTGTCATGGGTCCTTCTCTCAGGCCACCTGGTTCCCTGTGACTCACTTGGTGTTGACCAGGTGCATGGATGCAGAGCTGAGCAGACAGTCCCTGTGTCCCCAGTCTGGTTGGGGGTGCAGGGGTCTGGAGCCCATGTGAGCCTGGTGAGAGCCTGGGAAGGAACCACTTTTTCCATGGCAGAGCTGAGTGCAAAGCACGCTGTTGCACTGCTCTGGTGGTGGCATTTTACTCTGTAACCTATTCATCCACATACTCATGTATTTCTCCACCCACCCATTCATCTACTTATCCACCCATTCACCCATCCATCCACTTATCCATCCACCCATCTACACATCCATCCATCCACCCACCCACCCATCCACCCGCCCATCCATACATACATCCACCCATCCATCACTTATTTGTTCATCTATCCATCCATTCCCCCATCTCTCCATCCACCTACTCACCCATCCATCCACCATCCATCCATCTATTCATGCATCCATCCACTCATCCATCCATCCATGCATCCATCCATCCATCCATCCATTCACCCACCCACCCATCCACCTATTGACCCATCCATCCACCCATCCATCTACCCATACTTCCATCTATCCACATACCTGCCCATGCACCCACTCATCCATCCACCCACCCACTCACCTATCCACCCATCCACCCATCCATGCATCCATCCATCAATCCACCCACCCACCCATCCATGCATCCATCCATCCATCCACCCACCCACCCGCCTCGTCCCTCCGTCTGAAGGTCTTTACAGAACAGCTGTGAAGCTGAGATGCTGGGGACCCAGTGGTTACTCAGGACAGTCATGGACACTGCCATCTAGGCTGTGCTTCCTGGCAGGCAGGAGCAGCGAACAGGACCCTTTGCAGATAGTGGTGTCTGCTGTAAAGGAGAGAAAACAGTGAGAGTAAAAGAGTTGAAGAGTTACTGGGGTCTCCTGGGACTCTTTTCCATTCTGAGTCCTGAGCCCACCGAGAAGTAAGGCATGAAGGCAGGTGCTGGAAACCCAAAACCCTTCTAACAATGCCAACCCCTCCATCAGGTTGTAAACCAAAGGGTATCTGAGACAGGTCTCAATAAATTTAAAATACTTATTTTGCCAAGGTGAAGTAAGGGCCTGTGACACAGCCTCAGGAGGTTTTGACGACATGTGCCCAAGGTGGTCAGGGTACAGTTTGCTTTTATTTTTATTTTATTTTATTTTATTGAGATAGAGTCTCACTCTGTTGCTCAGGCTGGAGTGCAGTGGTGTGATCTCGGCTCACTGCAACCTCCGTCTCCCGGGTTCAAGCAATTCTCTGCCCCAGCCTCCCCAGTACCTAGGATTATAGGCGCATGGTACCATGCATGGCTAAGTTTTTGTATTTTTAGTAGAGACGGGGTTTCACCATCTTGGCCAGGCTGGTCTCGAGCTCCTGACCTCGTCATCCACCCACCTCGGTCTCCCAAAGTGCTGGGATTACAGGCATGAGCCACCATGCTTTCTTTTATACATTTTAGGGGGACATGAGACATCAATCAATATGTGTAAGATGTACATTTGTTTGGTCAGGTAAGGCGGGGCAGCTTGACAACTTGCGGGGGTGGGGGACTTCCAGGTCATAAGTAGGTAAGAGACAAACTGTTGCATTCTTTCGAGACCTTGATCGGCCTCCCACTGAAACACAATTTAGTCTGGCTCAGGGAATCTGTATTTTTATATCAACAATAGGGCAGAGGAAGCCATCAGATATGGATTTGTCTCAGGGGAGCAGAGGGATGGCTTTGGGTCCTGTCTGTCATTTGTCTACGAGGAATTTCCTTCTGGGCAAATTTTGAGGGAGGTGGTGGCTTTTTAGTCTCCGTAGCCATCTTATTCAGGAGTGGACTGGGAGGCAGGTTTGCCTGAGCAGTACCCAGCTTGACTCTTCCCTTGGCTTGGTAATTTTGGGGCCTGAGATGGATTTTCCTTTCACAGGGTGTAGCAGGCTTAGTGCCAGGGCCCAGAAGACTTTTAGGCATCAGGAAAGTGGTTTAATGCCTTCTAAAATCAGAATAAACACAGTGCAGCCTGGGCTATAGTCATCTTTCTACCAACGCAGTTATGAAACATCATTGGTAATACTTTAGCCCAGAGGAGGGGCCCACAGAGGCTGTAATGCCAGGCTGCCCGCTATTCCCAATGGAGGCTGGTCGGAGGACGTGGCTCAGAGTGAAGGCCAAGGGGGCCTTCCCTGAACCCCAGAGTGGAGGGGCCACCTGCCCAAAGGCGCAGCCCAGGCCAGCCTCCAGGGAGCCCCCACCTGTTCAGCAGAGCAGGCCACCCCTGCAGGTAGCAGCGGAGAGTGAGCTCAGCCTGCCCTGCAGACCCTGCCTGGATTTGCCAATCCCTCCCTGCGTGGGGGTGGGTGACAAATGGTGGGAGAGAGGCAGGGGTCAGAGAAGTCAGTTTTCTCCACGTGGAAGGAGGCTCGGGAGTTGGGGAGGACACCCCCACCTTCCCCGGCCTTTTGTTGCCCTACCCAAGGGCCTCGTGGTCACACTTGTGGTGAGCTGGGGGGCCGCCCCTAGGGAGAGGAGAACTGTCGGGGTCCCCTTCATGAAGCCACTCCCAGGACTGCAGGGGGCCGTTTGGGTTTACCCCCCATGAAACTGCCTTTGCAAAAATTATAACTGAGGAAATGATGACAGTGAAAGAAATCAGACCTAACCGACTCCACATTCCTTCTAACCTTTAAGCTGTCCTTATTCATCCCTGGGCGTAGGCCGAACTAACTTTGGGAAGTAATTCAGTTCATGGTTTGACTCTGAAACAAAATTGGTAACAGCCCTTTCCCGAATAGACCCCCTTCTTGCCTGAGGACCAGTCGGCCTTTGTAGGACTAACAAATTAGCTGCAAGGTTAGAAATTATGGTTTAGGGGTCTTGTGGCCTCCGGCTGTGAGAGTCTGAACCTCCCCAAATTGCTTCTGGGGATCACCTCACTATTGTAAAACCTGAGATCAGTGCTGGGGATATTCTGCAGACCCCGCACTCATGGATCAGCTGACACCACCTAGACCAGTCATCTGGCTCAACCAGTTCCGCCATCCCACCCAGGAACAGAAGACAGCAAGAAAAACTCACTTTGACCCCCTATGAGTCCATCTCCAAACGGACCAACCAGTATTCCCCACTTTCTGAGCCCCTACCTGCCAAATTATCTTTAAAAACTCTGATCCCCAAATGCTCGGGGAGACCCTTTTGAGTAATAATAATAAAACTCTGGTCTCCCGCACAGCTGGCTCTGCGTGAGTTACTCCTTCTCCTTTGCAATTCCCCTGTCTTGATAAATCGGCTGTGTCTAGGCAGCCGGTGAGGTGAACACACTGGGCGGTTACACCAGGATTAATGAAACTGACGCAAAGCTCCTTTGTGCCAAAGCTGGAACTCATGCCTCCCACCCGCCGTCCACGTGGTATCCAGCTGCACAGTCATGCGGTGTCCAGCTGCATGGTCACGTGACATTGCAGCTGTGCCGTGGCGTTGGCAAGACTGTGACACACGGCGGCCCCACGCGGTGTCCACTGCACAGTCACACGACATTGCAGCACTGCCGTGGCAATGGCAAGACTGTGACACACGGCGGCCCCACGCGGTGTCCACTGCACAGTCACGTGGCATTGCAGCTCCGCCGTGGTGACGGCAAGACTGTGACACACGGCGGCCCCATGCGGTGTCCACTGCACAGTCACGCGGCATTGCAGCTCCGCCGTGGTGACGGCAAGACTGTGACACATGGCGGCCCCAAGCGGTGTCCACTGCACAGTCACACGACATTGCAGCATTGCCGTGGTGACAGCAAGACTGTGACACACAGTGGCCCAAACGTGGGGGGCTCTTCCATTCCTGTATTACTTGATCGAAGAAGTCTGTAGGTCAAACGCCCTTGCCAATTACAGTTGCTAGACTTTAAAGTGAAAATGCATTTTCTTGCCCTCACCATTTAAAAGCCAAAGCTCAGAACTTTGAGTTTTAAGTGAAAGTCCCAAATGATGGAATTCAATTTCTTTCCCCCAGGTCACAGCCAAAGGGGCTGTCATGCAGGGAGATGAGGGGCCACACAGGCACTCTGGGGACCTGGGGCTTTCTTTCCTCAGGAGGCCCAGGGGCGCGGGTGAGGTGTCGGCTGCTTTGCACCCAGGCCACGCTGCTTCCAGGGGCCTTGTGGCTGGCAGAGTGGACCTGACGTTTCCCAGACGCCGTTGCTGGGGGCTCCTGTCCTGGGAAGGGCAGATTTTCTCCTGCGTGTGGGTAACTTGTAAGGTGGCAAGGCTGCGTTCCCCGGACCCCCGTCTGCGAGGATTCTCTGAGGTCCAAGTTTCCAACGCCTTTCTCTGGAAAGGTTTTGCCTTTGCTTCTCCCAGAAGCTTGGGTTGCCAGGACTCCCTCAAACTAAATTTTTGGCCTGGGGTTTTTCCAGTCATCCAGTGAGCGTGAGTTCTGGCCACACTGCCCCTGAGGTGGGCTTGTGACTGGAATTTCCTGGGGTGACCTTTTTCTGCTTTTCCCCCTGCTTCCAGAGCCAAGGCGACGCGCCCACTGTCTCCCAGCTGGGTGGGCTTCCCAAGGCCGTCTGTGGGGCCTCCTTGATCCTCCCGTGGGCAGGTCTCACGTCCCCTTTGCCTCTGGCTCCCTGTGTGCGTGGCTCACTCAAGCCAATGGGAAAACCCTGGAAACTCTACAGAGAAGTAGGTAAAATCCATGGACAGAGTGTGTAGAACAAGATTACAAATGGCTCTGAAATATAGGGAAAGAGGCTCGTAGTAAAGAAATGCAAATACAAGCTATGCAGAGATGCAGTTTCTCACACATCAGACTGGCAGCGATTCAAAAGCGCGACTGCGGTGGAGGAGGCCGTGGGAAACTGGCTCCCTCAGACACTAGGAGGGAAACTGTCCTTCACCCGAGGGAGCGGAAGGTGGCAGTAGCTAACAAAATTACACTGGCTTTGCCCCTTGACCCAGCGACTCCATTTCTAGGAATTTCCCCCGAGGTGACACCTCTGCAAATAGGGAACAGTGCATGCTTGAGGGATGCAGCACAGCCTCATTTGTCACAGCGAGACACTGGGAACGACCTGAGTGCTCATTCACCAGGCAGGGCTGTGCAAATGGGAACAGCCACAGCGCGGGGCATCATGTGGCCGTGGGGAACCTGGGGAGCCTAGGGGGCCTGGGGGGACTGGGGAGAACTCAGGGAGTCGGAGCACGGGAGGACAGACAGGCTGCTCAGTGTGGCAGGTGCAGCGCCGAGGGCGTCTGCAGGTGGGTGAGAAGGGGGTGTAAGGGGACACACACACACCACACATGCACATGCAAACCACACACACACGTAAGCCACACACACAAATCACACACATCAGACACACCACACACGCACATGTAAACCACACACACAATCACACACCACACACACGTGAACCACACACACAAATCACACACATCAGATACACCACACATGCACATGTAAACCACACACAATCACACACCACATGCACCATACACGCACATGTAAACCACATACAAATCACACACACTACACACACACTTAAACCGCACACACAAACCACACACATCAGACACACCACACATGCACATGGGGACCACACACACAAATCACACACACCACACACACACATATCACACACATCATACACACACATAATACACACACACACAAATCACGGCACACACCATACACGCACATGTAAACCACACACACACAAATCATATACACGCACACACACCACACACGTCAACTATACACACAAAAATCACACATTCTTTCACTACACAGGCATATATAAACTACACACAGAAATCACACAGGCAGACACACTACACATGCATATGTAAATTACACACACATAAACTACACACACAACCTATACACACAAATCATACATGCACTATACATGCACATATAAACTACACACTATACACACACAAATCACCCACATGCACACACACGGCACATACTACACCTACACCTGTGAACTACACACATACATAAACCACACACACAAACTACACACACATAAACTTCACACACAAACTACACATACATATAAATGATACACAAACTATTCACACACAAACTACACACATAAACCACACACACACATAAACCACACAAAACACACACACATAAACTACACACACAAACTGTTCACACATATAAAAACACACACAAAGTACACCCAAACTATACACACAAACCACACACACATATAAACCACACACACAAAGTACACACACAAACCATACACATACATATAAACCACACACACAAAGTACACACACAAACCATACACATACATATAAACCACACACACAAAGTACACACACATAAACTATACACAAACTACACACACACATATAAACCACATACACAAACTATACACAAACACATAAACTACACACACAAACTACATACACATATAAACCACACACGCAAAGTACACACATGTAAACTGCACACACAAACTATACACACACAAAGTGCACACACATAAACTACACACAAACCACACACACATACAAACCACATACACAAACTATACACAAACACATAAACTACGCACACAAACTACATGCACATATAAACCACGCAAAGTACACATTCATAAACTACACACACAAACTATACACACATATAAACCACACAAAGTACACACATGTAAACTGCACACACAAACTATACGCACACATATAAATCACACACAAAGTATACACATGTAAACTGCACACACAAACTATACACACACAAATAAACCACACACACAAAGTACACACGAACCACACACACACATATAAACCACATACACAAACTATACACAAACACATAAACTACACACACAAACTACACGCACATATAAACCACACACACAAAGTACACTTTCATAAACTACACACACAAACTATACACACATATAAACCACACACACAAAGTACACACATGTAAACTGCACACACAAACTATACACACACATATAAATCACACACACAAAGTACACACACATAAACTACACATGCAAACTATACACACACATATAAACCCCACACACAAAGCACACACATGTAAACTACACACAGAAATGATACACATTTAAACCACACACACAAACTACACATACATAAACTACACACAGAAACTATACACACACATATAAACCACACACACAAACTACACATACATAAACTACACACACATAAATCACACACAAACTACACACACAAACTCTACACACACATATAAACCACACACACAAACTACACACACATAAATCACACACAAACTACACACACAAACTCTACACACACATATAAACCACACACACAAACTACACACACAAACTCTACACACACATATAAACCACACACACAAACTACACGTACATAAACTTCAGAAACTACACATTCATATAAATGATACACACACAAACTACACACACATATAAAACACACACACAAACTACACACACATAAACTGCACACAGAAACTATACACACACATACAAACTATGCAAACTATACACACCCATATAAACCACACACACAAACTATACACACATAAACTTCACACACAAACTACCCATTCATATAAATCATACACACACAAACTACACACACACATATAAACCACACACACAAAGTATACACACATAAACTACACACATATAAACTACACATGCAAACTATACACACATAAACTAAACACACAGACTACACACATATAAACTATATATGCAAAGTATACACATGCACATAAACCACACACACAAACTGTACACACAATATAAACCATACACACGAGCTACACACACATGTAAACTACATACAGAAACTACACACACACATAAATAACCACCAGGTGGGAGGACTGGGTGGAGTGAGAAGTCAGAGAATCCTTTACATATGTGTTGACTTTTGAAACACGTAAATGTTTACACGTTCAGAAATAGAATTAAATTGACAAGCACAAAAAAATTGAACATTGAATTCAAACAGAAATCAATGAACCTAAAACAATTGACAGCAACACCAGATGGAAACAAGAATGGAAGTGGCTTTCGAAGGGGCCTCTGGCTGTGGGGACCCGCAGCTCCGCGTCGCAGGCTGGTTTTGTCGCAGCAGCAGCGCTGCTGTGGTCGTCTGAAACCACTGTCTGTGGATTAAGGGCTGGTCACCCCCAGCAGCTTGGTGGTCCTCCTCGGAACCAGGACTCTTTCTCTCGCTGGGAGGCGGGAGATAGGGATGTGGAACGGGAAACAAAGAGGGTTCCTGGGGGCTTGTGCTTGGACCGGAAGCGGCAGCAATAACTCATAATTCAAAAAAAATCCATTTTCTGTCTCTAACCACTGAAAGGAGCTAACACTGGTGCTACCCAAGCACACAGGCACACGGGTGGTTTCCGAAGCTGTGTGGCACAATGGGGCCTAAGTCCAGATCTGGGTGGAGGTGGGCACAGGATGAGCCAGAGTATGGATCGCGTCGCGCCAGGAGGGCGGATGCACTTGAGGACAGACGGGGATGCCTCAACAGGCCAAAAAGGCCAGGTGGAAGGGGCTCTGGTGGCCAAATTTGAGACAGGATGAAGAGCATTGGATGAACAGTATAGTCCATGGCGGCCCTAGAAGGAGGGAGCACTTCCTCCTAGAACAATCCAGCCAACGTGGGAGAGGCGATGGGTTTGAAAGTCCCCATTTGTGCACTCCCCCTGGAATGAACCCATTCAGGTGAAGATCAGCAGCGGATGTTGAAGTCGGCTGAATAGCATCCCCAAGGCAAGTGCCTATCCTAAGCCCCAGAACCTGTAATCACAGGTCCCCTTGTATGGCAAGAGGGGCTTTGCAAATGTGGCTAAGTGAGGGACCTGGAGATGGGGAGGCCACCCTGGATTATCCAGGTGGGCCCTGGTGATCTTCAGGGTCCTTTTAAGAGGGAGGCAGGAGGGTCAGAGCCTGAGGAGGGGATGCAGTGATGGACGCGGAGCTTGGAGGGATGGGGTTTGGAAACGGAGGAAAGGGCCACACATGTACCCAGGAACACTGGTAGAAGGAATGCAGCCCTGCCGACACCGATCTCGGCCCGGTGTGACCCATTTTAGACTTCCGGTCTACAGAGATGGGAGAGAACACACCTGTGTTGTTTGTGGTAATCTGTTACAGCAGCCACAGGCAACTAACTCGGGTGCCAAAGCCATTGAGTTAAGGGCTGTTGGGGAACAGGATATTCACGCTCCTAGGACCACCAGTTACAAAGGGGAGGGGGACTTACGCAGGAGCAGCTGGCGACAGTCCTTCCCCCATGACTGGATGTAGCATCACCTGGGAGGGACAGCTGACATGTCCCCTGCTGTGACGGGCAGAGGACAGCGTCTCCTGTGAGTGTTGCTGCACAAAACACCACACCCGAATTTCATGCTGGGCCAGTCCGGGTTATGCTGCATCCTGCCGGACAGCTGACCAGACCCTGGAAGCTAGTGGTGTCACTAAAGGAAAAGAGCTCATCTGGTGTAGGAGGCTTAATTGTGGCAGGAGGGCATAGGTGGGGGGTGGTAAGAAGGAAGTGTCAGGAGGGAATGATGCTGCTAGGCATTTGGAGGCGGAGCTCAGGGGCAGGAAGAGGATTTGGAAGAATGATGGATAGAATTGATGACAGGCTGAATTTTAGGTGTCTGAGAAAAATCCAAGTGGAAACAATTCAGAAGATGCATGAATATTCAAGTATGGGCGTGGAAGAAAAGTCTGGACTGGAAATATATATTTAAAAGTAAATAGGGCGGCCAGTTGCAGTGGCTCATTCCTTTATTTCCAGCACTTTGGGAGGCTGAGGTGGGCAGATCACGAGGTCAGGAGATCGAGACCATCCTGGCCAGTACGCTGAAAGCCTGTCTCTATTAAAAATACAAAAATTAGCTGGGCATGGTGGCATGCACCTGTAATCCCAGCTACTTGCGAGACTGAGGCAGGAGAATCGCTGGAATCTGGGAAGTTGGAGGTTGCAGTGAGTCAAGATTGCCACTGCACTCCAGCCTGGCAACAAAGCAAGACTCCGTCTCAAAAAAAAAAAAAAGTACAGGGTATGAGTGATAGTTAAAGTCACGCCTGTGAATTTGTGGAAAGATGTGAAACAGCCAACTCAGGGTCCGAAACGAAATAAGACAGACTCATGTTTCCTGACTTTACTATAACATTGCCTATTGCATTTTCAAGCACGAAGGGGAAAATATATATTTTTTTATGGAGATACTTTGATCTTTCAAATTCTGGACCTGGGATGTGAAATGGCCATGGCCTTAGTTATTTTAACTGGCTAACTCATAGAATCCCTTTTCTGTGTTCCACAAATGTGCCACATTTTGTGCTATTCATATTCCTGTATCTAGTATATCTTCTTTCATTAATCTATTTTAGTGCAGTAATAGTTATATTTTCAGATCTAAGAACTAATTGCTTGACTTTGTTAATGGATAAAACAAACTGTAATATATTTTAAAGAGGTTTATTCTGAACCAATATGAGTGACTGAGGCCTGGAGAAAACACGCAACCAAGAAGGCTTGAGTAAGTGGTTCCGAGGTGGCCGGGTTGGTTTGGTTTTATACATTTCAGGGAGGCAGGAGTTACAGGCAAAAACATCAACACATGGAAGGTATACACTGGTTCGGTTCAAAAAGGGGGATTATCTTCAGGAGAGGTCTTATAGGTTGTAGGTGGACTTGGGGATTCTCTGGTTTGTGATTGGTTAAAGGAGTAAGGCCCTGTCTACAGCTTAGAGTTGACAGAAAGGAAGGTAAGAATGCTCTGTCAGAGTCAGCCACAATAAAATGCCCTGGTTAGCAAGCCTGATGGCCTGCAGGCCTGACTTACACCTGCCTTGCATGGCCTTAGGGCTTGTTCATAATTTGTTATCTTATGGCCACACGGGGTCTGTTCTGTCAGTCTTAGGATCTCTATTTTAACACCGCTGCTGGTTACTTGTTGAGTCCAAACTCCAAAACAGAGGAGGTATGATGAGGTGTGTCTGACCTCCCTTTCTTTCAGGGCCAGAAACAGCTTTTCAGTTTTCTCTGGGGTCCTCTTGGCCAAGAAGTTTCTGTTCAGTTGGTTGGGGGGGCTTAGAATTTTATACTTAGTTTACAACCTAGCGTTGGTCTATATTATATGCTCAGGAAAGTTTCTGAAATAGCCCTGGACTGGTTGGGTGATCTGGGATATGGAAAATGGGCCTGTGTCCTGAATGATGCACTTGAAAATGGAATATAAGACTCCGTAAAACTCAAAGCATCCATGAACACAAAATTCAATTGAGTTGATTTGCCGCAGGCTTTCTCCACTGCTAACAGTTACAATTCAATCTCAGTTATACATGGTGTCCAAAAGAAGCACATTGTGGTGACCAGCAGAAACCAAGTTTTGCTTGAAGAATAAAGGTTGCAATTTTGCAAAGGTCATGTGTTATATAAATTTTCAGTAAGATGAGATAGTTTTAAATATTTATGGCATGGACCTAAAATACACTTGCACTCTTTAGGATGAAGGAATCTATTATTTTGTTGGTAAGTGAGGAATTTAAATGGCCACTAATTTCTTGCACGAATAGCTCTGCACGTTTTTCTCCATGTGTTTGTAGCGTGTACCTTTATCGGTCAAGCAACAGAGTCTCGCTGTGTACCCCAGGCTGCAGTGCAGTGGTGCAATCAAGGCTCACTGCAACCTCTGCCTCCCGGGTTGAAGTGATTCTCCCTGCCTCAGCCTCCCGAGTAGCTGGTATTACAGGTGCTCGCCAGCACGCCCTGCTAATTTTTGTATTTTTAGTAGAGACAGGGTTTCACCATGTTGGCCAGGCTGGTCTCAAACTCCTGACCTCATGATCTGCCTGCCTCAGCCTCCCAAAGTGCTGAGATTACAGGCGTGAGCCACCACGCCGGGCCTAAAATCTTAATTAAAAGATATAATGGAAACATAGACAACATAATAATAAAGCCATATACAACAGTCTTACCATATGGGCAGTATGGATGTAACAATATTGATTCTTCCAACCCATAAACATAAAATATCTTTCCATTTCTTTGTGTACTCCTCAATTTCCTTCATCAGTATTTTACAGTTTTTATTATAGAGATCTTTTACTTCTTTGGTTAAGTTTATTTCTATGTATTTTATTTGTAGCAATTATAAATTGGGTTACATTCTTGATTTCTTTTTCAGATTGTTTGCTGTTGGCATATAGAAATGCTACTGTTTTTTGTATACTGATTTTGTATCCTGCAACTTTGCTGAATTTGTCAATCAGCTCTAATAATTTTTTGGTGGAGTCCTTAGGTTTTTCTAAATTATAAGATTATATCATCTGTGAACAAGAATAATTTGACTTTTCCTGTCCCAATCTGGATGCCATTTATTTCTTTCTCTTGTCTAATTGTTCTGTCTAGGACTTCCAGTGCTATGATGAATAATAGAAGTGAAAGTGGGCATCCTTATGTTCTTCTAGATCTTAGAGGAAAAGCTTTCAGTTTTTTCCCATTCAGAATGTTACTAGCTGTAAGACTGTTGTATATGGCTTTATTATGTTTACATACATTCCTTCCTTACCAATCTTTTTGGGAGTTTTTTTTATCATGAAGGGTGTAGATTTTTATTGAATTTTTTTCAGAATTATTTGAAATTATCATATGGTTTTTGTTGATATGATGTATCATTCTGTTGATATGTTGTATCACACTGATTGATTTGCATATGGTGAACCATCCTTACATTCCTGGAATAAATTTCATTTGGTCATATTAAATGATTTTTTAAATTCGTTGTTGAATTTGATTTACTAGTATTTTGTTGAGGATTTTTGCATCAACATTAATCAGAGATATTGGCCTGTAGTTTTCTTTTTCTGTTGTGTGTTTGTCTGGCTTTGGCATAAAGGTAATACTGGCCTTGTAGAATGTGTTTGGAAGTATTCCCTCCTCTTCAATTTTTTGGAATAGTTTGAGTAGGATTGGTATTAGTTCTTCTTTAAATGTCTGGCAAAATTCAGCAGTAAAGCTATCATCAGGTTCCAGGCTTTTCTTTTTTCATTTTAATCCATTTGCTGCTGCCAGAAAATTTAATTTCATTTTTAGTTAGTAGGCCACTGACTAGTTTAGTGCGTAGACTTCATGTTTCCATGGTTCTTTAGTTTGTTTAATTGTCTCAAAGTGGTAACCAATAAAAGTTTCCAAATTTAAAACCTTTCATTTGTAAATGGATTTCTATGAAACTTGTAAGTACAAAATCTCAGAAAGATACAATTAAATTATACTACATGATATCTACATGTCACAGAATCATGATCAGAAGTTTTCACTCCTGCTCCCAAATAAAATGTTGGCCTGACAGATATTTTCAAGTAAAATACTTGGCTATTCTTGAATCTGTAAGAACATGAGTCTTTTAAATTACAGCATCTGAACAAAAAATTCAGGGAAAAAGAAATAAATAGGCCCTTGACTATGGCCTGCCAGAATCCAGTTTGGAGATAAAAAGGGCTTAATTTGGAGGCACAGATAACATTGTACTATTAATTTCCTAGACTACTTGCCTAACTTTGATTTGTCTCATCCAAGAAATGACTGAGAAGGGAAAGTGTATAGTATTATCTAGTCTTTTGTTTAACTTTTACCTGTTTCTTCATGGAATTAAATGATAAAAGAGAAACAAAAATAGGTTCTTAAATTAAGCATCAAGACTAAAGATAGATATTTAAGACACATTTTAATGATTAATTGTGAAATCACCCTTCAAAAGATGGAAAAGAAATTTTGAAACAATTCTTGGCTTGGTCAGGAAGACAATTAGTGTCTTCAGTTAAAACTATGATAATAGTGTTGTCACCAAAATGGTGGAATAGGGAGCCCTAGGCCTTGTTCCCCAATAGAGACAGCAACTTAACAACAATATATGGAACAAATTACCTTTTTTGGAACTCCAGAAACAACTTATGTTGCAGCACCCCAGGTAAATCCAAAGCCAAGAAGAGCTGTATTGAAGTGGATAAGAAAGTGTATTATATTTACTTGTGATACCCCCTTCAACTAGTGTGCACAGCACAGTATGCTCAAGAGAGAATTTGGAATATCAGAAACATAAAGTGGGAGGCAAGACGTAAAGAAGTAGAGTTTTTGCATGTGATTGAAGTTGTTACCAGTTTAAAATATATTGTTGAAACTTTAAGATGTTTTATGTGATCCCCATGGTAACCACAAAGAGAACAGCTTGTGAATGTACACAAAAGAAAATGTGATCCTTTCAGTAACCACAAAGAAAATAGCTAATGAAAATACACAAAAGAAAATGAAAAAGAAATCAAGGCATATACTACCAAAAAGAAAATCAATGAAACAAAAAGGAAGGATGCCAGAGAAAAAGAGGTACAAAATAGCTACAAGGCATACAAAAACACAATGAATAAAATGTCAATAGCAGTTCTTCCATATTAGTAATATCTTTCATGTAAATAGACTAGTTTCCCCAATAAAAAGACAGGTTGGCTGAATGGATTAAAAAATTCTACTATATGCTGTGTACAAGAGACTCACTTTAAATCTAAGGAGACATATAAGGTGAAAGTAAAAGAATAGAAAAGATACTCCCTGCAAATTGTAACAAAAAGAGAGTATACAAAAACAGAGTATAGGTGGCTACATCTATACCAGAAAAAAAAATAGTCATTAAGTAAAAAATATCACAAGGTACAAAGAACAATATATAATAACCTGGTCCATTTACCAGGAAAATATAATAATTATAAATATATACACACCTAACGTCAGTGTTCTCAAATATGGGAAGCAGACATTGACAGGATTCAAGGGAGAAATAAACAGCATACAATAATAGTAGGATTCAATACTCCACTTTCAATAATGGGTAGAACAGCCAGCAGAAGATCAATAATGGGACAGAGGACATGAATAACATCATAGACCAAATGGACCAAATACACATCCATACAACATTTCACCCAACAGTGGCAGAATACACATTCTTCTCAAGCACAGTTGGAACATTCTGCGAGAAAGACCACATACTAGACCACTAAACAAGTCTTAACAGTTTTAAGCAGATTGAAATAATATCAAGTATTTTTCCCAGTACAATAGAATGAAACTAGAAATCAATAGCAGAAGAAAAACTGGAAAATTCATGAATATGCAGAATTTAATCAACACACTCTTAAATAACCAATGAATCAAAGAAGGAATCACAAGGAAAATTGCAAAATAATTTGTAAAAAAGAAACAAAAATACAACACACTAAAACTTACAGAAGCAGCAAAAGCAATACTAAGAGAGAATTTTATAGTGGAATATGCCATAAAAAAAAGAAAGGCCTCTCGGCAGGGCGCGGTGTCTCATGCCTGTAATCCCAGCACTTTGGGAGGCTGAGGTGGGCGGATCACAAGTTCAGGAGATTGAGACCATCCTGGCTAACACGACGAAACCCCGTCTCTACTAAAAACACAAAATATTAGCCTGGCATGGTGGCAGGTGCCTGGAGTTCCAGCTACAGGAGGCTGAGGCAGGAGTATGGTGTGAACCCGGGAGGCAGAGCTTGCAGTGAGCTGAGATGGCACCACTGCACTCCAGCCTGGGCAACAGAGTGAGACTCCGTCTCAAAAAAAAGAAAAGAAAGGTCTCAAATCAACAAGTTAATTTTATACACAAAGGAACCAGTAAAAGAGAACAAACTAAATCCAAAGTTAGCAGAAGGAAGAATATAAAGATTAGAGTAAGAATAAATGGAATAAAGAATAACTTTTATAAAAGTTAGATTTAAAAAATAACAACAAAATTGAAAATCCTTTAGCTAGATTAAGAAAAAGAGAGAATACTCAAATAACTAAAATCAGAAATGAATGCCTCATTCATTTTTTATCAGATATTATAACTGATGCCACAGAAATAGAAAGGATTATAAGGGACTACTAAGAACAATTATAAGCCAACGAGTTAGGCAAACTAGAAGAAATGGGTGAATTCGTGGTAAGATACAACCTACCAAGATGGAATCATGAAGAAATAAAGAAATCTGAACAGATGTGTAACTAGTAAGGAGAATAAATCAGTATTCAAAAATCTCCCAACAAAAAATGGACCAGACCCAAATGATTTCACTGGAGAATCTACCAAACATTTAAAGAAAAATTAATAATTATCCTTAAACTCTTCCAAAAAAATCGCAGAGAGAAAACACTTCTAAACTTATTTTATAAGGGCAACATTACCCTGATACCAAACCTAGACAAAGATACAAGAAAACTATAGATTATTACACCTGATGAATATTAATGAAAAATCCTCAACAAAATATTTGCAAACTGAATTTAACAGTACATTCAAAGAACTATATATTGTGACCAGGTTTTATTCCTCCTAATGCAAGGATAGTTCAATATATGAAAATCAGTGTAATACATTGCATTAACAGAATAAAAGACAAAAAGCACACAATCATCTTAATTGATTCAGAAAAAGCATGTGACAAAATTGAACACCCTTTCATGACAAAATTAAGAAACGAAGAGTAGAAAAAAATTACCTCAACATAATAAATGTTATGTGTGGGTTTGAATAAGTATGTATGTATATGTATAGATATACACATAAATGTTATATAAATATAATATGTGTGCACACATACAGGGCTAACACCATACTCAATGATGAAAACCTGAAAACTTTCCCTAAGATCAAGAACAAGGCGGGGCGGTTCCAAGATGGCCGAATAGGAACAGCTCCAGTCTAAGCTCCCAGCATAAGTGATGGAGAAGATGGGTGATTTCTGCATTTCCAACTGAGGTACTGGCTTCATCTCACTGGGGCTTGTCAGATAGTGGGGGCAGGACAGTGGGTGCAGCCCACTGAGCATGAGCTGAAGCAGGGCAAGGCGTCGCCTCACCTGGGAAGCACAAGGGGTCAGGGAATTCCCTTTCCTAGCCAAGGGAAGCAGTGACAGAAGGCACCTGGAAAATTGGGTCACTCCCACCCTAATACTGCACTTTTCCAATGGTCTTAGCAAACAGTACACCAGGAGATTATATCCCGTGCCTGGCTCGGAGGGTCCCATGCCCACGGAGCCTCACTTATTGCTAGCACAGCAGTCTGAGATTGAACTGCAAGGCGGCAGTGAGGCTGGGGAAGGGGCACCTGCCATTGCTGAGGCTTGAGTAGGTAAACAAAGTGGCCTGGAAGCTCGAACTGGGTGGAGCCCACCACAGCTCAAGGAGGCCTGCCTGCCTCTGTAGACTCCACCTCTGGGGACAGGGCATAGCTGAACAAAAGGCAGCAGAAACCTCTGCAGACTTAAATGTCCCTGTCTGACAGCTTTGAGGAGAGTAGTGGTTCTCCCAGCATGGAGTTTGAGATCTGAGAACAGACAGACTGCCTCCTCAAGTGGGTCCCTGACCCCTGAGTAGCCTAACTGGGAGGCACCATCCAGTAGGGGCAGACTGACACCTTACACGGCCAGGTACCACACTGAGATGAAGCTTCCAGAAGAGCGATCAGGCAGCAAGATTTGCTGTTCAGCAATATTCACTGTTCTGCAGCCTCCGCTGCTGATACCCAGGCAAACAGGGGCTGGAGTGGACCTCCAGCAAACTCCAACAGACCTGCAGCTGAGGGTCCTGCCTGTTAGAAGGAAAACTAACAAACAGAAAGGACATCCACACCAAAACCCCATCTGTACGTCACCATCATCAAAGACCAAAGGTAGATAAAACCACAAAGATGGGGAAAAAACAGGGCAGAAAAGCTGAAAATTCTAAAAATCAGAGTGCCTCTCCCCTTCCAAAGGAATGCAGCTCCTCTCCAGCAATGGAACAAAGCTGGACAGACAATGACTTTGACAAGAGAAGAAAGCTTCAGATGATCAAACTTCTCCAAGCTAAAGGAGGAAGTTTGAACCCATCGCAAAGAAGCTAAAAACCTTGAAAAAAGATTAGACGAATGGCTGACTAGAATAACCAGTGTAGAGAAGACCTCAAAGGACCTGATGGACTGAAAACCGTGGCACAAGAACTACGTGACGAACACACAAGCTTCAGTAGCCGATTCGATCAGTGGTTGAAGATCAGATGAATGAAATGAAGTGAGAAGAGAAGTTTAGAGAAAAAAGAGTAAAAAGAAACGAACAAAGCCTCCAAGAAATATGGGACTATGTGAAAAGACCAAATCTACGTCTGATTGGTGTACCTGAAAGTGACGGGGAGAAATGGAACCAAGTTGGAAAACACTTGGCAGGATATTATCCAGGAGAACTTTCCCAAGCTAGCAAGGCAGGCCAACATTCAAATTCAGGAAATACAGAGAATGCCACAAAGATACTCCTTGAGAAGAGCAACTCCAAGACACATAACTGTCAGATTCATCAAAGTTGAAATGAAGGAAAAAATGTCAAGGGCAGCCAGAGAGAAAGGTCAGGTTACCCACAAAGGGAAGCCCATCAAACTAACAGAGGATCTCTCGGCAGAAACTCTACAAGCCAGAAGAGAGTGGGGGCCAATATTCAACATTCTTAAAGAAAAGAATTTTCAACCCAGAGTTTCATATCCAGCCAAACTAAGCTTCATAAGAGAAGGAGAAATAAAATCCTTTACAGACCAGCAAATTCGGAGAGATTTTTGTCACTACCAGGCCTGCCCTACAAGAGCTCTTGAAAGAAGCACTAAACATGGAAAGGAAAAACCGGTACAAGTCACTGCAAAAATATGCCAGATTGTAAAGGCCATCGATGCTAGGAAGAAACTGCATCAACTAATGAGCAAACTAACCAGCTAACATCATAATGACAGGATCAAATTCACACATAACAATATTAACGTTAAATGTAAATGGGCTAAACGCTCCAATTAAAAGACACAGACTGGCAAATTGGATAAAGAGTCAAGACCCATCAGTGTGCTGTATTCAGGAGACCCATCTCACGTGCAGAGACACACATAGGCTCAAAATAAAGGGATGGAGGAAGATCTACCAAGAAAATGGAAAACAGAAAAAGGCAGGGATTGTGATCTTAGTCTCTGATAAAACAGACTTTAAACCAACAAAAATCAGAAGAGACAAAGAAGGCCATTACATAATGGTAAAGGGATCAATTCAACAAGAAGAGCTAACTATCCTAAATATATATGCACCCAATAAAAGAACACCCAGATTCATAAAGCAAGTCCTTAGAGACCTACAAAGAGACTTAGACTCCCATGCAATAATAATGGCAGACATTAATACCCCACTGTCAACATTAGACAGATCAATGAGACAAAAAGTTAACAAGGATATCCAGGAACTGAATGCAGCTCTGCACCAAGCAGACTTAATAGACATCTACAGAACTCTCCACCCCAAATCAACAGAATATACATTCTTCTCAGCACCACATCACACTTATTCCAAAACTGACCACATAGTTGGAAGTAAAGCACTCCTCAGCAAATGTAAAAGAACAGAAATTATAACAAACTGTCTCTCAGACCACAGTGTAATCAAACTAGAACTCAGGATTAAGAAACTCAATCAAAACCACTCAACTACATGGAAACTGAAGAACCTGCTCCTGAATGACTACTGGCTACATAATGAAATGAAGGCAGAAATAAACATGTTCTTTGAAACCAGCGAGAACAAAGACACAACATACCAGAATCTCTGGGACACATTTAAAGCAGTGTGGAGAGGGAAATGTATAGCACTAAATGCTCATAAGAGAAAACAGAAAAGATCTAAAATTGACACCCTAACACCACAATTAAAAGAACTACAGAAGCAAGAGCAAACACATTCAAAAGCTAGCAGAAGGCAAGAAATAACTAAGATCAGAGCAGAACTGAAGGAAATAGAGACACAAAAAACCCTTCAAAAATCAATGAATCCAGGAGCTGGTTTTTCGAAATGATCCACAAAATTGATAGACTGCTAGCAAGACTAATAAAGAAGAAAAGAGAGAAGAATTAGATGCAATAAAAAATGATAAAGGGGATATCACCACTGATCCCACAGAAATACAAACTACCATCAGAGAATACTATAAACACCTCTATGCAAATAAACTAGAAAATCTAGAAGAAATGGATAAATTCCTGGACACATACACCCTCCCAAGACTAAACCAGGAAGAAGTTGAATCCCTGAATAGACCAATAACAGGCTCTGAAATTGAGGCAATAATTAATAGCCTACCAACCAAAAGATGTCCAGGACCAGATGGATTCACAGCCGAATTCTACCAGAGGTACAAGGAGGAGCTGGTACCATTCCTTCTGAAACTATTCCAATCAACAGAAAAAGAGGGAATCCTTCCTAACTCATTTTATGGGGCCAGTATCATCCTGATACCAAAGCCTGGCAGAGACACAACAACAACAAAAAAGAGCATTTTAGACCAATATCCCTGATGAACATTGATGCAAAAATCTTCAATAAAATACTGGCAAACTGAACCCAGCAGCGCATCAAAAAGCTTATCCACCATGATCAAGTGGGCTTCATCCCTGGGATGCAAGGCTAGTTCAACATACACAAATTAATAAACGTAATCCAGCATATAAACAGAACCAAAGACAAAAAACCACATGATTATCTCAATAGATGCAGAAACGGCCTTCGACAAAATTCAACAGCCCTTCATGCTAAAAACTCTCAATAAATTAGGTATTGATGGGATGTATCTCAAAATAGTAAGAGCTATCTATGACAAACCCACAGCCAATATCATACTGAATGGGCAAAAACTGGAAGCATTCCCTTTGAAAACTGGCACAAGACAGGGATGCCCTCTCTCACTGCTCCTATTCAACACAGTGCTGGAAGTTCTGGCCAGGGCAATAAGGCAGGAGAAAGAAATAAAGGGTATCCAATTAGGAAAAGAGGAAGTCAAATTGTCCCTGTTTGCAGATGACATGATTGTATATTTATAAAACCCCATCATCTCAGCCAAAAATCTCCTTAAGCTGATAAGCAACTTCAGCAAAGTCTCAGGATACAAAATCAATGAGCAAAAATCACAAGCATTCTTACACACCAATAACAGACAAACAGAGAGCCAAATCATGAGTGAACACCCATTCACAATTGCTTCCAAAGAGAATAAAATACTAGGAATCCAACTTACAAGGGATGTGAAGGACCTCTTCAAGGAGAATTACAAACCACTGCTCAACGAAATAAAAGAGGACACAAACAAATGGAAGAACATTCCATGCTCATGGATAGGAAGAATCAATATCATGAAAATGGCCATACTGCCCAAGGTAATTTATAGATTCAATGTCATCCCCATCAAGCTACCAATGACTTTCTTCACAGAATTCGAAAAAACTACTTTAAAGTTCATAGGAACCAAAAAAGGGCCCACATTGCCAAGACAATCCTAAGCCAAAAGAACAAAGCTGGAGGCATCACGCTACCTGACTTCAAACTATACTACAAGGCTATAGTAACCAAAACAGCATGGTACTGTTACCAAAACAGAGATACAGACCAATGGAACAGAACAGAGCCCTCAGAAATAATACCACACATCTACAACCATCTGATCTTTGACAAACCTGACAAAAACAAGAAATGGGGAAAGGATTCCCTATTTAACAAATGGTGCTGGGAAAACTGGCTAGCCATATGTAGAAAGCTGAAACTGTGTCCCTTCCTTACACCTTATACAAAAATTAATTCAAGATGGATTAAAGACTTAAATGTTGGACCTAAAAACATAAAAACCCTAGAAGAAAACCTAGGCAATACCATTCAGGACATAGGCATGGTCAAGGACTTCATGTCTAAAACACCAAAAGCAATGGCAACAAAAGCCAAAATTGACAAATAGGATCTAATTAAACTAAAGAGCTTGGGCACAGCAAAAGAAACTACCATCAGAGTGAACAGGCAACCTACAGAATGGGAGAAAATTTTTGCAATCTACTCATCTGACAAAGGGCTAATATCCAGAATCTACAAAGAACTCAAACAAATTTACAAGAAAAAAACAAACAACCCCATCAAAAAGTGGGCAAAGGATATGAACAGACACTTCTCAAAAGAAGACATTTATGCAGCCAACAGACACATGAAAAAATGCTCATCATCACTGGCCATCAGAGAAATGCAAATCAAAACCACAATGAGATACCATCGCACACCAGTTACAATGGCGATCATTAAAAAGTCAGGAAACAACAGGTGCTTGAGAGGATGTGGAGAAATAGGAATGCTTTTACACTGTTGGTGGGACTGTAAACTAGATCAACCATTGTGGAAGACAGTGTGGCAATTCCTCAAGGATCTATAACTAGAAATACCATTTGACCCAGCCATCCCATTACTGGGTATATACCCAAAGGATTATAAATCACACTCCTATAAAGACACATGCACATGTATGTTTATTGCAGCACTATTCACAATGGCAAAGACTTGGAACCAACCAAAATGTCAATCAATGATAGACTGGATTAAGAAAATGTGGCACATATACACCATGGAATACTATGCAGCCATAAAAAAGGATGAGTTCATGTCCTTTGTAGGGACATGGATGAAGCTGGAAACCATCATTCTGAGCAAACTATCGCAAGGATAAAAAACCAAACACTGCATGTTCTCACTCATAGGTGGGAATTGAACAATCAGAACACTTGGACACAGGAAGGGGAACATCACACACTGGGGCCTGTTGTTGGGTGGGGGGAGGGATAGCATTAGGAGATATACCTGATGTAAATGATGAGTTAATGGGTGCAGCACACCAACATGGCACATGTATACATATGTATCAAATTTGCACATTGTGCACATGTACTCTAGAACTTAAAAGTATAATAATAATAAAAAAAAAAGAAAAAGAACAAGGCAAGAATGTCCATACTGACCACTTCTTTTTTTTTTTTTTTTGAGACGGAGTCTCGCTCTGTTCCCCAGGCTGGGGTGCAGGGGCACGATCTCGGCTCACTGCAAGCTCCGCCTCCTGGGTTCAGCCATTCTTCTGCCTCAGCCTCCTGAGTAGCTGGGACTACAGGCGCTCGCCACCATGCCCGGCTAATTTTTTTTTTTTTTTGTATTTTTTTAGTAGAGACGGGGTTTCACCGTGTTAACCAGGATGGTCTCGATCTCCTGACCTCGTGATCCGCCTGCCTTGGCCTCCCAAAGTGCTGGGATTACAGGCGTGAACCACCACGCCTGGCCCATACTGACCACTTCTATTCAACATAGTAGTGACAGTCTTAGCCTGGGAAATTAGATATGAGAAAGAAATAACAGCTATCCAAAATGGAAAGCAAGAAGTAAAATGATCTCTGTTTACAGATGACATAATCTTATTGTAGAAAGCACTAAAAACTGTTAGAACTAATAAATTCAACAAAATTTTATAATCCAAAGTGAACAAAAAGTAATTGCATATTTATACACTAACAGTCAGTAATCCAAAAACGCATTTAAGAAAACAATCCCATCAGGAACTTATAAAAGCATAAACAATAGTAACAAGAAGAATAAGATACTTTGGAATAAACTTAACCAAGGATGGGAAAACCTTGCACACTGAAAACTACGAAACAGGCTGGGTGCAGTGGCTCACACCTGTAATCCCAGCACTTTGGGAGGCCAAGGTGGGTGGATTGCTTGAGTCCAGGAGTTCAAGACCAAGTTGGGCAACATGGCGAAACCCCCTCTCTACTAAAAATACAAAAAATAGCCAGGCATGGTGGCACATGCCTGTAGTCCCAGTTACTTGGGAGGCTGAGGTGGGAGAATCACCTGAGCTCAGGAGGTCGAGGCTGCAGTGAGCCGAGATCATGCCACTGCACTCCAGCCTGGGCAAACAGAGTGAGACCCTGTCTCAACAAAACAAAACAAAACACAGCAAAACACAAAAAACCTACAAGACATTGCTGAAAGAAATTAAAGAGACATAAATAAATAGAAAGACATCCTGTACTCATGAATTGAAAGACTTAGTGTTAAGATATCCATGTACCCAAAGTGATTTACTGATTCAATGCAATTCTTAACAAAATGCAAATGACTTTTTTGCAGAAATGGAATAAAACCATTCTATAATTTACATAGAATCTCAAGGGACCCTGCATAGCCAAAACAATCTTAAAAAAGAAGAATGAAGTTAGAGTGCTCACACTTTTGATTTTAAGAATATTTTGAAGCTACAGTAATTAAAGACAGTGTAACACTGGCATAAAGACACATATACAGACCAATGAAACAGAACAGGAAGTTCAGAATTAAACTCTCACATACATGATCTTCAACAAGGGTACCAAGACAAAACAATGGGGAAAGGACAGTCTCTTCAATAATTGGTGTTGTAAACACTAGATATCCACATGCAAAAGAATGAAGTTGAAACTTAACCTTACATCATATATAAAAATTAACTTAAAATTGATTAAAGACCTAGACATGAGACCTACAACTGTAAAATGACTAGGAGAAAAGTGTAAGAAAAGCTTCATGACACTGAATTTGGTAATGATTTCTTGAATATGATACCAAAAGAATAGGAAACAAAAGAAAAAGGTAGACAAATAGGACTACATCAAACTTAAAAATTTTTGCACATCAAAGAAACAGTGACAAAGCAACCTGTGAAATGAGAGAAAATATTTGCAAATTATATCTAAAAGGGGTTAATATCCAGAATACTTGTCTATAGAGAACCACTACAAGTCAACAACAAAAGACAATCTGTTAAAAAAATGGGCCAAGAACTTGAATAGACATTCCTCCCAAGAAGAAGTATAAACATTAAAAAAATGTTCAGTGCCTTTAATCAAATTAAAACTACAATGAGCGATCGCCTACCCATCAGGATGGTCACTACAAAAAAAGACCAAGCAAAACATATTGGAAGGATGAGAAGAAACTGGAACCCTTTTACACTGTTGGTAGGAATGAAAAAATGGTGCAGCTGCTATGGAAAAATGATCTGAGGTTCCCCAAATAATTAAAAATAGAACTACTATATGATCCAGGAATCTCACTTCTGGGTATGTATGCAAAAGAACTAAAATAATTATGTCAAAGAGTTATCTGCATACCCATGTTAATTGCAGCATTATTCACAAAAGTCAAGAGTTGGAAGCAACCCAAATGTCTATTAAAAGATGAATAAAGAAAATGTGGAATATACATACAATGGAATACTATTTGACCTTAACAAAGAAGAAAATTCTGTCACATGCTACAACATGAATGAACCTTGAGGATATTGTACTAAGTGAAATAAGCCAATCACAAAAAGACAAGTATTGTATGATTACATTTATAGGAGGTTTCAAAAATAGACAAACTCATAGAAACAGAAACTACAATGGTGATTGCCAGAGACTGGGGACATGGAGAAATGGGGAGACGTTGTTTAACTGGTTTAGTTTCAGGTTTGCAAGATTAAAAAGTTCTGGAGATTTGTTACACAACACTGTGCATACAGTGAACGCTACTGAACTGTGCACTTAAAAAGTGGTTGAAATGGTAAATTTCTTATGTGTTTTAAAATATATATGTATTTTTTAATTTTTAATTTTTTTTTAATTTTTTTGAGACAGAGTCTCACTCTGTTGCCTGGGCTGGAGTGCAGTGGCGTGATCTCGGCTCACTGCAAGCTCTGCCTCCTGGGTTCACGCCATTCTCCTGCCTCAGCCTCCTGAGCAGCTGGGACTACAGGTGCCCGCCACCAGGCCCAGCTAATTTTTTGTAGTTTTTAGTAGAGATGGGGTTTTTCACCGTGTTAGCCAGGCTGGTCTCGAACTCCCGACCTCAGGTGATCCGCCCACCTCGGCCTCCCAAAGTGCTGGGATTACCGCGTGAGCCACCACGCCTGGCCTGTATGTGTTTTTAAAATCACAATGAGAAATTAAAAAATAAAATGAAAATAAGAAATGCTTAGCATATAAGAAAGTGAAGCATCGAAGCCCACGAAGATACAGCGAGTTTGCTTACTCCCAGCTTGTCTGGCACTGTCCAGATCTTACTGCCGATAGCCCTGCACCCTGAGTATAACCTCAGTCCCAGGCACACCAGGTGTTCGGATATTCTATATGAAAACCAGAGCATTTAAAGAAATGGTGTAAACAGAATAAAGGTATTTTGTTGAAAGTAAAGTATAATGCTATCCTTACTTGGTAATCCCATTGCCTTTAAAGTGAAGCATATTACTGGGATGTAAACCTGTATTTTTCTCTCTTGGCTCTTTAACAGATTCTCCAGATCTGTCTTATTTATATTTCCTTCAAAATACTTCTGTGATTTCTATCTTTTCTTGTTTCCAAGCCACACTTCAGCTTCATTCCTTATGCACAGGAGAGCCTGTTCTTGGTTTCTTTTCTTCCAGGTTCTGATTTTTAATCTGCCCAAATTGTAACTGGGACATTTATTGACAAAAAGAAATTTGAACATGTAACAGCCTTTTTTTTCCTTCTAATTTTTAAGTGGTTTCTAATTAGGTAATTTCCTGAAGGTTAAAGTTCTTAAAGTCTCTGATTTATTAGTTCATCATTCTTAATTTTTTCAGTTTTCTATCATTGTCTAGTAGAGTATGTCCAGTTGATAGGATATCTGAGGACATATTATCTCTCCATCAATTTATTTCTGTATTACACACACTTTCTCTCCATTCTCTTCTTCAGACCTTCTGCACCACCTCCCCTCAACAGTTGTAACAAATAAAAATGTCTCCAGACATTGCTGAATGTCCCGAGGCGGCAAAATTTCCTCTGGTTGAGCACAGCTGATAGAAATAATGCCCAAATTTCAAGATTTTTTCCAAAGTGGTCTTCATATTCAATTCCCAAACGTGTACTTAACATTGTTCTTTCTGAAAAGAGTACTTTCCCCATTTTCTCTACCTGGAGAGAACTCCAGGAAGCTGAGACCGGCCAGACCACAGAGCTTGACCCAGGTTCCACACATTTTTCATGTGCAAATTGGAAAGCACGATGAGATATCTCTCTTGCCTGTCATTATGATTTTTTTTTAAGTGAAAAATAGGCTGGGCGCCGTGGCTCACACCTGTAATCCCAGCACTTTGGGAGGCCGAGGCGGGCGGATCACGAGATAAGGAGATGAGACCATCCTGGCTAACACGGTGAAACCCCGTCTCTACTACAAAATACAAAAAATTAGCCAGGCGTGGTGGCGGCCGCCTGTAGTCCCAGCTACTCGGGAGGCTGAGGTAGGAGAATGGCGTGAACCCGGGAGGCGGAGCTTGCAGTGAGCCGAGATCGCGCCACTGCACTACAGCCTGGGCGGCAGAGCCAGACTCCATCTCAAGAAAAAAAAAAAAGTGAAAAATAAAAATCCTGGTTTCTGGGGAATCAATCACTCATATAGTGCTGTCGTTAACATAAATATCCAAATCTTCACAGAGGAACAGAGGACAATATGACAATAAGCACTACATTTTCAAGTGTCTTTTATACCCATTGAAAATTTGGTAGAAATTAGATATCTAGGAATTTCCCCTAACAGAGTAAATATACAGACCGTGTGCGGTGGCTCACGCCTGTAATCCCAGCACTTTGGGAGACCAAGGCGGGTAGGTCACGAGGTCAGGAGATCAAGACCATCCTGGCTAACATGGTGAAACCCCGTCTCTACTAAAAATACAAAAACAAAATTAGACGGGCGTGGTGGTGGGCGCCTGTAGTCCCAGCTACTCAGGAGGCTGAGGCAGGAGAATGGCGTGAACTCGGGAGGCAGAGCTTGCAGTGAGCCGAGATCGCGCCATTGCACTCCAGCCTGGGCGACAGAGCAAGACTACGACTCAAAAAAAAAAAAAAAAAAAAGTAAATATACAGAAATACCTGGCTATAAAACTGTCACAGCTTATTTATAATAACCTCAAACTGGAAGCAATCTAAATGTCCATCAAAAGGGGACTAGAATAATACTCAACCCTAAACAACATATTGTGGAATATTTAATGACATGGAATGACTTCTATTTTAAGAACAAAACAGGCGGGGCGCAGTGGCTCAAGCCTATAATCCCAGCACTTTGGGAGGCCGAAGCGGGCGGATCACCAGGTCAGGAGATCGAGACCATCCTGGCTAACACGGTGAAACCCCGTCTCTACTAAAAATACAAAAAATTAGCTGGGCGTGGTGGCCGACGCCTGTAATCCCAGCTACTCGGGAGGCTGAGGCAGGAGAATGGCGTGAACCCAGGAGGCGGAGCTTGCAGTGAGCCGAGATCGCGCCACTGCACTCCAGCCTGGGCGACAGAGCAAGACTACGTCTCAAAAAAAAAAAAAAAAGAAACAAAAGATGTCAAGTCCTTAGTCATTATAAAAATGATGCTTAATCATTTTCTTGGATTTTGCAGATGAATTGGTGAATAGCTTTGTGACAGACCTTTGTTCAAGATCCATTCAAGGATAGAAGACAATTGCATTGAATGGTTGAATAGGGAGATTTCTCAGGAGAATGTTGCTGGGTGCGGTTGAATATTTACTCTCCCACATCCTTGCCTGGCAGGAGGGCCTGTAAGGAGGCTATTCTATGAGCTTGTATCATCTCCCTGGATTCTAGGAGCAAATTAAGAAGCAAATGTTGGACCTCTGCCTGTGAAAACCACAGGTCCAAGACACTGAGAGGAACCAGGAACCACGGTAAGAAGAGAGGAAAGTGGTGTGAGTGCCTACACTTTCATCATTTGCATGACAAGGGGGTCCCATGAGTCAAGTACAGTCTAGGAGGTAATTGAGGTGGAGCTGTGCAGAAGGGACCCTGACCAAGAGTTGAGGGGCACCAGCGGAGAGGCTGTGGGTTGCACCTCCAGGGGCGGATGCTGGAAGTGGTGCCTGAAAGGAGTCAGCAGGAAGAGCCACATTGCTTGTATCTTGAGACATAACTGGGTGTGCAAAATGGGAAATCACTGTGGATCTCTCAGTAGGAATCTTTCAGGGATAGAGCCGGTTGTGAACATTCTGTAACATCAGATTAAATAGGGCCTTTTCTGTTCTTCATCTCTCTTTCATGCCTTTCTTCCCCCAGATAGACATACTCAGTGAGCTCTCTTCCCAGTTTGAAGCAGGTCTGAGGTGGAGAAGTAGAGAAAATCAAAGTTTTGACTATTGCATGGAAGTGGACATCCTAATTATTGAAATAATACTGTTGTGGCCAGGGCTGATGTTTAGCTGAGATGTACTGGTGTGGTTGCACTGGTTATTAAAATATTAAAATACTTTAATATTGGTTGGTAAACAGTCCTGATCCTAGGCCCCTTGAGGGCCTCCCCTGGGCCCTGGAAACCCTGTGGGCACTGCTATTCCTCCTTCCCACCCCCTCCACACACTTCCTATCCCTGAGACCAGTGTCCCCGGCGGTGAGGCTGATGCTCCAGTGGGCTGTACCCAATGTCTCTGGTTTTGCAGCCGGGCTTCCTGGGATTGTCCTCATGTGATCCTTATGGGAACAGCAACTTCCTCAATTGTCACCTCTTTTAAATGTCACCCAAGATCAGTTATGAACTGGCTCAAGTTTTATGCAAAAGAGTCTCCCAAAATCGGCCTCAAAAGCACTTTTGTTAGGACATTTTTGAGAAAAAAATATATGATGCTTTATGATTTTATTCTACTTTTTCAATGTCACATTTACAAATGTTTATAATTAAGTTAAAAGGGTGAGGCAGAAAACCAGGCAACTCTGTACTGATTTTTGTAATATAATCTGTCTCAAAATATACCATTAGAAGTTTAAATATTTAAATAGTTATAACCATTTCTAGGGGATGGTAACATGGCTAACTTTTAGACTTTTATTTATTAGTTTTTTTTTTTAGACGGAATCTCGCTCTGTTGCCCAGGCTGGAGTGCAGTGGTGTGACCTCAGCTCACTGCAAGCTCTGCCTCCCAGGCTTATGCCATTCTCCTGCCTCAGCCTCCCAAGTAGTTGGGACTACAGGTGCCTGCCACCACACCCATCTAATTTTGTTTTTGTATTTTTAGTAGAGACGGGGTTTCACTGTGTTAGCCAGGATGGTATCGATATCCTGACCTTGTGATCCACCCGCCTCGGCCTCCCAAAGTGCTGGGATTACAGGCGTGAGCCACCACGCCTGGCCCTGGCCAGTATTTCTTAAGTTTCATTAAAAAAAAAAATACATATATATATATAGTACTCTTTTGACTATTACTATTTTGAATGAGAGGAATAAAATAATACATGCAACTAAATGGGATTTTGTATTTTTCCTTCACATACATTGACCTACGTTTAAAATGTAAGCCTCTCACCCTCCTGACAACTCCATATCCCCACCCCCTGCTCTATGTGGTCAGAGTTGGTGCATCCCAATGCCTTGAATAGGGTCTGACACATTTGCTGTTGGAATCACTTGAATCATTTCACTTAGCAGGAACATAGTAAAGTATAAATGATGCTGAGGTATATCTCCCCAAGGAGGAGGACACAGAACAGGTTCTCTGTGGGGACAGGAGGAGGGACTGGCCCTGTGTACCCACTGCCTCCCCACGGCTTCCTCAACTTTTGCTTGATTTTTCCTCGATCAGGAACATGACATCACATTCATCCAGACCTTGAACCTATCTTATTAGGTTTATTCCTAGGTATTTTCTTGTTTTTCTGACATGCAAATATAATCTTTTTCCTTATTTCAATTTTCTGGTTGATTATTTCCATCATAAAGGAAAGTTGCTCTGTAAAATTTACCTGTTTCTAGCCACGCGATAAAATTTTCTTATTAGTTTCAATGGTGACTGTATACACACACACACACACACACACACACACACATACTTTAAGTTCTGAATACATATGCAGAACGTGCAGGTTTGTTACATAGGTGTACACGTGCTATGGTGGTTTGCTGCACCCTTCACCCCATCATCAACATTAGGTATTTCTCCTAATGCTATCCTTCCCCTAGCCCCCCACCCCGACCCCCACCGACAGGCCCTAGTGTGTGATGTTGCCCTCCCTGTGTCCATGTGTTCTCATTGTTCAACTCCCACTTAATGACTGAGAACATGGGGTGTTTCATTTTCTGTTCCTGGGTAAGTTTGCTGAGAATGATGGTTTCTAGCTTCATCCATGTCCCTGAAAAGGATGTGAACTCATCCTTTTTTATGACTGCATAGTATTCCATGGTGTATATGTACCACATTTTCTTTATCCAGTCTGTCACTGATGGGCATTTGGGTTGGTTCCAAGTCTTTGCTATTGTGAACAGTGCTGCAATAAACATACATTTCCATGTGTCTTTATAGTAGAATGATTTATAATCCTTTGGGTATATACCCAGTAATGGTATCGCTGGGTCAAATGGTATTTCTGGTTCTAGATCCTTGAGGAATCGCTACACTGTCTTCCACAATGGTTGAACTAATTCACACTTCTACCCACAGTGTAAAAGCATCCCTATTTCTCCACATCCTCTCCAGCATCTGTGGTTTCCTGACTTTTTAATGATTGCCATTCTAGCTGGCAATCTCTTTGTGGTTTTGGTATCTCATTGTGGTTTTGATTTGCATTTCTCTAATGACCAGTGATGATGAGCTTTTTTTCATATGTTTTTTGGCCACATAAATGTCTTCTTTTGAGAAGTGTCTGTTCATATCCTTTGCCCACTTTTTGATGGATGGGGTTTTTTATTTTTACTTGTAAATTTCTTTAAGTTCCTTATAGATTCTGGATATTAGCCCTTTGTCAGAAGGATAGATTGCAAAAATTTTCTCCCATTCTGTAGGTTGCCTGTTCAGTCTGATGACAGTTTCCTTTGCTATGCAGAAGCTCTTTAGTTTAATTAAATCTCATTTGTCAATTTTGGCTTTTGTTGCCATTGCTTTTGGTGTTTTTAGTCATGAAGTCTTTGCTCATGCCTATGTTGTGAATGGTATTGCCTAGGTTTTCTTCTAGGGTTTTTAGGGTTTTTATGGTTTTAGGTCTAACATTTAAGTCTTTAATCCATCTTGAGTTAATTTTTGTATAAGGTGTAAGGAAGGGATCCAGTTTCAGTTTTCTGCATATGGCTAGCCAGTTTTCCCAACACCATTTATTAAATAGGGAATCCTTTCCCCATTGCTTGTTTTTGTCAGGTTTGTCAAAAATCAGATGGTTGTAGATGTGTGTCATTATTTCTGAGGCTTCTGTTCTGTTCCATTGGTCTATATATCTGTTTTGGTACCAGTAAATGGTTACTTTTTTTAAAAAGCAAACTCTTTCGAATTTTATATGTTTATAATACAGCAAATAATTTTGTCTTGCTTTTAGAAAAAAATTGAGGTAAAATTCACGTAACATAAAGTTAACCATTTTACAGTGAACAATTCGGTAACACTGAGCATATTTACAATGTTATAGAAGTACCACCTCTGTTTAGTTTCAAAATATTTTCATCACTGCAAAATAAAACCATGTAAGCAGTCAAATCCCACCTGTCCTCTCCTCCTGTCTCTGTCAACCACCGATCTGTTCTATGGGTTTACCTATCCTGGATATTTCATATAAATGAAATTATACAATAACCCTGTATAATTTTTTGTGGGCCTGACTTCTTTCATTTAGCATAATGTTTTTGAGGTTCATTCATGTTATAGCATTTATCAGTACTCCACTTCTTTTTATGGCTGCATAATATTCCACTATATGTGTATATCATAATTTGTTTATACATTCCTCTGTTGACGGACATCTGGGTTGTTTCCAACTTTTGGCTGTTTTGAATAGAGCTCTTTCGAACATGTATGTACATGTATTTGTTTGAGAACTCGTTTTCATTTCTTTGGGGTATATACCTAGGAGTGAAATTGCTGAGTCATATAGTAATTCTATGTTCAACTTTTTGACCACTGCCAAACTGTTTTCCGCAAACATCATCATCACTAGCCATGTATGATTTACTCCACATCTTCACCAACACTTGGTGTTTAATATTTTTTTTTAATTATAGCCATCCTGGTAGTGAAGTGGTATCTCATCGTGGTTTTGATTTGTATTTCTCTAATAACTAATAATATTGAACATCTTTTCATGTGCTTGTTGGCCATTTGTAGATCTTCTTTGGAGAAATACCTATATAAACTCTTTGACCATTTCATTTTAATTGAGTTGTTTGTCTTTCTATTGTTGAGTAGTTAAAGTTCTTTATATAGACACATCATTTAGAGATTTGCAATTTTTTTCTCCCATTCTGTAGGCTATTTTTAAACTTTCCTAATAATATCATTTGGTGTACAAAAGTTTTAAATTTTGATGGAGCCCAATTTATATATTTCTTAATTTGTTGTTGATGCTTTTGGGGTCATGTCTAAGAACATGTATGTACCTAATCTGTATCTGAGAACCTAATCTCAGATTCAAGATCAGGAAGATTTAACCATAGGTTTTCTTCTAAGAGTTTTGTAGATTTAGCTCTTGCATTTAGGTCTTTGATACATTTTGAGTTAGTTTTTCTATATGGTATGAAATAAGGGTTCAACTTCATTCTTTTGCACGTGGCTATTTGGTTGTCTAAGCACTATTTGTTGAAGAGACTATTCTTTCCCCATTGAATGGTCTTTGCACCCCGTCAAAAATTAATCACCACAAATGAATGGGCTTATTTCTGGAATCACAATTCTATTTTTCTCATCTATATGTTTATCCATAAGGATAAACAGTGCCACACTGTTTTGATTATTGTTAACTTTGTAATAAGTTTTGAAATTAGAAAGTGTGAGTTCTCCAACTTTACTCTTCTTTTTCAATAATACTGTCTTAGCTGTTCGAGATCTTTTGCAATTCCTTACATATTTGATAATTAGCTTTTCAATTTCTGCAAAAAGGCTATTCAAATTTTGACATAGATTGTATTGAAACTAGATCTGTTTAAGTATTGCCATTGTGGCAATATCAAGTCTTCCAATCCATGAACACAAGGCATATTTCCATTTATTTAGGTATTCTTTAATTTCTTTTAGCAATGGTTTGTAGTTTTCATTGTGTAATACTTTCACTTCCTTGATAACATTTAATTTGAGGTTTTTTAAATCATTTTTATGCTATTATAAATGGAATTGTCTTAATTTAGTTTTTAAATTATTCACTGCGCCTTTCTAAGAACACATGTGATTTTTGTGTTCAGCTGTACCTTTGCTGAATTTGTTTATTAGCTGTAGTAGTGGATTCTTTGGGATTTTCTATATCTAGGTTTATCAGTGAATAGAGATCTTTCGATGCTTCTTATTTATTTTTCATTTCTGATTTCTCTGGCTAGAACTTCCAGTACAATGTTAAATGAAAGTGGTAAAAGGGGTCCTCCTTGTTTTGTTCCTGACCTTAGGGGAAAGTTTTAGTCTTTAACCAGTGAATATGATTTTGACTATGGGTTTTTCATAAATGCCCTTATTTTATGTTAAGGAATTCCCCTTCAATTTCTAATTTTATACGAGGATTTTTTTTTTCTTTTGAGACGAAGTCTAGCTTTGTCGCCCAGGTTGGAGTACAGTGGCTCGATCTTGGCTTACTGCAACCTCCGCATCTCGGGTTCAAGTGATTCTTCTGCCTCAGCCTCCTGAGTAGCTGGGACTACAGGCACCTGCCACCAAGCCCAGCTCATTTTTTTTTTTTTTTTTTTTTTTTAGTACAGACGAGGTTTCACCATGTTGACCAGCCTGGTCTCAAACTCCTGACCTCATGATCCACCCACCTCAGGCTCCCAAAGTGCTGGGATTACAGATGTGAGCCACCATGCCCGGCTTGAGGATTTTTATCATGAAAGTGTGGCAGATTTTGTTGAATGCATTTTCTGCAGTTGAGATGATCCTGAATTTCTCCTCGCCCCCACACACCTTTATCCTATTAATGTCATATAATACATTGGGTTTCTAATGTTGGACCATCCTTGCTTTCCTGGGCTGAATTCCACTTAGATATGGTATAAAATCCTTTTAATATGCTGTTGGATTTTATTTGCTAGCATTTTGTTGTGGATTTTTGTATCTTTATTCATAAGGGATATTGGTCTGTAGCTTTCTTTTCTTGGAATATCTTTCCCTGGTTTTCATATCAGGGTAATGCTGTCCTTATAGAATAAGTTAGAAAGTGTTCCCTCCTTTTCAATTTTTTGGAAGAGCTTGAGAAGGATAGATATTAATTGTTTTTTAATTTGTATTTTTATTTCAATAGTTTTGGAGGTACGGGTAGTTTTTGCTTACATGGATAAGTTCTTTAGTGGTAATTTCTGAGATTTTGGTGTACCTGTCACCTGAGCAGTGTACACTGTACCCAACATGTAGTCTTTTATCACTTATGCCTCTCCCACTCTTCCCCTGAGTCCCCAAAGTCCATTATATCATTCTTATGTATTTGCATCCTCATATCTTAGCTCCCACTTAAAAGGGAGAACATATGATATTTGGTTTTCCATTCTTGAGTTACTTCACTTAAAATAATGGCCCCCAACTCCACCCAAGTTGCTGCAAAAGACATTATTTTATTTCTTTTTATGTCTGAGTTGTATTCCATGGTGTATATATACTACATTTTCTTTATTCACTCATTGGTTGATGGGCACTTAGGTTGATTCCATATCTTTGCAACTGCAAATTGTGCTGCTATCAACATGCATGTGTGTGCATGTATCTTTTTTCATATAGTGACTTATTTCCCTTTGGGTACTTACCCAATAGCAGGATTGCTGGATCGAATGGTAGTTCTACTTTTGATCCTTTAAAACTGTTTTCCGGCCTGGCGCAGTGGCTCACGCCTGTAATCCCAGCACTTTGGGAGGCCTAGGCAGGCAGATCACGAGGTCAGGAGATCAAGACCATCATGGCTAACACGGTGAAACCCTGTCTCTACTAAAAAATACAAAAAATTAGCCGGGCATGGTGGCGGGTGCCTGTAGTCCCAGCTACTCGGGAGGCTGAGGCAGGAGAATGGCGTGAACCCTGGGAGGTGGAGCTTGCAGTGAGCCAACATGGTGCCACTGCAGTCTAGCCTGGGCAACAGAGCAAGACTCTGTCTCAAAAAATAAATAAATAAATAAAATAAAAAACCAAAAAAAAAATCTGTGTTTTCCGCAGTGGAAAACTAGTTTTTCCATACTGTTTTCCATAGTGGTTGTACTAGTTTACATTCCTACCAGCAGTGTAGATGTGTTACCTTTCCACCACATCCACGCCAACATCTATTGTATTTTGACTTTTTAATTATGGCCATTCTTGCAAGAGAAAGGTGATATCTCATTGTGGTTTTAATTTGTATTTCCCTGATAATTAGTGATGTTGAGCATTTTTTTCACTTTGTTGGATGTTTGTATATTTTCTTTTGACAATTGTCTATTCATGTCCTTTGCCCACTTTTTCATGGAACTATTATTATTTTTTACTGTTGATTTGTTTGAGTTCTTGTAGATTTTGGATATCAGTCCTTTGTCAAATGCATAATTTGCAAATACTTTCTCCCAATCTGTAGGTTGTCTGTTTACTCTGCTGATTATTTCTTTTACTTTGTAGAAGCTTTTTAGTTTAATTAGGTGTCATGTATTTATTTTTGTTTTTGTTGCATTGCTTTTGGGGTCATAGTCAAGAATTCTTTGCCTAAGCCAATGTCTAGAAGACTTTTTCTGATGTTATCTTCTAAAATTTTTATGGCTTCAGGTCTTAGATTTAAGTCTAAGTTTTCTTAGATTTAAGCTATTTTGAGTTGACTTTTGTATAAGTGAGAGATGAGGATTCAGTTTCATTCTTCTATGTGTGGCTTCCCAGTTTTCCCGGCACCACTTATTGAAGAGAGTGTCCTTTCCCCAATTTATGTTTTTGTTTGTGTTGTTGAAGATCAGTTGGCTGTAAGTATGTTGGCTTTATTTATGTGTTCTCTGTTCTATTCCATTGGTCTATGTGCCTACTTTTATACCAGTACCATGCTGTTTTGGTGACTTTAGCCTTGTAGTATAATTTGAAGTTGGGTAATGTGATGCCTCCAGATTTGTTCTTTTTGCTTAGTATTGCTTTGGCTATGCAGGTTCTTTTTTGGTTCCATATGAATTTCAGGATTGCTTTTTCTGGTTCTATAAAGAATGATGACGGTATTTTGTTGGGAATTGCATTGAATCTGTAGATTGCTTTGGACAGTATGGTCATTTTCACAATATTTATTCTACCCATCTGTGAGTGTGGGATGTGTTTCCATTTGTTTGTGTCATCTATGAATCTTTCAGTAGTGTTTTGTAGTTTTCCTTGTAGAGATCTTTCACCTCCTTGGTTAAATATATTTGTAAGTATTTTGTTTTACTTTTGCAGTTGTAAAAGGGATTGAATTCTTTTTTTTTTTTTTTTTTTTTTTTTTGAGATGGAGTCTCATTCTGTCGCCCAGGCTGGAGTGCAATGGTGCAATCTTAGCTCACTGCAACCTCTGCCTCCCAGGTTCAAGTGATTCTCTTGCCTTAGCCTCCTGAGTAGGTGGGATTACAGGTGCCCACCAATGTGCCCGGCTAATTTTTGTATTTTTAGTAAAGAGTGGGTTTTTCCATGTTGGCCAGGCTGGTTTCGAACTCATGACCTTAGGTGATCTACCTGCCTCAGCCTCCCAAAGTGCTGAGGATTGCGGACATGAGCCACCATGCCTGGCTGAATTGAATTCTTAATTTGATTCTTAGCTTGGTCACTGTTGGTGTATAGCAGTGTTACTGATTTATGTACATTTATTTTGTATCCTGAGACTTTATTGAATTCATTTGTTAGGTCTAGGAGCTTTTCAGATGAGTCTTTAAGGTTTTCTAGGTATAGAATTATATCAGCAGTGAACAGCAACAGTTTGACTTCCTCTTTTCCAGTTTGGATGCCCTTTATTTCTTTCTCTTGTCTGATTGCTCTGGCCAGCACTTCCAGTACTGTGTTAAGTAGAAGCAGTAAAAGTGGGCATCCTTGTCTTGTTCCAGTTCTCAGGGGGAATGCTTTCAGCTTTTCCCTATTCAGTATGATGTTGCATATGGGTTTGTCATATATGGCTTTTATTACTTTAAGATATGTCCCTTCTATGCTTATTTTGAGGAAGGTTTTTATTATAAAGGAATGCTGGATTTATATATAATGATAAAAGGATTAGTCAAACAGGAAGATATTATGATCCTAAATTTATATGCACCTAGCACTGGAGCTTCCAAATTTATAAAACAATTACTACTAGACCTAAGAAATGAGATAAACAACAGTACAAATATAGTGGGGGACTTCAATACTCCACTGACAGCACTAGACAGGTCATCAAGACAGAAAGTCAACAAAGAAATAATGGACTTAAACTATACCCTAGAAGAAATGTACTTAACAGAAAATTGCAAAACATTCTTCCCAACAACTGCAGGATATACATTTTTTTTCATCAGCACATGGAACGTTCTCCAAGATAACCTATGATAGGTTACAAAACAAGTCCCAACAAATTTAACGAAATTGAAATCATATCAAGTATTTTCTCAGACCATAGTGGAATAAAACTGGAAAGCAACTCCAGAAAGAACACTTAAAATGATATAAATACATGGAAATTACATAATCTGTTCTTGAATGATTTGGTGGTTAACAATGAAATCAAGATAGGAATTAAAAATTCTTTGAAATGAATGAGAACAATGGCACAACTTATCAAAACTTCTGGGATACAGCAAAACTGGTGCTAAGAGGAAAGTTTATAGCATTAAATGCCTACGTCAAAAAGTCTGAAAGAACACAAATAGAAAACCTAATGTCATACCTGAAGGAACTAGAGAAACAAGAACAAACTAAACTGAAACTCAGCAGAAGAAAAGAAATAACAAAGATGGAAGAGAACTAAATGAAATTGAAACAAAAAATACAAAAGATAAATGAAATGAAAAGCTGGTTCTTTGAAATGATAAACAAAGTTGATGACCATTAGGGAGATTAACCAAGAAGAGAAAAGATTCATATAACCTCAAGTAGAAATGAAACTGGAGATAGTACAACCAATACCACAGAAATACACAAGATCATTCAAGGATGTTATAAACACCTTTACATGCACAGACTAGAAAGTCTAGAGGAGATGAATAAACTGCTGGAAATATACAACCCTCCTAGACTAAATCAGGAAGAAATAGAAACCTTGAACAGACCAATAACAAGCAGCAAGATTGATCAGTGATTAAAAAAACAAAACAAAACACTGCCAACAAAAAAAGAATCGAGAACCAGATGGATTAACAGTTGAAATCTATCAGACATTCAAAGAAGAACTGGTTATCAATCCTACTGGAACTATTCCAAAAGATAGAGAAAGAGGGAATCCTCCATAAATCAGTCTATGAAGCCAGTATCACCCTAATACCAAAAGGAGGAGAGGACATAACAAAGCAAACAAACTACAAACCAATATCCCCGAACATAGATGCAAAAATCCCCAACAAAATACTAGCTAACTGAATCCAACAGCATATGAAAAAGATAATGCATCATGAACAAGTGGGTTTTATATCAGGGATGCAAGGATGGTTTAACATACACAAGTCAATAAATGTGATACATCACATAAACAAAATTAAAAACTATACGATTATATCAATAGGTGTGAATCCCTCTTTAAATGTTTGGTAGAGTTAATCAGAGAAGCTATCTGGTCCTGAACTTTTTTGTTGTTGGTGGTAAGTTTTAATTACTGATTGAATTACTTCACTTGTTATAGGTCTATTCAGATTTTCTATTCTCGAGTCAATTTTGATAGATTGTGTGTTTCTAGGAATTTGCTAATTTCATCTAGGTTATCTAACTTGTTGGCATAAAATAGTTTGTAATTTTTTTTTTTTTTTTTGAGACGGAGTCTTGCTCTGTCACCCAGGCTGGAGTGCAGTGGCGCAATCTCGGCTCACTGCAGCCTCTGCCTCCCAAGTTCAAGCGATTCTCCTGCCTCAGCCTCCCAAGTAACTGGGATTACAGGCACCTGCCACCACAACTGGCTAATTTTTGTACTTTCAGTAGAGGCGGGGTTTCACCATGTTGGCCAGGCTGGTCTCAAACTCCTGACCTCAGGTGATCTGCCCGCCTTGGCCTCCCAAAGTGCTGGGATTACAGGCGTGAGCCACCACACCTGGCCTGAGCAATGATTTGACTACATTCATAATTTGGGTATATCATGTTTTCATTTTCATTTGGCTCAAAATATTTTCTAATATCCCTTATAACTTTTTATTTGACCTATAGGCTGCTTAAAATTGTGTTAATTTCTACATATTTGTAAATTTTCTAGTTTTTCTTCTGTTATTGATTTTTAGTTTCATTCTGTATTTGTCAGAGAAGATAATTTACATAACTTTATCTTTTTACATTTATTGAAACTTGTTTTATGGCCTACCCTGACACATGATCCACGTGCTTTGTGTATTTTGCAATTGTTTGGTGGAGTATTTTCTTTTTTTTTTCTTTTTGAGACGTAGTCTTGCTCTGTCGCCCAGGCTGGAGTGCAGTGCCGCAGATCTCGGCTCACTGCAAGCTCCGCCTCCCGGGTTCACGCCATTCTCCTGCCTCAGACTCCAAAGTAGCTGGGACTACAGGTGCCCGCCACCACACCTGGCTAATTTTTTTCTTGTATTCTTTAGTAGAGACGGGGTTTCACCGTGTTAGCCAGGATGGTCTTGATGTCCTGACCTCGTGATCAGCCCGCCTCGGCCTCCCAAAGTGCTGGGATTACAGGCATGAGCCACCGCGCCTGGCCTCGGTGGAGTATTTTCTATATGTCTGTTAGGTCTTGTTGATTTACAGTGTTTTTCAAGTCCTCTATTTCTTTATTGATCTTCTGTCTAGATGTTCTATCTGTTATTGAAAGTGACTGTTTGAGTCCATTTAGTGTTGCTGTAACAGACTACCTGTGACTGGGTAATTTATAAAGAGAAGAGGTTTACTTGGCCCATGATTCTGGTGACTTGAAGGTTCAAGATTGAGCAGCTGCATCTAGTGAGGGCCTCCCTCATGCTGCTTCCACTCATGGCAGAAAGTGGATGGGGTGTGGGCGTGTGCAAAGAGATCACGTGGTGAAAAAGAAAGCAAGAGAGAGAGAGATACACCCACTGACCCAAACACCTCCCAGTGGGCTCCTCCGTTTAGCACTGTTACATGGAGGAACAAGTTTCCACATGAGCTTTGGCAAGGCCAGGCCACATTCAAGTGATATGGGGCATATAATTTGCCAAATGCAGTGGGGTATTGAAGTCTCCAACAATTATTGTAGTACTATCTACTTCTTCCTTCAAGTCTATCGATGTTTGTTTCATGTATTTTGGAGTTCTGATTTTTGGTATCTATACAGTTATAAGTATTTTATATTCTTGATAAATTTATGAGTTATCAATATATAATGACCTTAATTCATTTCTTGTAACAATTTTTGACTTTGTTTATTTTTGCTTTGCGTATCTACTATAAGTTTTTATTTTGTAGTTACCATTAGGCTTACATAAAACCTCTTATAACGGACTGTTTATATTTGGTAACAACTTAACTTTGATCACATAGAAAAAAGTCTCCACTTTTACTCCATCCCCTTGCCCCCAATTTATGCTTTGATGTCATAATTTATATTTTTAATTGTATATCCCTTAGCAAATTATTATAGCTATTATTTTTAATACATATTTATTTAATCTTCATACTAAAGACACAGATGATTTACTTACCATCACTGCAGTATTAGAATATTCTGAATTTGACTGTGTACTTACTTTTAGCAGTGAGTTTTATACTTTCTCATGTTTCCATGACACCAATGAGCATTCTTTTCTTTCTTTCAGCCTGAAGAGCTTCCTTTAGGATTTCTTGTGAGACAAGTCAGCTTTTATTTGTCTGGAAAAGTCTTTATCTCACTTTTATTTGTGAAGAACTGCTTTGGCAGGTACAGTATTCTTAGTTGGCATATTTTTTTCTTTGAGGCTTTGAATATATCATCTTGCTCTCTCCTGCCATGTAAGGTTTTTGCTAAGAAATATGCTGCTAGCCTTATTGGAACTCTCATATATGTGATTTATTTCTATTCTCTTGCTGCTTTTAGGATTCTCTCTTTGTCTTTGATTTTTGATAGTTTGATTATAATACATTTTGTTATAGTCTTGTTTGGATAGAATCTGATTGGAGACATTTGGTCCTTATACCTTGATATTATTCCCCAGGTTTAAGAATTTTTTAGTGATTATTTCTTTAAACAATGTTGTCCTAGGGGCTGGGTGTGTGGGTGTTGGCCTGGAGGCTAGGACCATTAGGGTTGACCTTTGTCTGGGGGCTCCAGGTGCTGGCCTGAAACCTGAGTCTACAGGGGTCATCTTGGAGCCTGGGTCCATGGGGGCTAATCCAGTGCTGGAGTCTGCCAGGAAGAAACTGGGCTGTGGCTCTGCTGTAATGTGTGGCTGCAGGGGAAAATATGAAGAGTGGGTCTGTGGGTGCCTGTTTGGAGATGAGAGCTGTAGCGGTTGGCCTGGTTCTTGGGTAGGTCTGAATCCTGGGACCATGGGGACCAGCCTGGTGCTGCAAGCAGTCCAGAGCCTTTGGCTGCCTGGCCCTGGGGTGGGCCTAGAGCCTGAGTCTGTGGGGGATAGCCTGGAGTTGGGGTTTGTCCAAAGTCTGGGGCTACTGATCAGCTACAGTCAGGCTACTACTCCAACTGTCCTTTCTATCTCTTTAGTGCATCCTTTCTGAAATCTCCTACCTGGTTTCCTTAGTTCTTGTGAAGGTGGTTTTATGCATGGATAGTTGTTCCAATTGATGTTTCTGCAGGGGAGCAAGAGCTAGAAAGTCCTATTCACCATCTTCCTTACAGCCTTCTGCCCCAAGGCTGCAGTACTCTTCAATCACATGTTTTATGTTACCTCTTTCTTTTCTCCAGCCATTTGGAAATAATTACCAAGAGCTACTTTTTTTGGCCAGGTATGCAATTTTTGTGAACCAATGCTGTTCTAACTGATTCTAACTCAAGAGGCGAGAAAAGCCCAGATGCCCCTAATTGGATCCATGGTTGTACTGTGCTGTATTTCCAGGACTTGTGCAAAGTTTAATACTATTACTCATCAGTTTTATTTTACCTCCTATTTTTCTCATTCTTTGCATGGATTTACGGAGGCACTTTCCTGACTTTTTCATTGTGGGCTGTGTTGTAGTCACCTTGGATTGATCTCTGGCCCTTTGGTCATTGTGTGCTTTGAGTCTGCATGGTGAGTCCCAGTTTTATTTCATGCATGAGCTTCATTGACAGAAAATCATTATACCTTATTTCCTTGCTTCATGCTTGGAAGATGTGGATTTGGCCTTCATATTCCTGACTGGATACTTTAAATGAGTCAGATGCATCTGCTTTAGATAGGTATTGACTAAGGAGAAGTAAGGGAATAATCTGTAAAACTCAACCCAAAATGAAGTCTTTTTTCTTGCTAGAGGCATATTATTTATTTGGATAGATTAAGATTTTCCTCTACATGTTTAAGAAGTTAATCTCAATTTGGATGTGATTAGTAATAATTTCAAATCTATATTTCACTTGAGTTTCTTGCAGTGTAATTATGTTTGTTGTCTGTTTGGGAATACTAAAACAATCATTTTATTGTAGTATATTTAATACTTTTACCATATTTCTTCTTACTTAAACGAATACATATAAATAACAACCATGAGAATCTCAAGCATATTTGAAATATTTTAATATCATTATGAAAGTAGAAAGATAAAATTAGAGTGCTCCAAAAATATTTAAAAATTCTAGTCCAATATCCTCATTTAGAGAAAGAAACCGAGGCCCAGAAATGTAAAAGCAAGTGAATAAAATTAGTGGTATGGCCAGAATTAGGTACTTTGTTCATGAAAATATTTAGACATTTTTGAGGTGAGTTAGGACTGGCAGGGCACGGAGGGACACTGTTGTCATAAAACTATGAAGGACCTACCAAGGAAAAAATACCTCTAGGGGTCTCTGTTTATTGAGTTCTAAAAAAATACCCATACTATATTTGGTTGGCTAATAACATATAAATGGATTTTAATTGGTAAGTGTTTGGGGCATTTCTTTTTCTCTGTTCTTTCCCTTCCTTCTCCACACATCTATCCCAAGGCACAGGCATTTTATTTTGCATTTTGGACCTGCTGTCTGTTTGACAGTGTCCTCTTTTGATTTATTTATTATTGTTGTTTGCAAAGAAGAGGGAAATTTTGAAGCATGAACTTGCTGTGCTACCTTGATTTGGAGGTCTCCTGGCCCAGTGTGGAAAAAGTTAAAATCATCTGACATATGTTTATATATATTTAAGCATCTCAGTTGGCTTCATTTGTGCAATGAGGTCCCAAGATCCACTCAAACTCCTACTTACATACAGGAAAGAAAAAACATCTGCTGCTTTGACTAAAAGTTCCTCCTGGCCTTCCCTGTGAAACTCAGGTGAAACCTCCAGCCAACAGAATTGTAACAGAGTCATTCTATTACACCAAGAAGCCTGTGAGCTCACAGGGGGAGGAAATACTGCAGCAGGATATGCAGTTGGGAGGATCTTCCTGCCCACAAGAAAATACAAAAAAAGTGGAATTAATCATCTTCATCTTTTCACAGAATTTGCTAAGAAATTAAATTCAAATTAACACACTCATAGTTTTTGCCTACCATGTTCAAAACACTCCTGGTGCTTATGAGAGACGTGGTCTTTTAGAGGGCACAGTTACCATAAGGCAGCCACACCAGCAGGCTGGGTACTTACATTAATGATAAACCTATTATGCTCTTTCCCCATGAAAACAGATCTGGACCCTCACCTCCCCCACTACCGCTGTCACAGGCTCCTGGAATTTCCCTCTCTCACCCCTACCCTTCACCACTTTTGTGAATGTTCCTCAATCTGACTCCATCTTCCATCAGTCTTCTCCTCTTCAAACCCTTTCTCTGTGCTCTGTGGAATTCCTGATCAGTATAGTTTTCATATAGACATCCTTTACTTAAACCTTCTCTCCCATTTCTTGCCTTAATTGAAAATTGGCCTCTCTCTAGTCATCATCCCCCCTCCAATTCCATAGGCCTCATTACGACTTCCAAATCATTTCTTCTTTTTCTACCCTTGAAAAGCCTGGCACCTCTGATGTTTGTACCACTTACCAGTGTCACAATATTACCATATTACCCTCTTTGTGTTAGAGCTTCCCAGAGAAACAAAGCCAATAGGACACACACACACACGCACACACCCGCACACACATACACACACACACAAGTGTATTTATAATTAAATAAGAAATATATAGATATGACGGCCAGGCGCGGTGGCTCACGCCTGTAATCCCAGCACTTTGGGAGGCCAAGGAGGGCAGATCACGAGGTCAGGAGATCGAGACCATCCTGGCTAACACTGTGAAACCGCATCTCTACTAAAAATACAAAAAAAATTAGCCGGACATGGTGGTGGGCGCCTGTAGTCCCAGCTACTTGGGAGGCTGAGGCAGGAGAATGGCGTCAACCCGGGAGGCAGAGCTTGCAGTGAGCCGAGATCACACCACTGCACTCCAGCCTGGGCGACAGAGAGAGATTCCGTCTCGGAAAAAAAAAAAAAAAAGAAAGAAAGATATATATGTGACAAAGTTCTCATTTCTATAATTTGTCTTGTGGCTGTAGTTAGTGTTTATAATTAGCTTCTTCCTTTAACAGTTCACTATTGCTGTTTCCTCCGGTAAGCCCTCTAGCACTACATGGCTCTTTGCTTTACGTGGTGGCCCAAACCTTCATTCCTGAAGGGTCTAGGCCATGAGTGTTCCTGCCTGGATTGGTTTGTTGTAGTTTTCCATCAACCTTAACCACCAGGCATGATAATATTGAAAGGTGCCTCGAGGGACCTCCTATGTTCCAGACATACTCTTCTTTATCTCCATTGTGGAATAGTAGTCCAATTTTCTCTTGGTAGTCAGGATTAATCACCCCAACCAGCACAATAACTCCCTTCTTTGCCAGTTGATTCAGAGGCATGAGTAACCCAAAGTGGCCAGGTGACTTTCTTAACCTCCAGTTCAGTAGAGTCGTTGTTGCGTCTCCTGGTGGGAGCATTCATCCCTCTGTTACTATAACCTCTAGGTAGTTACTATATCCTCTATAGTAGAGCATAAGATTGTGAAAACAGGAAGTCAACATTTGCTACTGAGTTGCTAGGGGTAATGGTGAGTGGTTTTCCAACACAATGAAGTCTTAGGCAGTATACCACTCCGAAATCACTTGATCAGAGATTTCCAGCACTCACTGGGGGCATTTCTGAAATTGTGGAGGCTGAGAATCTTCTGTCTTGTGTCTGTAAGACAGAGACCCAGGAAAGCTGGTGGTATAGTTCCAGTCTGAGTCCGAAAGCCTGAGAATCAGGAGCACTGATGGTGTAAGTCTGAGTTCAAGGACAGAAACCAAGCAATGTCCTGGATCAAGCAGTCAGGCAGGGAAAGGCAGAGACAGAATTCTCACTTCCTCTGACATTTTTGTTCTATTCAAGTCCTCAGTGGATTGGATGGGGCCCACTCACATTGAGGAGGGCAATCTGCCTTACTCAGTACGCCAATTAAAAAGTTAATGAGATATATACCTCTTTTGAAAACACCCTCACAGACATGCCCAGAAATGTTTAACCCACTATCTGGGCATCCTGTGGCCCAGTCAAGCTGACACATGACAGTAACCGTCACACTCATCCTCCTCCCTTCGAACTGCTTTCTCACTGCCCCTCAGTGACTGGAGCCATTAGCACCTCTCTGCTTCACCTCTCATCTCATCTCTCAAAGCCACGTTTAAAATGTTACTGTATACATTACATGTCTTTGTGAAAATCAGTATGCTGAGCTATGGAGAAAAAAAGTATTTCAGAGAAGTGTGAAACAAACTGAAATTTAAAATTTAAAACATTACATGAATTGTGGATTATCAGAATTCACTTAAAATATTTCCATAGGTAAAAGAGAATGCTTGATTATGTCACATTTAAATACTGTTCTTTAGTTTTTATTTTAATCGGGACAATTTACATTAAGCACTGGTAAAGCAATTTCAAAATTTCTGTAGGTTAAAACAACAAAGGGGCTAGGCGCAGTGACTCATGCCTGTAATCCCAGCACTTTGGGAGGCCGAGGCGGGTAGATCATGAGGTCAGGAGTTTGAGACCAGCCTGGCCAACATGGTGAAACTCCTTCTCACTAAAAATACAAAAATTAGCCGGGTGTGGTGGCGGGCGCCTGTAATCCCAGCTACTTGGAAGGCTGAGGCAGGAAAATTGCTTGAACCTGGGAAACAGAGGTTGCAGTGAGCTGAGATTGTGCCGCTGCACTCTAGCCTGGGTGACAGAGCAAGACTCCGTCTCAAAAAAAAAAAGAAAAAAAAAAAGGATTATTTCTCATTCATGCTAGATGTCCAGTGAGGGTGGATGGGGAGCTCTGTTTCACACTGACACTCAGGAGTCTAGGCTGACAACGGCTCCATCCTCTTGTCACTGCTTCTGGTGGAATTTGTGGCCTTTCTGGTCGCTGCAGCAGGAGAAAGAGAACAGAGAACCACACTGGGACTTTGACAGCATTGGCCTCACTTTTGCTCACATTTCATTGATCAGAACTAGTCATGAGGCCCTGCCTAATGTTAAGGGCTGGGAAATGCAGGCTTGCCTATGCACAAGCATCACTACTGCCCAGCAGAGTCTTTTTTTTTTTTTTTTTTAAGACAGAGTCTCCCTCTGTCACCCAGGCTGGAGTGCAGTGGTGCCATCTCAGCTCACTGCAAGCTACACCTCCTGAGTTCATGCCATTCTCCTGCCTCAGCCTCCCAAGTAGCCCGCCACCACACCCGGCTAATTTTGTTTTTGTATTTTTTTTAGTAGAGATGGGGTTTCACCGTGTTAGCCAGGATGGTCTCCATCTCCTAACCTCATGATCCGCCTGCCTTGGCCTCCCAAAGTGCTGGGATTGCAGGCGTGAGCCACCACGCCCAGCCTGCCCAGCACAGTCTTGTTAAACAGCTCTCATGTCCTGTGGAGTCCTGTCATGACACATGGGAACATGCGTGTCATGATAGGACTCCACATATAGGACTCCACATATAGGAGTAAAGGAGAAACGTGAGTTGATCAGTGAAATGAAGATGAAGGACAGGGTGAACCTCAGAGCCTGAGGTTGAAGGTTAAGTCTGTGATATCAGCAAGCATGTGGAAAGAACACACTTTCCTGGTGGAGGCACATGTGGAGGCTTTGATGGGCAATCAGGAGGTTTTAGGACAGCTGTGAGCAGTTCTGCTTTTTTTTTTTTTTTTTTTTTTTTTTTTGAGACAGAGTCTCGCTCTGTCTCCCAGGCTGGAGTGCAGTGGCTGGATCTCGGCTCACTGCAAGCTCCGCCTCCTGGGTTCACGCCATTCTCCTGCCTCAGCCTCCAGAGTAGCTGGGACTACAGGCACCCGCCACCACACCCGGCTAATTTTTTGTATTTTCAGTAGAGAAGGGGTTTCACCGTGTTAGCCAGGATGGTCTGGATCTCCTGACCTCGTGATCCGCCCACCTCAGCCTCCCAAAGTGCTGGGATTACAGGAGTGAGCCATCGTGCCCAGCCTGTTGGGTCACATTTTATAATACATTTGCTGAGGTCTATTTTGTGATCTGTGAGTATGCACTGTGGTGGTGGCAGTAAAATACATCAGTGGGAGTTTTCCTGCAGAGCTCTTGATCCATGCGGGGTGTATCACAATTGCACAGTAAATATTGATTTCATTGAGAAGAAAGAAAAATCTGATAAGAAATAAAATGAACCAATAAATATTTTCTCTACGTATGTGTGGTAGACAGAATTCGCAATGTGATCCCATGATTTCATACCCGAATCCCTCAGAGCCCACAAGAATAGGGAATCCCATGACTATGTTGTGTCATATGGCACAGTTGACTGTAGAGTAGGGACACTATCTGGTGGGCCTAATGTCATCACACAGTTTCGAAGCAGAGTGTTTTTTTTGACTGGTAGAAGAAGTCAGAGAGATTCAGAGTATGAGAATGACGCAGTGTGTACTGCTGTTCAGAAACGGAGGGAGCCAAGAGAGCAGGAATGAGGGTGGCCTGAAGGGTGCAAGACAGGTCCTGGCTGGCAGCCAACAAGGAAACCAGGACCCCAGTCCTCCAATGCCAGGAATTTAATCCTGCCAATAGCAGGAGTAAGCTTGGAAGAGGAGCCTGGGGTCTAGGGAAGAAAACATTAACTTACATCTTTATTTCAGCCTTGTGAGACTGAGCAGGCGGTCCAGCCGCTGCATCCTGGAATTCTTGCCATTATCACACTCGTATGTGAAATAATAAAACCGTGTGTTAGCTTCTGTATTGAATAAACTGAATAAACTTCTCAACTTTGCTTTCCTTCTCCAGTTTCCTCTCCCCACCCCTACAGTATCATTCTTTATGGAAGACATATTAAATTTCTCTTTAAAACAACATTGCTTTGAAATATAAAAAACAGCATATGTCAACTGTTTTTTTACAATAAGAAGTACTATAACCAGACTTTTTTAAAAAAATGATATTATCCTGCTTAGCTCACAAAAACATTTTGATTATTTGGGCTGTTAAATTTTACGTGTCATGTTCAGTAAATCAATTAGGTTCTTAAGAAATCTCCTGCAGATTGTCAGATTGAAGAGATCATAACCCAGAAGGAAATAAGCCTGCACTCCTAAGACAATCAGTGCTTCTAATGAGAAAAGTGACTGACAGATAAGGTGGGAAGATTGGCCTCACCTCATGGGGCAGCTCTGCTGTTCTTGCCCATCCTGATGTTTTTGGATAACAAGGAAAGTGTATTCAATTTTTTAGCTCCCCCTTTTAAAAAAGCAGTGGAAGCTTGTAATCAAAGACAATCATGTTGGGGTCCGGTAGGAGTCACCCCATCGCATTCATCACACTCATCAACCAAAGGGAGGAGGCCTCTCCCTGAGTTCCTGCTTGAGGAACATGGCTGGAAAAGTAGGGAGAATGGAAGCTGATGCCAAAAACAAAAACAGGAGAGAGAAAGAAATGCCTCTGTTTGGTGCTTCGAAACACTCGATTTAATCTGTGCATGTAGGTGGGGAAAGCATTTGTCCATTTTTAATTTCTGTAGTTAATCCAGGAGCCTCCAGAATAGGCTTATGGTTTGGAGTGACCTTGAATGGTGACAAGAGTATATTTTATTTGCATGGCTCTCCCCACTTTACCAATTACTTTCTCATAGGAGTCGCTTGTTTCTCACCCATGAAATTGTTAGGTTTTGTTAACTTTTCAGTCTTGAGATTAGAAGAGGCTTTAATGTGCTAGAAGCACAACTGCACTTTTGATTCATGAATTTTTTTTTTTTTTTTTGAGACGGATTCTCGCTCTGTCGCCCAGGCTGGAGTGCAGTAGGGCGATCTCGGCTCATTGCAAGCTCCGTCTCCTGGGTTCAGCCATTCTCCTGCCTCAGCCTCCTGAGTAGCTGGGACTACAGGCACCCACCACCACGCCTGGCTAATTTTTTTTGTATTTTTTTAGTAGAGACGGGGTTTCACCGTGTTAGCCAGGATGGTCTGGATCTCCTGACCTTGTGATCTGCTTACCTCGGCCTCCCAAAGTGCTGGGATTACAGGCGTGAGCCACCGCACCCAGCCGATTCATGAATTTTCTATTCAGTTTCCAGCCTCTTCTGGAACACATTCAGCAATGGAGAGCTCCCTGCCTTTTGTAACTCTGGAGAGTTCAAGTTAATCCATTTATTGTTTGCTAGAAAATATAACCTTTTGAAAATATTTTCTTACTTTCCATTTTATTATTTATTTATTATTATTATTATTTGAGATGGAATCTCGCTCTGTCACCAGGCTGTAGTGCAGTGGTGCAATCTCGGCTCACTGCAACCTCCTCCTCCTAGGTTCAAGCAATTCTTCTGCCTCAGCCTCCCAAGTAGCTGGGACTACAGGTGTGTGCCACCACGCCCAGCTAGTGTGTGTGTGTGTGTGTGTGTGTTTGGTAGAGACGGGGTTTCACCATGTTGGCCAGGATGGTCTCAATCTCTTGACCTCCTGATCCACCTGCCTCGGCCTCCCAAAGTGCTGGGATTACAGGTGTGAGCCACTGCACCCAGACCATTTTATCTTTTAACTGTCTGCAACAAAGACAGAAAATGACACCAACCTAAATCATTCCTGTTAGAGTTCAGGACCATCATCTCCCAAACTTTGGAGTGTCTGATTCCCTGTAGTCAATATGCAACGAGATTTCAGGCAAGTATTGTTTGAGGTCGACAGTAACTGTATCCAAAAGTTACCTTCCTAAACATATACAATTGTTTTAGAAATAAATGCCTACATTTTCTTTGAGTACCTGGGCTAACTGATGAAATCGGCCTTTCTGCCTCACCTTACAAAGGTACTTTACAAAGTTTGGGATTAATGTTGAGATGGGAAATCAACCCACACTAGATGCAAAAAAGCAGAGCTCACTGCCTGAAAATGTGAGGTGTGAGGCTATTCAATGGTTGTAATAAAAAATAAAAAATAAAAAAGATCAATGAAAGTGGGCTTAGAAGGGCCAGTGTCCAGGCAGCTCTGCTGTGGGAACTGTAGAATCCGGGTCATGGGAATGAGGAAGGAAAATGACTTGGGTATATTCCACAGAGTGGATCCTATTTTCAGAACATGCTTTCATTTCTTTTTGCATTTGACAGTTTATACTCAAGAATAAAATAGTCACCTCAAGGGCGTTAGGGAAGCAGAAGCCTAGGAGAGCCCGAGTGACACCATTTTAACATCAGCTCCGTCTTCAAGTTAGCAGGGTGCATTCCTTGCCAGTCATGACTCATGGTCCTAACATGTTCACATCCAAGGAAAGAGCGTGGTAATGCCTGCAAGGACAAACTCCTACAATAACAGGCAGTCCAGATGTCCCAATGCCCATAACAATATATGCTTTCAAGATAGTTGTAGTTACGCTTTGATGTACTCGTACACTAAAATGTCAAGGATCGTTTTCTTTAAATCAATAGAATAATAAATTTTGTCATTCTGTCAGTCCACCTGCACATAGGCAAAGCTTAGTTTATTCTTTACATAAAGAAGATGTATATGTAAGAAAAACTTAAAACAAAGATGGGGCATTCCTGTTCTTGCTTTCTGAGGATACCTTACTCTATAACCTAGAGGCTTTCAATAAACTCTCCCTTCCCACTTTATTCTGCAACTCACCTTGAATTCTTTCCTGTGTAAGATCCAAGAACACTCTCTTGGGGTTTGTATCAAGATCCCTTTTCTGGTAAAAAAGAGGATGCAAAAATTCAGCTACAACAAAAATAGACATGGGTTATTTTTCCTAAAAAGATTGCACTTGTCTGTTGCCATTGGAGGAATGTATCCGATGTTGTCAAATGTCAAACAAGACTCAGAGGACCTGACAACTCATATTTTGGAAGCTGGTTCTCTTTGGAATACAGAATTTTAAAAGGCTTGAAGCAGTACTCTTGAGTAATATGGAGAGTAGATAGATGATGGAGAGCAGAGAGAATGATTTAGGTTTGTGCCATTTTCTATCTTTCTTGCAGACAGTTAAAAGATAAAATGGAAAGTGAGAAAATATTTTCAAAATAATTACTCTTTATACTCACAATATAACCTTTTCACAATAATTCTTCTTCCTCTTCTTCTCCTTCTTCTTCCTCCTCTTGTTCTTCCTCCTCTTCCTCCTCCTCTTCCTCCTCCTCCTCTTCCTCCTCTTCTTCTTCTTCTTTCTTCTTCTTTCGTCTTCTTCTCCTTTCTTCTTTCTTTTTTCTTCTTTCTTCTTTTCTTTTTTAGATGGAATCTTGCTCTGTCACCAGACTGGAGTGCAGTGGCATGATCTCAGCTCACTGCAACCTCCGCCTCCCAGGTTCAAGGGATTCTCCTTCCTCAGCCTCCCGAGTAGCTGGGACTACAGGCACACACCACCACGCCTAGCTAATTTTAGTATTTTTAGTAGAGACGAGGTTTCACCATGTTGGCCAGGCTGTTCTCCATCTCTTGACCTCGCGATCCACCTACCTCGGCCTCCCAAAGTGCTGGGATTACAGGCATGAGCCACCATGCCCAGCCAATAATTACTCTTTTTGTATTCCAGCAGAAAAGGTGGGATCATGGATAAACGACTTGCCCCAACTCTGGACAATGAAGCAGTGGCAACCTGTTAACACATATTAATTTTGGGTATTTCTGAAAGTTTTTTTTTTTTTTTTCACCTTTCTACCCTCCTGCTTTTCCCGTGAGAATGGGTGTGGTTACTCATTTGCTTACACAAATCTCATTCTTGTATCCAGTTTGATAACTGGATACTACTGAAGCTGATCTTCAGTAGTCTCGGGTGGTCCTAGTGAACCAGCTTCTCCAGACGCAGCTGTTCACCTTCTGTTCATTCAGCATCCAAGGTGAGTCTTCAGCACTGTCTGATGCTCCAGCAGTTCATTCTGGCAGTGCTCTTACGAGAGGGATAGCGGGAGCAGGCCGGCGGCACAGGCCAGATACAGTCAGGGTCAGATGACCACCTGATGGGGAGGTTCTTCATCCACAGACTGTTCTCATTGTTTGGGGGATTCTTCCTCCTTTTTTATTCCTGTATTTAATCTGGCTTCAGTCATTAGGTGTTTCTTTCATAGAGGAATTTTAATCATATAAGGGTAAGCTTTGTTTTAAGATTCATGAAAGTGGCATATGTGCTGAGGTGGCCTAGGCAATCAGGGTTTTTAGGTCTTATTTTCATAGGGACCCAGTAATCATCTCCCGGCCAGGGCTGGAAATCCCCAGGCCAGGTTACATCATACTGCTAAGTGAAACATAGTGTAGACCCCATGAGATGTTTGAGTGGGCTTTATGGCCATCATTAATCTTACAGGCATGGGATGTTTCTTATTGTACCATACAACAGCTATCCACACTTCTCATCCACATTCTTGCAGCAATCTAATCTTCTCATACAACAGTGAGGTAAGATTACCACTCAGCCTTTGTTGTGATGACTGCCCACCTGCTACTTTAAGTTTAGCTGTGTGTGGTACTATGATTACTCTTCCTTTCAAGAACAGCATTTTCTTTCCTTTGGGATTAATGATTGCTTGTTTGGGGGGCTATACTTTATTTTTATACATTATTACTAATATTTAAACCAAATTTTTCTTAACCTGGGTTTTCTCTAAAAACAGAGCCTAGTACAAAGGTATGTAGGCATTTTATTTTATTTGGGAAGTGACTGTAGGAAACAGTAATGTGAGGGCCTGGAGAACATGACCGAGAGAAGGAAAAGCCAATTAAAAAATACATAGGGTCAGGAGATCAAGACCATCCTGGCCAACATGGTGAAGCCCTGTCTTTACTAAAAATACAAAAATTTGCCGGGTGTAGTGGCAGGTGACTGTAATCCCAGCTACTTGGGAGGCTGAGGCAGGAGAATTGCTTGACCCAGGAGGAGAAGATTACAGTAAGCCAAGATCGTGCCACTGCACTCCAGCCTGGCGACAGAGCGAGACTCTGTCTCAAAAAAAAAAAAAAAATTACATAGGGGCTCACCTCTGCAGATAGGGCTGAATACTGCTGGAACTGTTTGAGGAGCTACATGAAATGCATCCTCTTGATGGCTATTGTCCTCCAACAGAAGCAGGTTGTTTCTTTGGAGTTAATGCCTCTCCACTCCCAGGTTATGCAGACCTGTGTGCTGTGTCCTGAGAAATTTCAGTAAAGCTCATTGCAGAAAGCATTCAGGGTAGTGCAGCCATGGCTGAAGTCAAAGGGGGTTGAGAGGACCTGAGATGGGACACATGTTGGGGGAAAGGCAGTTATCTAGAGCTGGGAGGGGGACCTGGTAATGTGACTCCTGGCAATGTCCTTTACATGGTCCTTTCTCTCAAGTGTACCTAATGTCATCAATTCCTGAACTTTGGGAGTGGGACCATTTCATATAATTCGAACCTCTTCTACACGTGATATAAACTACTAAGTCAATGGCACATATCCATCTTTTTTTCCAGATCCCCAAGTTCCTGTTTTCTCTTCTTTCATCCTTATGGGTTTATTATGTTTTTTACAAAGACAACCCCCTTATTGTCATCTTAGTGGCATTTCAGGGGTAAGTAGAATGAAAGGCATGCTTCCTATCTGCTCTCTTGAATCTACATATACTCTTTTGGGTTTTAAACCTTTTAGAGAAAAAAACTTCCATGGTATATGCCTCTTAACAAAGATCTTACATGAATAGGCCAAAAAACTCAGTTTTTGTCCAGCTAATAATTGAATTGTAACCAAACGAAACCAGCCAGCTTGCTATAGAATTATTTTAATAGGGCATACACTGTACGCTTTTTGTTTCTGCACATTTTTACACTTGCAGATATTATACACGGAATTTTATATTCTTCCTGTTCAGTTAACATTCTGTGTATATCTTCTCTTTTCTACATGATTAAAAAAATGTTATTCGGCCGGGCGCGGTGGCTCACGCCTGTAATCCCAGCACTTTGGGAGGCCGAGGCAGGCGGATCACGAGGTCAGGAAATCGAGACCATCCTGGCTAACACGGTGAAACCCCGTCTCTACTAAAAATACAAAAAAATTAGCCGGGCACGGTGGCGGGCGCCTGTAGTCCCAGCTACTCGGGAGGCTGAGGCAGGAGAATGGTGTGAACCTGGGAGGCAGAGCTTGCAGTGAGCCGAGATCGCGCCGCTGCATTCCAGCCTGGGCGACAGAAGGAGACTCCGTCTCAAAAAACAAACAAACAAACAAAAATTATTCTACACCCCTCTTCTATCCTATTTCCTGTTTTTACATCCGCTCTCCCCTCCCGCTTCTGAGTCTCCAGTGTCCTTTATACCACACTATGCCTTTGCCTACCCATATTAGCTTATAAGTGAGAATATATGGTTTTGGTTTTCTATTCTGAGTTACTTCACATTTCAAATGGAGTTGTTTTCTTAACTTCATTCACTTAGTGCTCACTGCGAGTGTATAGTAATACAATTAATTGTTTAATATTGATTTTTATCCCTCAAACTTGCTGAACTCATTTATTAGGAATCGTTTTCTGGGGTATTCTTTTGGATTATACGTATACAAAATTTGGGTAAACCGTAAGTAACTGATGTTACAATCTGTTGTGCTCATTCAGTACTTTTCCCTAAGCCCAATCACACATTAAACAAACACAGAGTTCCTTTTAGTTCCTGCCTAAGCACTGAGTTTTTATAATGAAAGGTGGGAAGATATGTTCTATAAGAAAAGGTTTTTTAAAAAAACAGTTTTATTGAGATATAATTTTACATTCCATAATATTCACCCATTTAAAGTATGTAATTTAATGTTTTTTACTATATTCACAGTTTTGTAAAACCATTACCATTATTCAACTTTAGAATACTTCTATTTCCCTTAAAAGAAACCCCATGCTTGTTAGCAGTCACTTGCTATTCTCCTCTCCTTCCCCACTTCACCAACTCCTCACCTCTCTACCCGAAGTAACCACTAATCTACCTGCTTATTCTGGGCATTTAATAGAATTGGAACCATGCAATATATGGTCTTTTGTGGCTGGCTTCTTTTACTTAGTATAATGCTTTCAAGGTTCATCTATGTTGTAGCCTATATCAATACTTCATTTCTTTTTAAGACAGAATAATCTTTCATTGTATTTATGTACCACATTTTACTTATCCATTCATCAGGATAAATGGGCATTTTGGACATTGGGTTGTTTCAACTTCTGGCTATTAGGAATAATGCTGCTATGAACATTCATGTGCACTTTTTTTTTTTGAGAGAGTCTTGCTCTGTCGCCCAGGCTGGAGTGCAGTGGCATGATCTCTGCTCACTGCAAACCTCTGCCTCCTGGGTTCAAGTGATTCTTCTGCCTCAGCCTCCCAAATAGCTGGGACTACAGGCACGTGCCACCATGCCTGGCTAATTTTTGTATTTTTAGTAGAGATGGGGTTTCACCATATTGGCCAGGCTGCTCTCACACTCCTGACCTCATGATCTGCCTGTCTCGGCCTCCCAAAGTGCTAGGATTACAGGCGTGAGCCACCGCGCCTGGCCCATGTACACATTTGTGTCTGTGTGTGTGTGAACATGTTTCACACCTAATGGTGGAATTATTGAATCGTATTGTAATTCTATGTTTAATTTTTTGAGGAATTGTCAGTTTTCCACAATGGCTGCATCATTTCACATATTTATCAACAGTGTGTGAGGGTTTAAATGTCTTCAAATCCTTGCCAAAAGTTTTTACTGTCTGCCTTTTCGATTATAGCTGTCTTTGTAGACGTGATTTTGATTTGCATTTCCATAATGAATAGTGATGTTGAGCCAATTTTCATATGTTTGTGGATATTTGTACATCTTCTTTGGAGAGATGCCTATTTAAATCCTTTGCCTATATTGTATTTGGTTTATTTGCCTTGCTACTATTGAGAGTGGTATGATTCCTTTATATTCTGGATATAAGACCCTTATCAGATATATGGCATGCAAATATTTTATTCATTTCTGCAAGTTTTGTCTTTTTTTGATGGTATCGTTTGTAGCACGAAACTTTTAAATTTTGATGCAGTCGAATTTATTTTTTCTTTCATTGCTCGTGCTTTTGCTGTTGTACCTTAAAAATCTTTGCCTAAACCCAAGGTCAGAAAATTTCACTCCTCTATTTTCTTCTAAAAGTTTTACAGATTTTTATGCTTATACTTAGGCTTTTAATCTTTTTGAATAAGCTTTTTGTGTATGGTGTGAGATAGGGCATTGAGTTATCTAGCCACATTTGTTGAAAAGGCTCTTCTTTCTCCAAGCACTTTTATTAGAACCCTTCTGAAAAATTCATTGGCTATAAATATAATAATTTATTTTTAGATTCTCAGTTCTGTTCTACTGATCTATGTGTTATTCTTATGGCCATACTACACTGTTTTTATTATTATAGCTTTGTGTTATGTTTTAAAATCATTAAACGGGAATCCTTTAAATTTATTCTTTTTCAAAATTGTTTTGGGGATTCTTGGTCCCTGAATTTTCAGAACTTTTAAGATCAGTTTGTCAGTTTCTGAAAAAGAGCTAGCTAAGATTTTGATAGAGATTGTGTTGAATCTGTAGATCAGCTTACAAAGTATGGTCATTTAACAATATTAAGTCTTTGGGAGGCTGAGGCAGGAGAATCGCTTGAACTCGAGAGGCGGGGGAGGTTTCAGTGAGCCGAGATTGTGCCATTGTACTCCAGCCTGGGCAACAAGAGTGAAACTCTGCCTCAAAACAAACAAACAAACAACAACAACAACAACAACAAAAATATTGTCTAGGTAATATCTTTCCATTTATTTAGATCTTTAATTTCTTTTAAAACTGGTTTGTAGTTTTTAGTATACAAATCTTGCAATTCTTTTGTTAAATTATACCTTAGTATTTTATTCTTTTTGATGTCATTTCAAATGGAATTGTGTATATATATATATATATATTTTACTTCAGTAGCTTTAGGGGTAGAAGTGGTTTTTGGATACATGGATGAATTGTGTAGTGGTGAAGTCTGAGATTTTAGTACACCTGACACCTGAGGAGTGTACATTGTACCCAGTAAGTAGTTTTTTATCCCTTCCCCTTCTGAGTCTCCAATGTTCATCATAACATTCTGTATGCTTTTGCCTACCCATAGCTTAGCTTATAAGTGAGAACATGTGGTATTTGGTTTTCCATTCCTGAATTACCTCACATGTCAAATGAAATTGTTTTCTTAATTTCATTCACTGAATGTTCATTGTTAACATATAAAAATAAAATTAATTTTTAATATTGATTTTTATCCTTCAAACTTGCTGAACTCATTAGTTCTAATAGTTTTCCGGGGTGTTCTTTTGAATTATCTGTATACAAAACTTAGGTCATGTATAAGTAGAGATAGTTTTACTTCTTCTTTTTCAATCTGGATATCTTTTGTTATTTTTATTTGACTATCTCGGCTGGCCCATCTCGTGGAGGGGATTTTTATTGTAAATTTTTTTATTAGAGAGATGTACTGTATATATTTTCCTACAGTAATTTTGAACTAATTATTCTTATAGACATCTGTATATTTTCTACTTATTTTTAGATTTCTTTTTGACTTATGGGTAAATGAAATGCGTGTTTATTAATTTCCATATTTTTCTAGATATTTTTGATGTTTTTATTTTTCTCCAGATTAATGGCTTCCTTATCAGAAAATATCTGTAGATTTTCCATCATTTGAAATTTGTTGAGATTTTATTTATGGTTCAGTGTGTGCTTCTTTTTAAATAAATGTTCTGTATGTGCTTGAAAATGATGTGTATTTTGGCAGCATTTGACTGAGTGACAGTTTTATGAGGTTCAAATCTTCTAAATCCTCTTAGTTTCTTCTATTAATTAGTGATAAAAATGTGTTAAAAAGAAAAATAATCAGAGTAGAGGATTTTCTTTGTAGTTCTAGGGATGTTTTTATTTATGAGTGTTGAGGCTAGGTAATTAGATGTATATATATTATAATTATTTTATCTTCCTAATAATAACATGTCTATATTAGCTTTTATGGTTAATATTTTCCTGGTATGCCTTTTTACTTTTTAAATCATTAACCTTTCTGTATCCTAATGTTTTATATATGTCTTGTGAAAACAGGAGCAAATTGGGTTTTGTGTTATAGTCTGTTCATTTTTACTTTAAAATAAATAGTTTAGTCAGTTTATGTTTAAAACAATTACTGATATATATAGGTGTGTATTTTCCATTATATCTGTGTTCGTAGTTTATCCATGTTCCATTTTCTTTTATCTTAGGTTGTTTATATTTTCTTATCTAATTTCCCCCCTTGTAATTTAGAAGTTGTATAATATTTTTATTTTTATTGTAATAATTATAACATAGATACTATATTAATATCCATATTGTTCAGAAAAACAGAACCAACAGGACACACACACACAGTCTGAAAGCCAGCAGTCTTGAGACCTAAAAAGAATCCGTTTTTCAGTTCAAGTCTGAAGGCAGTAAAAGATGCATATCCCAGCTCCAACAGTCAGGCATGAAAGAAAAGGTCAGCTTTCTTGTTCTATTTAGGCCTTCAGCTGATTGAATGAGGCCCATTCTCATTGGGGAGCACAATCTGCCTTACTCAGTCTACTGATTCAAATGTTAATTTATCCAGAAATACTCTCACAGACACATCCAGAATAATGTTTGACCAAATGTCTGGGCACCATGTGGCCTAGTAAAGTTGAACACATAAAATTGAGCACTACAGCACTTAATTGATCAGTGTCTCAGTTAATCTGTATCTTGACCTCATACCAAATGATAAAGGAGCATTAGAAGACTCTTTTACTTTATTTTCCTTCCTCTCTTTTTATTCTGCTGTTAATAAAATTTCATTTTTTATCTTAAACATTCTACAAGGTGATGCCATTATTTTTTTCTATTTTTTATTGTGGTAAAATATACATAACATACTTTTTATCATTGTAACCATTTGTGAGTATGCAGTTCAGTAGCATTAAATATATATTTACAATGTTATATAACTATTGTTACTATCTACACCAAAAAAAAAAAATATATATATATATATATATATATATATATATATATATATATATATTTTATACGGAGTCTGCTCTGTCGCCCAGGCTGGAGTGCAGTGGCACGACCCCTGCTCACTGTAAGCTCTACCTCCTGGGTTCATGCCATTCTCCTGCCTCACCCTCCAGAGTAGCTGGGACTACAGGCGCCCGCCACCACGCCCGGCTAATTTTTCTGTATTTTTAATAGAGACGGGGTTTCACCATGTTCGCCAGGATGGTCTCGATCTCCTGACCTCGTGATCCGCCTGCCTCGGCCTCCCAAAGTGCTGGGATTACAGGTGTGAGCCACCGTACTTGGCCCCTACACCAAAAATTTTTATTATCCTCAACATAAACTTTGTAGTCATTAATCAATAAGTACCCATTTCCCCACTCCTTATCCTCTAGTAAGCTTGATTCTACTTTCTGTCTGTAAATTTGCCTACTCTAGGTACCTTATATACATGGCATTGTACGATATTTGTCCTGCTATATCTGCCTTATTAAACAAAGCATAATATTTTCAAGGTTCATTCATGTTGTAGCAAATATAAAAATTTTGTTTCTTTTTATAGCTGAATAGTATTCCATCACAATGCCACATATTCTTTATCTATCCATCTGTTGATGGACACTTGGATTGCTTCCACCTTTTGGATGTTATGAATAATGCTGATATGAACATTAGTACACAAATACCTGCTTTAGTCCTTGCTTTCCATTGTTTTCTATACATACTTAGGAGAGGAATTGCTGAGTCATTTGGTAGTCTTAAGATTAACTATTTGAGAAACTGCCAAATTATCTTACAAAGCAGTTGCACCACATTTTACATTTCCACCCTTAATGCACGTTCCAATTTCTCCACATTCTCACCAGTATTTATTATTTTTCAATTATTATTTTTATTATTATTTGTATAGCCATCTTTGTAGGTGTGACATGGTATCTCGTGGTTTTGATTTGTATTTTTCTATCTACTAATGATGTTGGACATCTCTTTATGTATTTATTGGCTATTTGTAGGTCTTCTTTGGAGAAATGTTTATTCTAGTCGTCTGCCCATTTTTAAATGTTTGTTTGTTTGTTTTTTGTTGTTGAGTATTGCATTAGTCCGTTTTCACACTGCTATAAAGAACTACCTGAAACTGGGTAATTTATGAAGAAAAGAGGTTTAATTCACTCACAGTTTTGCATGCTTAACAGGAAGCATGACTGAGAGGCCTCAGGAAACTTACAATCATGGCGGAAGATGAAAGGGAACCAAGGACTTTCTTCACATGGTGGTAGGAGAGAAAGAGAGAGTGAAGGGGGAAGTGCCACACACTTTCAAGCAACCAGATCTTGTGAGAACTCACTCAATAGCATGAGAACAGCAAGAGGGAAGTCCACCGCCATGATTCAGTCACCTCCCACCAGGTCCCCCCGACATGTGAGGATTACGATTCAACATAAGATTTCGGTGGGGACACAGAGCCAAACCATATCAAGTATTAAGAGTTCTTCATATAGTCTGGGTATTAATCCTTTATCAGAATGTCTGAGATATTCTGATCTGAGAGTTCTTCATATAGTCTGGATATTAATCCTTTATCAGAATATCTGAGATCAGAAGCAGCAATTAGCAATCAGAGAATAGATCTCTGATATTTGGAGGACAGGGTACTATTTGGCCACCCTGGCCTCTGCAAGCTGAATGGAAACTGCTATTGGAATGCATGCACAGCTACCTGCCATGTGAGTGGAGGTAAGGGATGGATAGTTGCTACTGTGCTAAGAGCTGAAATTGACAAAATTAATGCAATTTACCATCCAACCTTTCCCTGGAAGTCGCAAACCTTTAACAGACTCTAGAGTTCCAAAAGAGTTACATCAGCCTGGCTGCAGTGGCTCACGCCTGTAACCCCAACACTTTGGGAGGCCGAGGCGGGTGGATCACCAGGTCAGGAGATCAAGAACATCCTGGCTAACACCGTGAAACCCCGTCTCTACTAAAAAATACAAAAAATTAGCCAGTGTGGTGGCAGGCGCCTGTAGTCCCAGCTACTAGGGAGGCTGAGGCAGGAGAATGGCATGAACCCAGGAGGCGGAGCTTGCAGTGAGTCCAGGTCGTGGCACTGAATGCCAGCCTGGTTGACAGAGCAAAGACTCTGTCTCAAAAAAAAAAAAAAGAATTACGTCAGACATATTCTATCAATGCAATTGTGTCTAGTTGGGGGAGACAGTTTCCCGGTGCTTCTTAATTTGCCATTCCAGAATTCTCTCTCTCTTTCTTTATTTGTTATATCTGTTAAAATTTATATTTGTTAATCACTTTGGTTTCTTCTTTTTAGTCAGTTTAGATAATTTGTGTGTTTTAAGAAATTTATGCACTTATTTTAGGTTATTTGTTTGGCATACAATTGCTCACAGTACTCTTAATTCTTTATTTCTATAACATCACTAGTATTGTCCCCATTCTCATGTCTAATTTTTGTCATTTGCATGTTTTCCCTTTTCTTCTTAGTCTTTCTAGGTAAGTTTGTCAATTTTGTTGATCTTTGCAAAAAACCAACTTTTGATTTTATTGATTTTTCTCTATTGTTTTTCTAGTCCCCGTTTTGTTTTTCTGTGCTCTAATCTTTATTGTTTATTTCCTTCTAGTTTTGAGTTTAATTTGTTCTTTATATCCTCATTCTTTAAGGTGGAAAGTTAAGTTACTGATTTGGAATGTCCTTTTCAATATAGTTATTTATAGCTATACATTTCCCTGTGAGCACAGCTTTCAGTGCATCCCACAAGTTTTGGTATGTTGTGTTTTCATTTTCATTCATCTCTGTTTTCTAATTTCATTTGCAATTTCTTTTTTGATCCATTGCTTGTTTAAGAATGTGTTGTTTAATTTCCACAAATTTTTGAATTTTCTAGTTTTCCTTCTTTAAAAATATTTTTAATAGTATACTCTATTTAGCTTAATATATTCGTAGTATTATCATACCATTCCAATACATCATCAATGAAAGAAATTAGTATCGAGATATCTTACATTCTTTCTTTTGTACTAATGATATAGGAGGAGGGCAGGGCAGTGTTGGGTAGAGGAGAAGGTCCCTGGCTAGGGCTCCACCCTCAGGCCTGTGCCCATGGACCTAGGTGAGGACAGATATTTCTGCTTTCGTTCCCATATGTTGCATTTTCCAAGACCATCCTGGCCTGCCATGCCCCCATCCTGTGCCTATAAAACCCTGAGACCTTAGCGGGCAGAGACACAGGAGCTGGACATCAAGAGGAACACACACAAGTGGAAGGACACTCAAATGGCTGGACATTGAGAGGAACACACAGGCAGAGGAACACTTTGGCAGACACCAGTGGAATGACGAAACGCTGAGGGGAATTCAGTCGGAGAGTCTGGCTACTGAGCGGCTCCACTCCAGGGGAAAACCACCTTCCCAATCCATCCCCCCTCTGGCTCCCCTCCATCTGCTGAGAGCTACTTCCACTCAATAAAACCTTGCACTTATTCTCCAAACCCACGTGTGATCTAATATTTCTGGTACACCAAGGCAAGAACCCAGGATACAAAAAGCCCTCTGTCCTTGCGATAAGGCACAGTGTGTAATTGAGCTAATTAACACAAGCCACCTGCAGACCACAAAACTGAAAGAGTTAACTGTAATATATGCCCACTGGGGCTTCAGAAGTTGTAAACACTCAACCTTGGAGGCTGCCATGGTGCCAGCGCTTCCCATGCCCTGCCTGTCTGCATGGTTCCCCTAGAGGTATGAGTAGCAGGGCACCAAAGAAGTGAGCCACACCCCCATCACACGCCCTGCTGGGGGATAAGGAAACTTTTCCCATTACACTAAGTTTTTGAAATGCAGTGTCCATTTCATGTAATAGCAGATCTCCATTTCTTTTTTGTTTGCTTTCTGTTATTGATATCTAACTTCATCCTGTTGTGGTCTGAGAAGATACCATTTGTATGGCAACTATCTTCTAAAATCTATTGAGATTTAATTTGTGGCCTAACATATGGTCTGTCTTGGAGAAATGTCTCATGTGCCTTTAAGAATTTGTTTGCTGTTGTTGTTGGGTAGAGTATTCTGTGTATGCCTCTTAGATCCACCTGGTTTATAGTGTTGTTCAAGTCCTCCATTTTCTTACGTATGTTCTGTTTGTTATATATTTCTTATTGAATGTGGGGTGTTGAAGTCTCCAATTATTATTATTGTAGAATTGCATATTTATCTTTTCAGTTCTGTCAACTTTTCTTTCATCTATTTTGAGGATCTGTTACTAGGTGTGTAAAATGCTATTGCTTTTCAATGGCCAACGTTCACTTAGATTAACTCCTATATTTATCAGTCTCAGTGCTTTAATTATTCTTGCATTCTGGAACATCCATCTGTTGTCACTTCCCTTCTTTTTATAAGAAATTCCTTTAGTGATGTAGAATAATATGATTATGGCAAAATTTTCCTAGTCTTGTTTATCTGAGAGTATATTTGCCATCCTTTTATTGAATCATTGATATTTTTATCTCTGTGTTTCTTTGTAAGAGTCTTTTAAACTTTTACTTGGAAATAATTATAGGTTTGCAGAAAGTTTCACAGATAATACAGTTTCCTCATACCCTTCACTCAATTTCCCTAATAGATGTATCTTACATAACTGTAGCACAATGTCAAAGTTTGGATTTTGACAATGGCATAATATGGTTTGTATAGTTTTGCCATTTTATCATGTGTAGATTTGTGTAACCACCACAGAAATTAAAATACAGAAATACTCCATCATCACAGAGATCTCCCACACCACAGAGATCTCCCTCACCACAGAGATCTCCCTCATCACAGAGATCTCCCTCATGCAACCCCTTACTGTCACCTTCCTACCCCCATGATTCCTATCCCTTGAAAGCTCAAATTTCTTCTTCATTTGTATACTTTTTTGGGGTTTTTTTTTTTTTAGAATCTTCTAAATTAAACTATTTACATTTAATGTAATTACTGATATTTTAGAGTTTAAGTCTTCTTTTTTTGTTTTGTGTCTATTCTTTGTTTCTTACATCTATGTTTTTCTTTCTCCTGTTTCACTGTGGGCTACTTCATTTTTTTTTTTTTGAATTCCATTTTTTTGTTATCTCTAGTGTTATTGGGTATATCTCTCTGTATAGCTTTTTGGGAGTCCTTTAGGTATTAAATTATACACACGTAACAGCATATTCTGCTGGTATCAATATTTTACCAGTTCAGTTAAAGTATAGAAATTATATCCCCTTTTGTGTCTCTTTCCCTCTCCATTTATAATATAATGGTCTTGGCCGGGCGCAGTGGCTCAAGCCTGTAATCCCAACACTTTGGGAGGCCAAGGCGGATCACCAGGTCAGGAGGTCGAGACCATCCTGGCTAACACAGTGAAACCCCGTCTCTACTAAAAAATACAAAAAATTAGCTGGGCGTAGTGGCAGGCACCTGCAGTCCCAGCTACTCGGGAGGCTGAGGCAGGGGAATGGCGTGAACCCAGGAGGCAGAGCTTGCAGTGAGCCGATATCGTGCCACTGCCTCCAGCCTGGGTGACAGAAGGAGACTCTGTTTCAAAAATAATAATAATAATAATAATATAATGGTCTTAAATATTTTTTCTACATACATCGAGAATCACATCAGACATTATTATAATTTTTACTTCAATAGTCAAACATAATTTGGAAATTCAAGAGTAGAAGGAAAACCTGTATTTACCCAAAGTTTTGCTCTTTTTATTGTTTCTACTTTCTTCTTGATGTTCCACTTTATTCCTGAAGAATATTTGTGCTGGATATAGAATTCTAGACTGATAGTTATTTTCTTACAGCACTCCAGAAATGAGATTGACACTTACACTGGCTATGTAGCCATTTTGGGTTTTTAGCTTGTGGACGAAAATTTCTCTCTTTGAACTTTTCACCTTGGACAGGTCCAGTACTACTACATTTTCCTCGTAATAGCATCCCTAATTTCATAAAATACCTTATATCTTAGTTTGTTTTCCATTTTTTGCTTAATAAAAGGAGTACTGATGGATACAGATTTTTATCTGTGTCAACTTTAGTTGTTTCTCATTTTGTATTATATAGTGTGGATCAGTCCAAGATGAATTTAAAGAAAGATATGATGATGTATTCTTAATAATTTTTAAAAAGTTAGGTGATATACAAACTTATGCAGAAGAAACTTATAGTAAATAATCTTATAAAAGGTATTTTGGAACTACTTTCAAAGCGTATTTTAGTGGACTGATTAGTAGAATGCTCTCTCTTAAGTTTATAAAGCCCTGGAAATTCTTCTGGTATGAGAAATGAAAACTCAACTAAGTTTTACAGATCTTCATTGATGCTTGACTTCTCTCAAAAAGGAAATGGTATAATAAAATGGAATGGGTTTATTTTGTACCAGCCATCATCTTAAAATCAGGAAGTAGTTAATTGTGAAACTGAAATATTGGCGAAACAGAAGAGTTTCCATTTTTGATGATTTCCTCTATTGGCACATATCATCTAAGAGCGGCTACATCCCAACAGTGGGAAAGTGCTAAGTAAAAACAATGATAAGAATGACCTAGGCCGGGCGCGGTGGCTCACAACTGTAATCCCAGCACTTTGGGAGGCCGAGGCGGGTGGATCACCTGAGGTCAGGAGCTCCAGACCAGCCTCAACGTGGAGAAACCCCGTCTCTACTAAAAATACAAAATTAGCTGGGCGTGGTGGTGCATGCCTGTAATCCCAGCTACTCGGGAGGCTGAGGCAGGAGAATTGCTTGAACCTGGGAGGCGGAGGTTGTGGTGAGCTGAGATCGCACCATTGCACTCCAGCCTGGGCAACAAGAGCAAACTCTGTCTCAAAAAAAAAAAAAAAAAAGAATGACCTAGTGATCTCAGTTGAAAAAAGTGTAGTGGTCTCATCCTATAAAGGTTTTTTTGTTTTGTTTTGTTTTGTTTGAGACAGAGCCTCCATCTGTAGCCCAGGCTGGAGTGCAGTGCCATCTCGTCTCACTGCAAGCTCCACCTCCCGGGTTCACACCATTCTGCTGCCTCAGCCTCCCGAGTAGCTGGGACTACAGGTGCCCGCCACCAAGCCCGGCTAATTTTTTTTTTTTTTTTTTTGTATGTTTAGTAGAGATGGGGTTTCACTGTGTTAGCCAGGATGGTCTCTTATCTTCTGACCTGGTGATCTGCCCACCTTGTCCTCCCAAATTGCTGGGATTACAGGCGTGAGCCACCGTGCCCGGCCCTAAGAAGTATTTTTAAAACATCCTACTTTTCATTTCTGAAAAAAAATAAATAAAAAGCAGTTGACTTTAAACTCTTTAAAAACAGAAGAATCTGGGTATTTGTTTCTATTATTTGATATAAGGCAGAATCTTTTAGAAGGATTTAAACACTTTACTAAAGTCAGGAACAAACATGTAGGGAAAAACACAACAGTATTTTTGGAGGATTAGATTTTATGTCATCCACAGAATGAAGATACTGCTGTGGAAAACTGGCTGATCAATATGAGCTCCACTGAACTTTTGTTTTTGTTAACAATGTACCTCAGTAAGTATTTAGTTAATATATCCAACACATGCCCTTGAAGCTATTCATCCAAATGTCCAGTAACAGATAACTCAGAAGACAGTTATATAACACAGAAGAGAATAATCAAATTTAGCTATGATGAGTATATCTGAAGAATATTAAATTCTATGTTCTAATTTTAAATATTATCAGTGAGAATAGTGTAAATAAACTTTATAGGAAAGTGAATAAATACATGAAAAACATTTGTATCCTATATAACAATAAATTGCCATTTACAGCTCCTACAAGTCAGTACTAAAACTACAAATATTCATGTAGAAAAATATTCAAATGATATGAACATGAAAAAAATCAGAAAATGTCACTTAAAAATGTTTCTTTTTTATTTTATAAACTTGTTTTTAATATCTTTCCCCTATTTCTTTTGCATTTTCATCCAGCTTCTTGGGTTCAATGCTCAGTTTATTTGTTTCTGATTTCTCTAGTTACATAATAAATGCACTTAAGATTATGTTTGAATAATTATCATAACAGAAGGTTGACTAATTAGCAGCATTTATCTTAATTGCAAAGGTTAGAAGGATCTAAGTGCAGGACAGTTCTCTGGGTGGCCTTGGACCAACCCAGTTCTCTCCCCTGTCTCTTGTAGTTCTCAAGAATAACTGTAGAATGTACTGGGAATGCAACATCCTGAGAGAAGAAAGGAATGGCTAGAACAGCCCAGGCCCTGTTCCAGTTCCTTGGAAACAGAATGTCTTTCAATGTTTTGTCCAGGGGGTAACTTCACCTTGGAGTATAAAACCCAGGGTGGGCTGCTTTTGCGGGTCCCTAGCTGAGGTACAAGTGTGGCATGCACAGACAGGACTACACCTCCCCCGAGCAGTTTTCCCCAGCCTTGGAGGACTAGCTTGCCATGAATCCCAGGTGCTGCCTATCTGTAAGTAACAAATCCACGTACGTGACTTTTGTGTGTTTGTGTTCCATCTCAGCAGACTCAGCCAAGTTGGTAACCAGTGTCATACTAAGTATGTACTGTATATATAAATGCACAGATATTTTGATGTTTAACATTCCAGGATCTTTCTTTTAAATGAGTTCTTAATTGTGTATCCCAGATCCAAGCTCTTCTCCTGACAAGCCTCTGGCATAGCAGTGAGGTTTGCTCTGTAAGCTGTGGAAGCCTCAGCTGGACACTGTACCCAAGCTTGCTAGGTATCCACTGTTTCAGCAGTGCTGAGAAAGAAAAGACCCCAAGCCCTCAAGGAGGTCTTTTCATAACATAGCACAGTCTGCTTTTTGCATAATTAAATCATTTCTTAACTTACCAATTGACAGAAAATCACTACCAATACCATTCTATTCAACTTACATATTCCACCAAACCAGACATGGTTGAACATCAACAGGGAGCCACCCAGAGCGATTTGAGAAAAAAGCCAAAACCAAATCCAAAAGATCTTTACACTATTTAATTGTAACTGTGCTGAGTTAAATTATTAGAATAAGAAATTTTATAAGTTTATTTTAAAATTTTTATTTATTTATTTATTGAGATGGCGTTTCACTCTTGTTGCCCAGGCTAGAGTACAATGGCGCGATCTTGGCTCACTGCAACCTCTGCCTCCTGGGTTCAAGTGATTCTCCTGCCTCAGCCTCCGAAGTAGCTTGGATTATAGGTATGTGCCACCACGGCCAGCTAATTTTTGTATTTTTAGTAGAGATGGGGTTTCGCCATGTTCACCAGGCTGGTCTCGAACTCCTGACCTCAGGTGATCCACCCGCCTTGGCTTTCTGAAGTGCTGGGATTACAGGTGTGAGCCATCACGCCCAGCCAACAGTTTATTTGAATCATGAGAATTTGTATTGGTTTTTATAAACTAGTTTCTTTCATCTCAGATTCCCTGAAGTATAATGGGGTGTATAAATAACAGTAAAAATAATAGTAATAACAATTACTTCTCTAGGCTGCCAGCAGAAAACACCTGAAATGTTTTTCTTTTTTACATATCATTTTTGAAAATGTTACAGGAAGAAAAGTTAAAATGATCCTATCACTAAAAAGTAGTTTAATTTTTCTTTGTGAATCTAGTGTGAGGAGAGTCCACTCAGGTATTAAGGTGTTCACATCCTGATTGTCCTTAACCTCCTCTTCCCTCTCCCCATTCTTAAGTGGGAAAAAGAATTTAAAGAAAAATTCAGGCCACTGAGAAGAAAAAAGCTTGGCACCCCAGAGGGGCCAGTGTAGGTTTCAGGGTTTCAGGTCTATGAAAATTTCTCCAGATTTCTTCAGATGACAAGGAGAAAGGGCTTTGCAGAGAGAAGTGGCCCCAGGATCTGTGCTCCATGCAGTTAGACGGGCTTTGCCAGAGGAAGCCCAGAGAGGCTGGACGCTATGCCTGGAACAGAGTGGGAGTGTGTGGTTACTGGGGTGGTTCTGCCCCATCTCCTGGCAGAGTGCTCAGCTGCCCAGAGTGGAGCGCCCGAGGGAGACCGGTCAGCAATAGTGACCATCCCCCCAATGCTTGGCGCACCTGGTTCCTCTTGTCAGGCTGGGGAATGAGTGCTCAGGATGCCCAGTCATGGTTAGAAGTCGGCGGTGCTCGGCCGGGCGCGGCGGCTCACGCTGTAATCCCAGCACTTTGGGAGGCCGAGGCGGGCAGATCACGAAGTCAGGAGATCGAGACCATCCTGGGTAACATGGTGAAACCCCGCCTCTACTAAAAATACAAGAAATTAGCGGGGCGTGGTAGCGGGCGCCTGTAGTCCCAGCTACTCGGGAGGCTGAGGCAGGAGAATGGCATGAACCCGGGAGGCGGAGCTTGCAGTGAGCTGAGATCGCGCCACTGCACTCCTGCCCGGGCGACAGAGCGACACTCCGTCTCAAAAAAAAAAAAAAAAAAAAAGTCTGCCGTGCTCAAAGCAGGCTTATTCTCATCTAGAAGATAAAGAAATATGGGCCCTGTTACCCCAGGCAGCTGCTGAATTGGAATGGAGGCAGCAGGCACTGAACATCTGCCCTGTTTCATCCTTGAGTGGATAGAAATGGCCTCTTATTCTGACTCTTTCCCTACACATTTGTGGTAACACAAGACTTTTAAAACAAAACAACTGACTTAATTCCTCCAACCCTGAATCACGGCAGTTAATTTCATTTTTCTATACTTAAAAAATGTTTTCTGGCCAGGCGTGGTGTCTCACGCCTGTAATCCCAGCACTTTGGGAGGCCGAGGCGGGCGGATCACCTGAGGTCAGGAGTTCCTCAGACCAGCCTGGCCAACATGGTGAAACCCTGTTTCTACGAAAAAAAAACAAAAACAAAAATTAGCCGGGTGTGGTAGCGGGTGCCTGTAATCCCAGCTACTGGGGAGGCTGAGGCAGGAGAATTGCTTGACCCCAGGAGGCAGAGGTTGCAGTGAGCCAAGATTGCACCTCTGCAGTCCAGCCTGAGGGACAGGACAAGACTCCATCTCAAAAAAAAAAAAAATTTTTTCTTTAAAACATGAATATAAATGAGTCAGACTCCAGTAAGAACCACAATGTGGCTTCCAAGACAGAATAAGAGAAACAAACAACTGCAAGTCATTTCTCAGTAATGGGGACTGGTGACTGCTGCCTGAGGGCCTGTGAATGGCTGTGGCATTTGGGGTCCTGCCCTGGTGTCTCCCTGCTGCTTCCTCCAGGCTGAAGTGGCGCTTCTACTAGAAAGGTGTCTGCAGCCTTGATAAAGCATTGCACCTTGGCACAGATCAGCGTGAGGACCCAAACAACCTAGCGTTGACAGTTTAAGCCAAAGCAAGCCCCATTCTTTGCTGATAGTTTTTCTAGCAATTGCCTAAGTGGCAGTTGGAAAGAACTTATTGGGAATGTAGCTACAGACACTCTCCCTTCTGGCCTCCCTTGATCTCCTTTCATCCTTTTATGGTAACGCCTAAGGAAAAAATATAACTTCCATCTAATACAAGATGGAAAAAAAAATAGATGTGCATAGATTCCTTCTAACTGAAGGAAATCATTCAGTGAATTATATACATTTCTCTCTCTATATATATATATATTTGTACACACACGTATATATAACCTATTCTCTATCATTTATCTTTCTATCGTTTATCATATATATGCAAATTTCAGTTTAAAAATTGTCCATTAAGTGATACAATCAACTATATGCAAGACATATAAAATCTTAAGACTGTATACATAGGTATAGTGTTTATTTCTTACACAACAATTGTTTATTACACTATTGACCAATGTGACCATACCTAAAATTCTTGCTTTACAAGAATTAAATCTTTAGTTTAAATTGAGGTAGTAATTTCAAATTTAAGATAACAGTGAGAATGGGGCTGTAACTTCTCTAATAAAAATATGTAGCAGTACATACGTGACTATTAGTCAAAAGATGGCACAGGCAGGGAAGAGGGCACACTTCACCAGGCAGTGCGGCCTAAAGGCAGAAATATTTTGCAAATGGAACTGAAGCTGGACAATGTCATATTTGGCCTCTGATTTGTTGGCTGAAGCTTCACAGTATAATAAGCCTCCTTTGGATGAGAGTGGGCTAAGCCTGGAAGACTCCAATCCTACACATTCTACAAATGTGTGCAGAAAATATCTTCATTTGCTGTCAGCACAGAGCTGGTGCTGTGAGGGTGGAGGACGTGATGTGGGGAAATGCAAGGAAAGCCCACTCCTTTGTGGTCCTGGTGTGGGGAGGGTGGCCCTCGCCCCATTCATGTTTCAGGTTCCGGGAAAGACTGGCCTCCTGAAGCAGCCCCCATGCCAACTCAGGCTCAGCCAAGGCCCTTAGGTGGTATAGCACAGCCAACAAGTGAGAGGCCCTGAGGTGCGGGGCCTGAGCTTCTCTTGGCTCCTGGACGTATATGGGATCAAGAGGGGTAAACCTGGCAGAAACGAAGAGGCTGAAGAGTGGCCCAGCTGGGCCAGACCCAAACTGGAGGTGCAGCCAGATATGAGATGTAGGGCCAGGGTGCACCTGGGTAGGGCTGCACCAGCCAGGAAGGCTGCTGAGTTTTTGGGCCAGAGTGAAATAAATCAGGAGCAACACCCAGCCTTGACCTAGCTGAGAACGTCAGCAAGGCAAGAAGAAATGACATGGGGAGGTCCTTTGTCCCGGACGTGGCAACCCAGGATCCTGACTCTCTCCCTTGGCTTGAAGGTCCCATGAGCCCCACTGCTTTTCATGAAGATTGTATGTGAAACACCCAGGGTGGGGGTGCCCTCACACCTCAGGGCCTTTGCACCTATTATGTCTTCTGCCCTGTAGGAATGTGTTCCCCACATAGCCCAGATGGCCAGCTTACTGCATTCACATCTCTGCTCCCAGTCACCACCACATCAGTGTGGCTTCCCCGACCACCTCTTCTAGAATGATTCTCCCTGCACTACTTTCACTATAGCCCCTGGTCCCATGTTTCTTTTTAACACCTATCACCATATGACACATGTATTTGTTTATTTTCTTTCTTCAACTCCCTACTAAAATATGAGCTGTGTAAAGACAAAGAGTTTGACATTTTGTTCCCAATAGTGTCCCCAGTGCCTAGGAACAGAGTGCACACACACACACACACACACACACACATACACACACACACATTTGCTATTGGCGAGCTATGATGCCTTTCTGATGCCATCTTGACTAGTCACAGCGAGGCTGGGTAACCTAGAACATTGGCAGACTGGCCTTTTTCCTACAGGATACTGAGCGTTAACTGAGAAACCAGTGTAAATTATGAGTTTAATGTTTTCAATCTTAATAGATAATTTTCCCTTATAATCAGCAGGGGCAGCTCTGAAAAAATTAAAAATAAATAAAAATAAAAAAATCAGTGTAGTTAATAAAGAGTTGCGCCATGTTCTCTTTGCATACAAGAGCTGCTGTGTGAAAGATCCTGCCTCAGGTGACCACTGAGTTCCTTCTCCTTTTGAGAGACCCTCCCGGCATGCAGTAAGTGCCAGCATATTCTCACGTCTTTGAATTTCATGATTTGGGCTGGGACTCGCTGGCCACATCATTGGTCTAAAGTTCTCCAAGAACCCAGGGTGAGCATGCCACAGGGAGAAAACATTCTTGTCACTTTAAATACAAAGAACATATTTAAAGTAATTGCTAATGATTCAATATTTGCAATACATGTGTGGGCAGTTATGAAACTTTCTTTAACGCCTAGGCAGATCTAAATGCCTTATCAATTTGGAGGCGCTGTTTCCTTCGTGGTTAACAATTTAAGGTGTTTCGCTGTGATTTCTGACTTGAATGTTCCTTTATTAGAGGACGTTGTCCCACTAACGTACATCTCCTCTGGAGGCTGGGCTAATCAGTCTTCAGTCTAAGAGCTTTCCTTCACTACTGCTAATTAAGGATTTTTCTATGATGAATACATAATTCTAAAAAAATATGATTTCCTGATACAAACTACATATGCTTGAAATAAAACTCCGAAGTCAAGTTGCACAGGCTTATCAAACAACTCTCTGAGCACAGAAATACAGAGTAAAAGTTAAAACACGTCTCTACAAAATTATAAACACTGAATATCAACAAATCAAATGACTTATTGAACTTACTTTGCAAAAATTCAGATAAAAATGCATTTATACTAATCAAATTCCAATTTCTGCACTATGTAGGCTACCTTTGTAATAATTACATAAGAACCCTTATAATATAGATCTTTTTTCTTCAATAAAAAATCAACTTTGGGATTATTCTGTAAAAGCAGAAGGAGAATTTGGAAAAATTAAGCCTTCTAAGACCTCCCAGATGAACTCTAGCCAGAGCCCCAGGAGGACTTAGTGATGCCCTCTCACGCTTGGAGGCTGGAGGGAGGGCGGGAGTCAGTTCCCCTTGAGTTCCTATGGAATCTTCAGTCTGTTCTGCTAGACTGATAGACCAAGCTTCTCAGACACCCAGACTGAAGGGGATAATGATCTAGCACCTCGGAGTGTAGACACACAGCCCTTCTCTCCAGGTTTACTGACAGCAGCTCCAGGGCCTCAAGTTCAGGCTCTCCTGCTTTTCTGCCCCTAAATATGAACTCAAAGAGACTGAAAAAGCAGAAGACCACGGGAAATCCTGCAAGGTTTCTGGCACCTTAGCAACTCACGGATGAAGCCATTGGGCCTTTCCAAAACTATCATTTTTTGAGAAGACAAGCATGAGACATCCTCTGCCGAGGGGAGGAAAGGGACAGGGACAGATATGGATAATTGGGAAAGTTTGATAAATCTGTAATTTTCTGCCTCATAGGCATAAGATTCTTTTGGGGGTTTACTCACTACATGATACCTGTCACTAGGAAGTTTGTAGATTGCATCTCTGTTGAAAATCCTTTGTGTGTGTGTGTGTGTGTGTGTGCGCGCGCGTAGCTATATATGCAGAGAGCCACACGTCTTAGAATTTGGCCCCCCAGCCTCCTCTTCCCACCACAGAGCAACGTCTGTGGTGCCAATGAGCCCATCAGGCCATGCCTCTGCTTGGCACAACTGCCCTCCACGGGAGTCTGCCTCTTCCTTTTTTTTTTTTTCTTATAGATATGTGTTCTTTTCAATAATTGAGATGAAATTGTGTAAACAGATTGGCGTTATGCATGTTTTTTCAGATGACATTATATAGTGAAAATATTCCCCATGTCATAAAGATTACTTGAAATATCATTTGCACAGCTCCAATATTTCATAACATGGATTCACCATTATTTATTTAATCCCTTACCTGTTCTTGAATGCTTGATTGGTTTTAACATTGCTCCATTTTCTTTGGATTTTTAAACAATGCCTTTTCCTGGGTGATGATAGCCATTGCAAAAGCTGGTTTCATAATTGTTGGATGTTTTTCATTCTTGGATCCTGGATATCAAATAAAATCTTTAGAGATAATATCTGAGCCTGCTATGGTTTACTGTCTTTTAAAACTTTACCCTTATTTGGGGATTAAATAATGTGTGTGTTCTATCACAGACACCTATTCTAAAATTGTCTATCAGTAAGATGGACTGCATTGCCTTTTCCTTTTCCATAGAGTATTGAATTTAATTGGGTTATAATTCCTGCTATCTAGTAGCTCACCAACAATGGAGCTGTCAGAGCTTACTCATATACTCCATGGGAAGTTTATGTGTCTGAGGCAAATGCTGGCAGGTGAAGCAGGCATTCCATGAAACCAGGCCTGGGTGGAAAGGAGGCACTCTTGTGTGCAGAGTCTGGTGCCGCTGGGCCCACACACCTGGGAGCACTCCCTGGCTGCCCACACCCTGTTCCTTTCAAGAATTTGGGTTGTGTTTTCTTCTTTCTTGACAATTAGTATAAGGGCAGTAGCTAAGAGTTTGGATTTATTTTTTTTTTTGATGGAGTTTTGCTCTTGTTGCCCAGGCTGGATGGAGCATGATCTTGGCTCACTGCAACCTCCACCTCCTGGGTTCAAGCAATTCTCCTGCCTCAGCCTCCCGAGTAGCTAGGATAACAGGCATGTGCCACCACGCCTGGCTAATTTTGTATTTTTAGTGGAGACGAGGTTTCACTATGTTGGCCAGGATGGTCTCGAACTCCTGACTTCAGGTGATCCACCCACTTCGGCCTTCCAAAGTGCTCGGATTACAGGCATGAGCCACCATACCCGGCCAAAAGTTTGAATTTTGATTCAGTCATGACTTTGCCACTTAATCTGAGTCTCCAGGTAGGTCATGTCCCGCAATTTTCTCATCAGCAGGCTGGGAATAATGACAGGCTATATTCCAATAAGTTTTCATTGAAGGTTAAATAATATGACAGAGATCTGGCATATGTAAATCCTCAATAAGTGGCAGCCATTTTTGTTTTTATTGCTTTCGTTATTCATTGAGTTTCAGATACTGAAATTAACAATGCGTATTATCCACCTGTTCCTCTGCTGCTTGGATTCCAGACCAAATTTGCCACCTTTTTTGTAACTTCTAAGATTCACTTTGTACTCTTCTGTTTTCTTTTATTTACTCAATAAGTATTTATTGTGAATCTACTGTGTGCTAGTCACCAGTTTAATAATACTCTGTTCCCATCTCTTTGCCTAGTGCACATATATAAGGAATTCTATGAAACTATAACCATACTGACAGATTTCTTGTATAGTCCAGATGATGATCCCACCATTTTAAAAGTACACTTCAAAATGCTCAAAGAGTAAGCTTCAAATGTCTCACCACAGAAAATAAGTGACATTATGAATACGTAAATTGACTTGATTTAACATTCCACATCATGTACATATATCAGAACTTCACTTTGTACCCAATACATGTGTACAATGATGATTTTTCAATTAAAAATAATATTAATGAAAAAGTTGCATGACAGTGGAAAAAATGTTTTGAAGGATAGAGGTTTGCTTATGATCACATGATTCTGAGCAAATTAATCTGAAGCTTTTTTCACAATATAACTTTATTATGTAGAGTTGTTATAGAAATTAAACAACAATATAGAAATCAAAAAAATTTTGTTAGTTCCTTTCTTTTACTCCTCAGATCAGTATGGTTAGGGTGTTCGCAAACTCTGTGTACATTGTGCTGTGGGTTAGCCACTTTAGAAACAGAGGGAGACAGTGAGGCCGGTGGAGCTTGGGAGAGCTAAATAGAGTCTGAGATGGAGAGATTGCATACACCAGTGTGTATTTGAAATAAAATGTAGTGAAAATTAATAAGCTTGAAATTACCTAGCTTAGGCTGTTAAACAAAACATTTTAATAAAGAAAACTAAGTCATTTAGGTTTCCAGAGAATAGTAACTGTCACTAATAAAATTAATGTTTATTTAGGAAAAACTTGTATCAGTTTCTGCAATTGAATCAATCAACATCCAATGAGGAAACAGAAACCACATAGTAATTTGGAAAGGAAAATCAATATAAATAATATTAAATGTTATATGGGGTTAACAATAAAGGGGTACCTGAAGAAAATATTTGGGCTCTGGGAGAGTCCCCAAGGAAGAAACAAACTTGAAAAGGGGCCCCACTCCCCAAGACTGGGCCTCTGACTCATTGGAGGTGTGGTTGCAGCTCACCAGCTTGAGAGGAGGTTCTCTGGGTTGCCCCGGGCAGAAGCTGGTAGGAGGTGACATGGGGCTGCAACAGGCCAGCTGGGAGCTCCTTCTGGGGTGCAGGTGGGCACACAAGCACCACGTAAGGAGGGCACGCAGGAGCACCCTCCAGGGAACAGGCAGGCTGAGGATGAGGAAGGATGAATGTCAAAGCAAGGCAGCTTTGGGTCTAACTCTGAGCTCAGAACTGTGGCCAAGGTTTGTTTTCTGGGTCAGTTCTGGATGAATAGCTTCATGGGATCCTGCCACATATCAAATTTAGCTACCCAACCATCTGAAATGAAACAGTAGAGGAAAAACAGGATAATGAAAATTCTTATTTAGCAATGTATAAAGAACATGCAACTTAGCTCAGCATGTGTATCATGCTTTATTTGGGCCAGGGATCGCTAAGAATATTCATTTTTAAACTTATTTTTTTGGCAGAGAAATGTTTCTGGCTCAGCAAATATAATTACAATAAGGTTTGAATTCCTGTTTGCCAGGATTGGAAAACGATACAATTTCTAAAGCTCTAATCAGTTGTCTATCCATTTTATCTCGAGAACAGAGCTCTATTAGCTATTCTATTAGTTAGCTATTCTCACAAATATGCTGCATAACAAACCACCCCCAAACTCAATGGCTTATGGCAACAACCATTGATTTCTTGCTCGCACATCAGCAGGTTGCTTGGAGTTAAGCTGATTAAGTCAGGGCTTGGCTTGGCTCCAGGCTGCAGGTGGGTTTCAAGTCAGCTTCATGTAGCTGTTCCCGTGCCGTGCTGCTTAGCATGTGCTCTCCTTGGGGCAATGGCAGAAGCACAAGGGACAGGCATTTCATGAGCATTTCAAGCCCCTGCTTGGGTGAAGTCTGTTAATGCTCATTGGCCAACATCAATGGGGAGAGAAGTATGCTTCTGTCATGGAGGTTAAAGAGAATAGAGTGAATCTTTGATAGACCATAATCCAATCTCCCACAGCAAGGAGAGTATACAAACCACATCTTAAGTCTGGATCGGCCTGGGATTTTTCTGCCCCTTGACAGCAGCAGCTGCCTTGCCCTTTGCCCAAGGGAGTCCACTCTGCTGCTTCCTGAGTGTCCTCATTCCTGGTCACTGCACGATTGTCCTTAAATGGTGTTAGCTATTTGGACATGGGCTAAATGCTACTCCCCATGCATGTTTGCTCACCTGTTCCATTTCTGTGTCTAGGCAGGTTGGCTGAGCCTGTGGCTTCTCTCTAGAGCTTCCACTGCATCTTACTGAATTTCTTAGGAAGTAGTTGACACAATTGACTACACTGATTTCTGCAAGGTCCCCTAAATCATTTCAGAATGCATGGGGATTGACTCCCAAGAGACAAAAGGGAAGAACTTAATGCACAGTGCACTAAGCAGCAAAGTAGTTTTGCCTCCTTGAGCCTATTCAAGGTTCTCTGTCACACCTTGAATCAGCCAAGATCAAATTTTAGTGTTCGTCACTTGTAAATGTAGTAGACACAAAACCTGGAATTGTGTCTTTATTTGGAAATAGGGTCTTTGTAGATGTAATGAAGTTAAGATGAAGTCATATCGGATTAGGGTGGGCCCCAAATGAAATGATTGGTGTCCTTACAAGGAGAGGGAGATTTGGAGACACAGAAAGACAGAGAGACACGGAGAGGGTGGAAGGCCATGCAGTGATGAAGGGAGAGATTGGAGTGATGCAGCTGTGAGCCGAGAATTGCTGGCAACCACCTGAAGCCAGGAAGACGCAGGAAGGATTCCCCGCTGGAGCCTTCAGGGGGAGCATGGCCCTGCTGTCACCTGACTTCAGGCTTTGATCTTCTGGAATTGTGAGCCAATAAATTTCTGTTTACATGCCACCTAGTTTATGATAATATGTTGTGGCAACTCTGGGAAAACATAACACAACACCTCCGATGTCTATTTTAGTCAGAATTCTTTGGTTGCAATTAGCAAATACTAAGAAAAAAAGTGGATTGATCTTAGGTCATTTGAAACTGGCTTTAATGTGTGAAGTTAGGAACATGGGTGCTGTTGGGACTCTCTTATCTTTCATTTATGATTCTCTCTTGTGCTGGCTTTATTCTCCCAGGTCAGCTTCTTCATAAGGCTGATGCCATAGCAGCTGAAGTGTTGAGGCTTTTTGATGAGAGAAAAAAGGCTTTTCTGTGTAATTCTAAGATTAAGTCCCAGGTAAGGGTTCTAGTTCGCCCCTGCTCATCTGGATGGACCACTGAGGTTTGGTGGACAGGCTGTATTGGTGGTCCACCTAGCATCAGTCCTCTGACTGTTGAACAGTGACAAAGGCCATGAAAGAGAAAGGGACAAGGAGTGTAACAAGAACAAGTGCTAACAGGATCATGGAAACTGTTCGGCCACTGCTGTTCATCCACCACCACACTGATGGACTGAAGCAAGAAACCAGAAATCAATGGAAAATATAACAAGAAAGGTTATTTAGAAATTGGTTTCAGAAGAGGGAGGTCATGTGGGTTGAATAGTGTCCCTCCAAAGCTCCTGTTCAGCTGGAAGCTCAGCTTGGGACCTTATTGAGAAATAGGGTTTTTGCCAGAAAAATCAAGTTAAGATGAGCTCATCCTGGATCAGTGTGGGCCCTCCTGCAATCACTCCTGTCTTCATAGGAAGAGACACAGAGATACAAAGGGAAAAGCATGATGGACCACAGCTCAGAGACTGCACTAGTGCAGCTGTAGGCCAAGGATTGCTGGGAAGCACCAGGAGAGAGGCAGGGAACAGAGCCACCCTCCGAACCTCCAGGAAGAAGCCAGCACTGCCAAAGCCTTGATTTTGGACTTCTGGCTCTAGAACTTGTGAGTTAATACATTTTTGTTGTCTGGGGCCTCCAGTTTGTGGTACTTTGGCGGCACCAGCATGCTAAAACAGATGTGGGACTCAATCCTACCTTAAGTACTATTGAACTGCAAAATGAAAGCTTTAGAAAACACAAGAGAGCTGAAATTATTTAATAAGAAGTGTAGTTATATGTATCACTAGAGGAAAACATCCTTTCTTTTCTAAAAGAAAAATTAGATTTCTTATTGAAGCAGGGAGAAGATTTGCCTACAATTCTCATTATGATTAAAGATACCAATTTATCATTGATAATACTGATTATAAAACAGAATTACATTAGGGGATGAGAGTGTGAATACCACCAGGACATTAAATAAAATATTTGAGGAATGAGGTAATTGTCCCAGACTTGTTGGATTCAATCAAGGGTTTTAAGGCTGCTCTATTGCATTTCCTTTTACCATAATATCATATATACACTACCATAGGGAGAGACGCAGCGTAGCTTACATAATGAAATGACTTTACAGCTAATTTGATTCTGCATTTGAAAACCAAACAATTCTCAACATTTATGCTTGTTCATCTTCAGCACAGTTGTTGCGTGACTAAGTTACTTATGAGGAGGTCCGGAGTTCACGTTTAGGACAAGTTCTACTAATTCTGGTTCATACAAAACTTTCCAACCTCTGAGCTTTGTTTGTTTGTTGTTTACTTTGTGTTTGTTTTATCTTTAAAAACTGTAACTTTTTTTTTTTTTTTTTTGAGACGGAGTCTCGCTCTGTCGCCCAGGCCGGACTGCGGACTGCAGTGGCGCAATCTCGGTTCACTGCAAGCTCCGCTTCCCGGGTTCACGCCATTCTCCTGCCTCAGCCTCCCGAGTAGCTGGGACTACAGGCGCCCGCCACCGCGCCCGGCTAATTTTTTGTATTTTTAGTAGAGACGGGGTTTCACCTTGTTAGCCAGGATGGTCTCGATCTCCTGACCTCATGATCCACCCGCCTCGGCCTCCCAAAGTGCTGGGATTACAGGCGTGAGCCACCGCGCCCGGCCAAAACTGTAACTTTTATACTATCTTTCATACTATCATGAAACAAGCAGAGCCTTGATTTACGTTTTGCATTATGCATGATTAACTCAATCTACTTTTGATAGTCCCCACTTTGGGAAGGTGAGGGTGCATAGTCCATACGTCCCCACTTGCTCTTTCCCCTCATAATGGTGACTTTTATCTGTTAACCTGACTGGGCTACGGAATGCCCAGACAGCTGGCCAAACACTCTTTCTGGGTGTGTCTGTGAGTGTGATTTGGAAGAGATGAGCATTTGAATTGGTGGACTCGGTAAAGAAGATCACCCTCACGAATGTGGGCAGATATCATCTGAACCACTGAGGGCCCAAGTAGAACAAAAAGGCGGAGAAAGGGGAATCCCTTGTTGGTATTTGGCCTGGGACATCTCTCTTCTCCTGCCCTCTGACAGCAGTGCTCTAATTCTCAGGCCTTTGGACTCAGATTTAATTGCACTGTGGGCTTTCCTGATTTTCCAGCTTTCAGTTGGCAGATTATGGAACTTCGCAGCCTCCAGAATCCCGTGAACTGATTCCTGTATATATACATATGTACACATACAAATATTTGTGTATTTATCTCTGGGACCCGATATACATCTATATCTCCTCTATTGGGTCCCTTTCTTTAGAGAACCCTAATACACTCCTATATTGATGGTCTGACACCTGTCACACATAAGAGGAAATGCTCTTTTGGGATAATTATTCATAATATACAAGTTAGAGAATCATTTATGTTTCTTAGATATTTTCATATGTGTAGAGCTGCTTTATCAATTTGCAGCCCTGGTGGGGAGCCCAGAGCAGAGCCCCGGGCTGGCAGAGCTGGGATCGGGGTACAGATGGGCTTGCAGGAGCCTGGCCACTGGCACCGCTGCTGGGCCTCAGCAGTACCATGCCCTGTTCCCTCAAAGCCACATTGTCTTTTGCAGAGGTTGCCTCCAAAGAAGGTATTTTCTTATGAAGTTTTATGCCTTTGTAAAAGTTGTAAAATATACATGATAGAATTTACCATTATTATTTATTTATTTATTTTGAGACAGAGTCTCTGTCGCCCAGGCTGGAGTGCAGTGGTGCAATCTCAGCTCACTGCAACCTCCACCTCCCGGGTTCACGCCATTCTCCTGCCTCAGCCTCCTGCGTAGCTGGGACTACAGCCACACGCCACCACACCCAGCTAATTTTTGTGTTTTTAGTAGAGACGGGGTTTCACCCTGTTGGCCAGGATGGTCTCCATCTCTTGACCTCGTGATCCACCCGCCTCGGCCTCCCAAAGTGCTGAGATTACAGGCGTGAGCCACCGCGCCTGGCCAGAAATAATTTGTTTCTTTATCACTGAGGACCATCTCAAGTGACAGGGCTCCAAGCTTTTGCTCATGTTCCGCTGCCTTGGAATCCAAGGGCAACTGCGGCCATGGTAGCCTATTTTCATCAAAGTCAAATGGCATCTTGTCGACAGAGGTGAGGGCCTGCAAAGTCCTACTACACTCAGGACAGTCAGTCCCCTGCTACAAAAAAATTATCAGGTACAAAATATCAATAATACTGAGCTAGAGAAACTGAGTTCTAAGTGAAATGGACAAACCTTTAATAGTAGTGACCTGGCCTGAAACTTTAATGTTTCTTTATTGTTTTAAACTTTCATTTGGTTGACTATAGGAGCAGCAAACTGTTTTGCCATTTATTTCTGATGCTTTAACTGTACAATGTTCCCCGAAATGTTTACACTTTAATTCTTGCCAAATTTGTTGTAGCCAACTTTAACCGTGGAATGACATATTTAGTCCCTCAACACTGTCACTTGAATGACACATGGCAATGGGTCAGCCACTTCTTGGAGCAGCACCTGGAGACCAGGGCATTTCCTGTTGCAAACAGTTTCCTACTGACCTTTGTGGGAAAGAAGAAAGAAAACCCAAGCCGGGCACGGTGGCTCACACCTGTAATCCCAGCACTTTGGGAGGCTGAGGTGGGCGAATCACCTGAGGTCAGGAGTTTGAGACCAGCCTGACCAACATGGTGAAACCCCGTCTCTATTAAAATACAAAAATTAACCGGGCGTAGTGGCAGGCGCTTGTAATCTCAGCTACTTGGGAGGCTGAGGCGGAAGAATCGCTTGAAACCAGGAGGCAGAGGTTGTGGTGAGCCGAGATCGCGCCATTGCACTCCAGCCTGGGCGACAAGAGCAAGACTCCATGTCAAAAAAAAAAAAAAAAGAAAAAGAAAAGAAAACCGAGGCTTGGATTTTTAAATCTTCAATTGTGAGTGAAATTTGCATCATTACTCTGTTATAGTTCCACTTACGATTTTTAGAATAAATAAAAACAACATAAAGTGTTTTGAGAAACATAAAAATATTACAGACATATACACAGATGCAGTGATGCAAATGTAAAGATGATAAAGTCCAATCGTCAGAAAAGTCGTAAGTGGAATTAAGGCAGGACACAAGCAAGATTCACTGGTCCCTGAACAGCAGGGAGCGATAGAGGTGTCTGAATACCTTTGGGAGTCCACATCCCCGGGGTGTGGGTGACAGGCAGGCCCTTCATCCCCGGGCAGAGCTGAGCTTGTTCTTGTCACATTTAACCTCAGTCCTCTGATAAAGCCAGAACATACAATGTTTTTATCTGCCCATTCAGAATCATGTAAGTGCAGGTTTTTTTAAGTAATTATGAGGGTGAGTGAGACTTTCACTGTAATGTTTGGTAAGTAATGAGGTGATTCAGTTTTATGTCCATCTTGATTTGAGGAAGAGAGAATGGTGAGGGAAGCATTGGGACAGGTTCATCTGGAACCACAGACACTTAAATGTAGACAAGCCTTTAATGATGCCTGGTCCTCGCTTCCTCCCAAATGCAGGTATGTATTACATCTCTGTTGGCTGTTCCCCTAGAATCAGCTGTAGCTTTTCCAGTGGCCAGGAGCCCTGGTCCCCGTTACCGTTGCGAGGCTGTCTTGCATTATTGGGCACTTTGAATGCTTAAAACTGGGCTTCTGGAAAAAGAGTCAGATTCACCTGGATCTGGATCTGGCAGGTGAATGTCACAGTCTCTAACGACCTCCTAATTCCTGTCTTCTCTCTTTCCTTCCTTTTTTTTTTTTTTTTTTTTTTGAGACGGAGTCTCCCTCTGTCGCCCAGGCTGGAGTGCAGTGGCACGATCTTGGCTCACTGCAAGCTCTGCCTCCCGGGTTCATGCCATTCTCCTGCCTTAGCCTCCCGAGTAGCTGGGACTACAGGTGCCCGCCACCACGCTCGGCTAATTTTTTCATATTTTTAGTAGAGATGGGGTTTCACCATGTTAGCCAGGATGGTCTCCATCTCCTGACTTCGTGATCCACCCACCTCGGCCTCCCAAAGCGCTGGGATTACAGGCGTGAGCCACCACGCCCGGCCTGTCTTTCCTTCTTTTAATCTTTCTACACATGAAAAGGCGTCAGTAGCCCCCACCATCATGTATGTCACCTGGGACACCCTCAGTCTGCCTTTGTTAATGTCAGAGCCAGGAACGCAGGGAAAAAACTATTTTCTGAGATACGTTTTTGTGCAGAGAGAAGAGACTTTCCATGTATATTGCCTTTCCTGTAATATTGTCTGTTCAGGTAGCTGTGTGCCATATCCAGGTAGCTGCATGCCCTCTTCCCTGTTTTAGCACTGGTTGATACTGAGTTTATGGTTAATTAGTAAATGTGTTAAAAAATTTTTTGAATTTTTTTTCAAAAATCAGCAAGCACAAATATGTACCTAGCATTTTCCAAGGATATGGGTATGGAAAGATAAAATGCCAGAACTTACAATTTAATTAGATATTAGTGCAAATGATCGATACACTGCAATGTGGTAACTGTGTAACAGATATTAATTGCACCATCCAAAATTCAGTATGTTAAAAATGGAACTCTTCAGGTTATCATAGGAATGTTGCTTGACTCTTATGCCCAGGGCAGACTGTGAAGCATCCATTCCCCTAAATCCAGGGCAGTCAGGTAAGGGGCCTTCTTATCTCAGCCACTTCTCCACTTCCAGCCCAGACTCTTGCTGTATTAACCTCTGTTTCTCCGACACAGCAGACCCGGAGACTTTTTACCTCCTTTTTTTGTGACTCCTCCCCACTCTACCACAAGTAGGGTTGCAAGATTTAGAAAATGAATATTTAAGACACTCAGTTAAATTTGGATTTTAGATAAATGACAAATACTGTTAATTAGTATAAGTATGTCCCAAATATTGCATTGCATTTTATTGTATTTTTTTTTGTAGCAGCCGTACCCTCAAGAACTGCACCTTCCAACCACCCTTATATGAGCCTGCTCCAAAACCTTGCCAGCCAGCACTTCCAGGTTACGACTATTGACCTCCAGCTCCCAGTTTCAGGTGAGAGGTGAGACCCAGTCCCACACTAGCATGTCATCTTCGTGGAATCCCAAAAGAGACAATATATAGAGGACAGGATTTTTTTTTTTTTTTTTTTTTTTTTGAGACGGAGTCTTGCTCTATCGCCCAGGCTGTACTGCAGTGGCGCGATTCTTGGCTCACTGCAAGCTCCACCTCCTGGGTTCACGCCATTCTCCTGCCTCAGTCTCCTGAGTAGCTGGGACTACAGGCGCCCGCCACCACACCCCGCTGATTTTTTGTATTTTTGGTAGAGACGGGGTTTCACCGTGTTAGCCAGGATGGTCTCTATCTCCTGACCTTGTGATCCGCCCGCCTCGGCCTCCCAAAGTGCTAGGATTACAGGTGTGAACACCGAGCCCGACCAAGGTACGGCCTTTTTAAAGCCCCCTCCCCTGCTTCACACCCAGCAATGCGCCTGCTTTAAGGGTGTCCTTGTTTTTGACAAACTCACAATCTCCGCCTCCACAGGTTTCGGGCGCCCCTGGTGGTTGCACTTTGCCAGTAGCTTATGGCAACCCACCAGGTTTGCTGATGCTGGACTGGCATTTACCTGTCAAAGTAATTTAAACCATAAGATTTATTCCCAAATAGGGGGGGAAACAGATAAAATGGGAGAAGGGCATGGTTGTGGGTTTGGACTAATCAGAACAAGATTCTAAATTTTTATAAAGAGAGGAGATGGTACTGCAGGAAAGCCCTGTGAGTCTCCCCTGCAAAATACCCACCTAGACCTGTTTTTGTTGGTGGTTGTGTGTATGCCTTCTGAAACAGTGTGTCTCCACAGCCAAACATGTGCTGGGATGCAGGAGATGCTTAGGCCACCTTGATCAGTGATGTCTGAGGCTTCCCCAGGCTGTTTAATTCACAGCCTCCCTCCTTTATGCTCCCCCAGATTCTCTTTCATTTAGATTGTGTTGACTCAGCTCAGGGGATGAATATATGTATTTGCCAACATTATTGAGTTTGCTAATTAAAAAGCACTGAAAGAAAACTTACTTTCCCTCTGCGTTTGGTGACTTTTACCCCTAGAACTCTTCTTCTTAGGAAGCCTATGACAATGAAGATACTATAAAAACAAGGGTCTTTCCAATTCCCTTCTGCTGTGTCGTGGAGCGAACACTCAACCTGGAGTCTAACGTTCTTAATTTCTGTCCCAGATCTTTACTGGCTGGGTCTCTGCACACTTCTCAGTCTCCTAGAGTCTTCAGGTTACTCAATCAAAAAATGTTCTAAACTAGTTGTTATAAGAGTGCTGAACACATTGGCTGGTTCACTCACACAATAGATTTGCCTGACAACTGTTCACTAAACTGTATATCTTAGTGCAGTATGTGGATTTAACTGGTGGTGTTGCTGATGTGTCAAAATTTTGAGCACGTTCCAGCTTTTCATTGTTGTTATTTTCCATCTTCCATTACTTTGAAGGGAACATGTTACAGGACACAAAGAAATACTAAACTTGCAAAGCATATGAATAATAGCAAATGTGATTATTATTTATTTACTTATAAAAAGATGATAGATTACTTCATGTTCTGCTTAAAGCTACTTTTTGCATTTGGACCATTTTGAGTAGCCCATATTCTGCCAAAAATTATAATTATAAAATTAGTGAATCACGCAGAAAACATTGGAACTAAATTATTGACACGGCTTTGGAAAGGTGATATCCAATCTTATATGCAAATTCCAGTTGTCTTCCATTACTCTTGGGATCTTTCAGCAGATTTTTGCCATCTGTGTAGAAGCTGTTATTGAATTTTCTTGCTGAGATTATATAATTTCTATTCAGAGAATTAAATTCCCCATTACACTGTATTTTGTTTCTCTACAATATAAATGGAAAATTATGTAACAGGGAATTTATACATTTGTTTTGCACCTGTGGTATTTAAAATGTGGCAGGCATTTAGAGCTGTCATAAAGACCCAGGCCGAAAATGCTTTATTGCATATGATTATCCTTCTCTTACTACTTTTGAAAAGGAATGAAATACAGCCATTTTAATATTCATGTGTTCCATCCAAACAGAGGACTGAATAATAAAAGTGGATAACTTATATTTGCTTCCATTACAAATAGTTTTATCTTGCCATCTTCAGTCATTGTTTTCGGCTTGCATTGTGATACTATGAAGTGGATCAGAAAATATACTTCCTGAGTGCTACTTGTTAAACAAGTGTATGAAATGTGCTTGACCCTGCTCTGTGCAGTAGAGCATTTCAGACTAATCACAAACTACTGAGTGGAGTCAAAGCAGCAGCTCAGACTGCTTTCTCTGCAAAAACTGGAGATAAAGTGTTGGTTAGAATATAACGTTTAGCTTCTCATGTTGTAACTAATGGTAGGCCTGGTGGAGTGGTTAAAATATAATGAATCCAGTACCAATGGATTCCAGAAGTATTTGATACCCATCTAATATAACGCTGCTCAAAACATTTTGATGGGTCTCTAGGGTCTAATGAATAAACTTCCAACCTTAGTCTGGTCCTTGTTATCCGACTTATGCTGTTTCTTTCTTTCTTTTTTTTTTTTTTCAGAGAGTTCTCCCAGTCTCCTGGATCACACTGGTCGGAAAGCTGTTTGGTAGACAACCTTCGAGTCTTTCTGCCTTCATACTGTGGGTATACCGTTCTCCCAACTGAAAACCCGTTTATTTTCTTATCTGTCTACTCAAAGCCTAACCAACACCAAATGGCCTAGAAATGCCACGTACCTACCAGTTGCCTCTTTCCTCCTCCAGCCCTTGTGAATGTGAATTCACATCTCTGTTCTCTGTGTTCCTTGGCCACTTAGTACCATTCACAATATCTCTCATAGCTAGCTCTCTGCCTTAGGGCTGGCCCATGGGACTAAAATTCCTTGTGGTAGGTATTTTTTTTTCATATTTCTATTCTTATAGCATCTAGCATAGAACAAACAGCCTAGTATCTAGTGGGTATCCAATAACAACTTATGCAGGTGATTAGGCAAGAAAAAGAAATAAAGCCTATTCAAATTGGAAAGGTGGAAGTCAAATTGTCCCTATTTGCTGGCAACATAATCTTATATATAGAAGAACTTAAACACTCTGCCAAAAATCCATTAGATGTGATAAACAATTCAGTAAGGTTGTATTGTATGTATCAAAACATCCCTATGTAACCCATAGAGATGTATAATTATTTTATGTTGATCAAAAATAAAATAATAAAAGCTCTTAATAAAACAGTCATCTCTTTCAGAATTCATGGTTACCATTGCCTCTAGTATTATTTGTCAATTAAAAAATAAAATTTAAAAAGAATTTAAAGAGTTGAATGCAGTTTAAAAATGCATGCAGGCCGGGTGCGGTGGCTCACGCCTGTAATCCCAGCACTTTGGGAGGCTGAGGTGGGTGGATCGCCAGGTCAGGAGATCGCGACCATCCTGGCTAACATGGTGAAACCCCGTCTCAACTAAAAATACAAAAAAAAATAGCCAGGCATGGTCACAGGCGCCTGTAGTCCCAGCTACTCGGGAGGCTGAGGCAGGAGAATGGCATGAACCTGGGGGGCGGAGCTTGCAGTGAGAGGAGATCGCGCCACTGCACTCCAGCCTGGGCGACAGAGCGAGACTCCGTCTCAAAAAAAAAAAAAAGCATGCAAGTAAGGAAGGATCGTGTGAGGGTAAGGGTGCAAGTGCAGCTTTAAAGATATTAGTAAGAGAAAAGAAGAGGGCGTATAGTGCATGCTGTGACATGGGATGACAGCTTGCACTGAGAGAGCATGGATCTATATTTTTACTATATACTCTGTAATTGAACATTTCAGCTTATTTGGATTGTATTAAGCCACTTTATTATTTGAATGCTCACAATTTCCTTCTAATTTCAAACTTGTTTGTGGACCTGTAAAAAAATTCTTTTTTTAAATGCACCTGTTTAATGACACAGGACACTTTTCATTTATGCATGGTACACTGGTAGCCCAATCTGAAAGTACTATTTTCTACACTAAACTTTTTTTTTTTTGAGCCAGAGTCTTGCTCTGTTGCCAAGCTGGAGTGCAGTGGCGCAATCTTGGCTCACTGCAACCTCCACCTCCTTGGGTTCAAGAGATTCTTCTGCCACAGCCTCCCGAGTAGCTGGGACTACACACCTGTGCCACCACACCCAGCTAATTTTTGTAATTTTAGTAGAGACAGGGTTTCACCATGTTGGCCAGGATGGTCTCAATCTCTTGACCTCGTGACCTGCCCGCCTCAGCCTCCCAAAGTGCTAGGATTACAGGCGTGAGCCACTGCGCCTGGCCTAAACTATTTTTAAAAAGAAGTAACAGCATGCCTCTACTTATGTAAAAGCAAACATATGTTTTGACGGTGGTGAAGTTGGCTTCTGTTAACCCAACTTCTAAAGAACTAAATTGGCCAAAAGAGGAAAAAAAAATGCTTATTTTATTAAATTTAAATTTAGTAAATGCTTATTTACTACATTGACTTGAGGGTTTCAGACAAATAGCTTAGTTAGTGGTTAGATCAAGAGGCTTTATAGAAGAAAAGCTTAATGGTGCTTATTTATAAAATGAAAAAATTAGTAGTTCTTGGCCCTGCCTCATCTGTTTCTCAAATTTGTTGGTTATGAAAGATCTGACTGAAATCCACACCATCTGGCTTTTAGTGCTGGGATCCCAGCACAGGCCAGTTTAGCCATCTGCTTCTGTCTCTGACGCCACATACAACAGAGAGTCTTTTGTCATTGTTGTTGTTGTTGTTGTTGTTGTTGTTGTTTTGAGACGAAGTCTTGGTATGTCTCCCAGGCTGGAGTGCAGTGGCACGATCTCTGCTCACTGCAAGCTCCACCTCCTGAGTTCACGCCATTCTCCTGCCTCAGCCTCCTGAGTAGCTGGGACTGCAGGCGCCCGCCACCACGCCCGGCTAATTTTTTGTATTTTTAGTAGACACGGGGTTTCACCGTGTTAGCCAGGATGGTCTCGATCTCCTGACCTCGTGATCTACCCACCTCGGCCTCCCAAAGTGCTCGGATCGCACCCAGCCCAGAGCTGCATTTTCATACACCATTGAAATCAGTGAACCCTCACCGTGTGATGAGAATGCTGGATGAAATTTTATGCTGAGTGAGGGAACAATCTGTTGAAAATAAAGGTTAGAAATGTGTAGTGTCCTATCGTGTCAGTGCCACAAAAAAGATGGGGAGTCCTGCCACATGGTGGAATGGTGCCACATAAGTCAGAGCAGGAAGCGAGTGCAGAAGGACCCAAGTGACTGGAGAGATGATTGCAAATGCAACAGAAATTCTAGGGTTCATCGGATGCTGTGGCTATGCTTAAGAAACCAGCCACTCAGCTAAGAAAACAACAGTGAGAAATAACACCGTTACAGTGGATTTATTTCTCTGCTTAAATGACTGCCTTGCAGAAGAGCTGTGATCTTTTGATATTTTTTGGCAAACAGCATCAAAAACAAGATATATGGAATCAACCAACAGATCATGTATCACTGTGCTTGTACTGGTAAAACTCCGTGTACTTACTCCACGTCTACCGTAGTAGATTGAGAGATGGTCATCCAAAGATCTCAGATTCTAATCCCTGGGACTGGGAAGTGTTCCCTTGTTTGGCAAAAGAGTCTTTGTAGACGTGATTAAGTTAGGGATCTTGGCATGAGGGGATGAACCTTCTTTATTCAGGTGGCCTTGAATTATGATCACAAGTGTCCTTATAAAAGAGAGGCAAAGGGAGAAAGCACAGAAAGGAGAGGAGGAACTTAAGTGCCCATGGAGGCAGAGACCGCAGTAATGCAGCCACAAGTTAGGGACGCCAACAGAAGATGGGAGGGGCAAAGAACCAGTCCACCCCCGTAGACTCCAGGAAAAGTGTGGTCTTGCCAACACATTGATTTTGGAATTCTGGCCTCTAGAACTATGAAAGTATAAATTTCTGTTATTTTAAGCAGCCCAGCTGTGATACTTTGTTAAGCAGCCACAGGGACTAATACCCCTACTATGTGCCACTCACTGTGCCAGTCCTGGGGAAGATTTAGGCTGGAAAAGCATGGCCTTTGCAGCATTTTTCCCCCACCAGTGCTGAGACAATATGTTGAAAAGACTGGGAAAATGTTATAATGTATTCAAAATACCAGATGAGAGCTTTCTGTGTACCTGTCACTATGCTCAGCTCCAGAGATGGGATATGAACAAAATAGGCCCAATTCTCTTCCCTCTGTGCCGAACTTACTTTCTGTTAAGTACAAAATAGGGCTTAATGCTATGAAAATGAAGAGGAGTGACAACATTGATGTCAACCAGGAGGATCAGGGCAGATTTTAAATATGATGTGGCTGCAGCAAGAGTGTGTGCGCATGGGAACAGGCATTCCAAACGAAGGAATCACTGCTAATACAGCTGCAAAGTCTGCAGTGCCTTTGGGAAGCCTTGACAAGATGAACGTGTCAGAGAGCAGGCATTCAGTCTTTAACACAGCCTTTCCACATCGGCCTATAAAATTGTATTATGATGTTTCTTCATTTGGAAAACTAGTTTTAAAGGTTGCATTTTGATGAGTTTGCAACATTCAATTTCATGGAATCCAAATCGCATGCCCTTTGGAAGAGGTGCCATATGTGAATGCACCCATAAAGTGCACGCATGCAGCGTTTGTTACGTGGTAGGATCTCATGCAATTTTAAATGACTCTCATGTTAAAAAATGCTTCTATTGGCAGGGGGTGGTGGCTTACACCTGTAATCCAAGCACTTTGGGAGGCCAAGGCAGGTGGATCACCTGAGGTCAGGAGTTTGAGACCAGCCTGGCCAACATGGTGAAACCCCGTCTCTACCAAAAATACAAAAATTAGCTGGGCATGGTGGTGGGCACCTGTAATCCCAGCTATTTGGGAGGCTGAGGCAAGAGAATGTCTTGAACCCAGTAGTTGGAGGTTGCAGTGAGCCAACTTCGTGCCATTGTACTCCAGCCTGAGCAACAAGAGCAAAACTCCATCTCAAAGAAAAAAAAATGCTTCTATCACTCTTAGCCTTGTTTTACTTCATACTCTGGTGGTGGGCAGGTTTGCTACCTTAAATATGTCCTAGAAGCTGAATCCAAATACTTTTTGAACAATTTTCTGACTTCCTTTAGAGAAATGTACTGTCAGAGTACTATGTATAATTTTTTAAATACAGCTACCCTGAAGACTTATAAAAGTCTGGTTGTTCAGGCAGTAATTTATTTACAAATTCATGAAAATGAAAACAGTTTATGCAAGCAACCAGCTCTGGGATGCCTCATCGTCCTTTGCAAAATTATCCAAATCATGATGAAATAGGCTTTATTTTTATGGATTAAACAGAGAAGAATGTCTAATGAATTGTCTAGAAATTGAAATACGCACCTTTTATGAATAGGGACATTTCATAAGACCATTCTGTATTGTGAGTTAGGAATTCAGATCAGTTGAAGCATTAAAAAAATCAAACCTTCTGCAGCTCATTAAAGCATAAACCTAATTTTTAGAATTTATCCGATTAATATAGTAAGACCTCCACCTGCTTAGAATAATATTAATACTTGGCCTCATTTACCTCCAAGAGGGGGATAGGCCCCTGACCAATCTTCCCATTTCACCGAGGACAGACACTTCCCTTGAATCAGGTGGAGGTTTTCCAGTCATATTTGCAACACTGTTTAATGCTCAATTGCCCTATTTCTTTCCTCTGTGAAGTGAATACAATAACTTAAATGAAGGTTGTTTGAAACTCCTACTATTGGGTAGGAGTTTGCAACCTGGTTACTATGATCAGAGCTATAATTTTTTTGTTTATTATAATTAGGTTTTTTGCAAGACTAAAATTGTGCTTCTTTTAAAGTGCTGAAGAATTTCCAGGCTTGTCAGCACTAATACGTATTCTAATTGCAAAAACAGACACGAATATCAACCCAGGTGCATAGACCTCATAGTGTCAATCAAATCTCATCAGAAACTACTTGTCTTGCAGGAGGAAGGGGATCCTAAAATCTTTTTTTTTTAAGGGAAATTTTTTATCAATTTGTATTCTTTATGTCCTTTCATATTGCCGTTTACCATAAATGAAAACCATGAGAGGAACTTTTAATAATAATACACATCTGATTATGCTTTTATGAATATACAGAATATTAAATTTCAAAAGGCTTTGCTTGAGTCCCAAATGCAATTTCTAAAACATTAACTAGCCTACTCAGAATCAGGTAGAAATGGTGCAAATGAGCTCTTTTTATCACAGGCATTATTTCTTGAATAAACTCTTTTTTGTTTCCTAAACTTCAAAAAAACTGTAATTTTATTTTCAACATTCATGAAGGATAAGTCAAATCCTGTCAGTGAGTGAGTCCAACGGTTTCCATGAAAGGAGGATGTGGTCACTTTCATGAAGAAGCCAACTGAGGAAGGCTTTTTCTTGGTTCAATCATTTGATGTAATGATTCAGATGAAAGCACGTAAGTTAGCCTTTCTTTATACCTGCTTCATAAAGTTTGAGACTGCTAAATTACCAAGATAGGACAGTAACATAAGATTATCTTCTTCATAGCATACATCACTATTTAAAATTATTTTATATATTTACTTATCTGTTATTTTCTGTCTTGCCCACTAGGATATATTGTCCATGAGATCTTGTCCTGTGAAGTCTTTCCTGGCACATAGTAAGTGCTCAATAATTGTTGCATAAAGGTGAATAAACCAATAAATGAAAGAACTTTTGCACATATTTGTATGTTACTTGTAACACATTTTGTAATTTGTCTGTTAATACTGCCTTCTCCCTTTTCTCTGACATCTTTGCAAAGGAAGTTATCTAGGGCAAAATAAATTGCAATATAAACTGTCATTAATTTGCACTAAGTCCTGTAAAACCTGTTTGCTTTTTTGTGTTTGGTCCATCAGCCAGCAGATCTTTTTTTTAATTTTATTTTTTATTTTATTTTATTTTTTTTTTTTGAGAGGGAGTCTCGCTCTGTCGCCCAGGCTGGAGTGCAGTGGCCGGATCTCGATCTCGGCTCACTGCAAGCTCCGCCTCCCGGGTTCACGCCATTCTCCTGCCTCAGCCTCCCAAGTAGCTGGGACTACAGGCGCCCGCCACTACGCCCGGCTAATTTTTTGTATTTTTAGTAGAGACGGGGTTTCACCGTTTTAGCCGGGATGGTCTCGATTTCCTGACCTCGTGATCCGCCCGCCTCGGCCTCCCAAAGTGCTGGGATTACAGGCGTGAGCCACCGCGCCCGGCCCAGCCAGCAGATCTTAATGAAGAGAGCTAATTGCAGAGTTTTCTAATAACGGGTTTTTACCGTATAGTCAGACTCAGCCCCTTTTCCATGTTACATTTTCTGCTGAATATCTACATTACTGCCTTTAATAGGCAGTGCAAAGCCTTAATGAGATGATTTATTTTGAAGTGAGTTTTAAAAATTCCTGGGTATTTAGACTCTGGCTTATTTTTTGCCACCTAATTGGTAGGAGTGAGTAGACAGGTATTGCTAATGGTACTTTAAATGACTATCAGGATCTGAAGGATGAATTGTATTAATTATTCAAATTGGAAATATTTCTTTGAGATTTTAAAAATCATATTGAAAGTCAATGGTAGATTGAATCAATATGCAAATTTACTTTACATATTTTTCAGTTCAAGTCTAATAAATAATGTACAACTCTTTTGGCATTGTGTACATTTATAGAGACATGTCAATGTCTTCATGTCTTTTATTATTACTTATTAAAGTAAAGCTGATGGTGATATCAAAATGTCACCTATGTTTGTTTGTTTTTTTCTCTTGGTATACATTTGAAGCCTTTCTGGCCAACATCCCTCAATGTACCTATTTAACCTTCCAGGTATTGCTCAGTCAGTTACAAATATCTGGCCTTTCTTTTCAGGCTTTATATTCTAAAATACTTTTCTAGTGAGAAGCAAAAAAAAAAAAGAACAAAAAACCTCACTAATTCACTGTGGTATTTAGTTGGCATAGAACAAACAACCAAATTACCTGGCATGTGGCAGCTGGTTTATAAAAATGTAAAGTAGGTACTAGACATCATTTGAAAGTTTAGGCACATATAAATTTTGTCTTTAGATTATACAATATTTTTCCATAGGTATATGGTATATACTGAACTTATTCACATGATTTATTCCTTGCTATAATACTTTTCATCTAATTTGGCTAACTGGAGGAGGAGAGTGCCTACTGTGAATGCCTACTGTGTTCTGTGTTCTAGGCTAGAAACTTTGCATTCATTATTGAACACTCATATCAACTTTATGTGAAGGCAGCATTATTTACTGAAGAAATTAAGGCTCAGGGAATTTCAATTTCTCCATATTCCATACTGAGTAGTCAAGCTGGGATTGCTAGTCTGCTATTTGTCTGATTCTAAAGTCAGTGTTCTTTTTTAACACAGTCAATTGGAAAAACTCTCATTAACACAGAGATTTTTCTCTCCATCTTTTAAAGTTTTTACTCCACCACTGCTCACTATGAACTTATTATATTGGAGTGGATGCAAAATAAAGTGCCAGAAATGACTTGTAGAACATGGTCTCCTTGCTTTCCTCCTTATAATGAATAAGTGATGGGATTAAATGGATTCGGTACTTTTGGGCCCAGAGGAAGTATCTGGGAATTTGTTAAGAAATAAACAGAAAGTAGAGAGTGATGTCAGTAAAGTGATAGACTAGGAAGCCCCAGGCTTCATTCACTCACAGATAAACTGACTTGACAACAATAAGCCTTTATGAGAACTCCAGAAAGTAGTTAAGAAATCATTGCACCTCAGGCAAGCTCAAAGCCAAGAACAGCCACATTATAATGAGTAAGAAAGGTTATTTTATTTCAACCTTAGTAGCTCCTCCAAGCTGGCACAACACAGCAAAATTAGGAGAAAAAGGCCAGCTCATGCCTTTTCCTTTGAGAGGGAAAGAGAAGAGTAGAACATATGTTTAATGTTCTAGCTTTTCAGGGGGCTGCTCAGGGACTGGTTTCCCTCTCACCTGGCTTGAAGCAGTGATGAGGAACCAGTATAGTATGGATGTCTTGGGACTGCTGAGAAGAAAAGGTTGCTCAGCAGTTTGATGCGGCCCCAGAGAACCTTATCACCATGAAAGAGCTGGTACAGCTTGGAGTGACTGGGAGAAAATGCCCAGCTCATGACTACTCGTTTGGAAGAAAAAGAGAAGAGTGGAACATGCATCCAGCAATTCAGTGTATTTTTTTTTTTTTTTTTTTTTTGGTCAGGGGGCTGCCCTACAAACAGAGTTCTGTCTTACCTGACTTGGAGCATTGACAGAACCTGCATGCTTTGGATGCCTATGGTCACAGAAAACAATAGGGTATTCAGCAGCTTGCATATTACATCAGAGAATTTCTAGTACTGCAGACAGACATCAGTGTCAGCAAGAGATTAGAAGCTCCTGAAAAAGAAACTGCAAATCTCTCTAACTGGGAAATCAGATACATAAGCTCAGAAAAGATGTATCCCCAGAAAAGATTTTGGAGGACCCCAGAATCTCTAACCAGGCCGATTGGTGAAGCTCTTCCCTTGTATGAAGGCAGTTTATGAAGATTGGAAGAGGTGGCTGTATATTTAAATGCACACATCACAGCAAAAAATAACAAGACACATGGAAAAACATAGAAACATGACTCAATCAAAGGAATAAAATAAACTTCCAGAAAAAATAATCCTAAAAATGGATATCTGTGAATTACTTGACAAAGAATTCAAAATAATCACCTTAAAGAAGCTCAATGCATTACAAGAGAACACAGAAATATAACTAAACAAAGAGGAAGGCTGGGCACGGTGGCTTACACCTGTAATCCCATCACTTTGGGAGACTGAAGTGGGTGGATCACCTGAGGTCAGGAGTTCGAGATCAGCCTGACCAACATGATGAAACCCCGTCTCTACTAAAAATACAAAAATTAGCTGGGCGTGGTGGCAGGTGCCTGTAGTCCTCGCTACTCAAGAGACTGAGGCAGGGAAATAGCTTGAACTCAGGAGGTGGAGGTTGGAGGTTGCAGTGAGCCAAGATCACGCCATTACATTCCAGCCTAGGCAACAAGAGCAAAACTCCATCTAAAAAAAAAACAAAAACAAAAAAACAAAAAAACAGCCAGGCATGGTGGCTCACACGTGTAATCCCAGAACTTTGGGAGGCCGAGGCAGGTGGATCATGAGGTCAGGAGATCGAGACCATCCTGGCTAACATGGTGAAACCCTGTCTCTACTAAAAAATACAAAAAATTAGCTGGACGTGGTGGCAGGCACCTGTAGTCCCAGCTACTCAGGAGGCTGAGGCAGGAGAATGGCGTGAACTCAGGAGGCGGAGTTTTCAGTGAGCCAAGATCATGCCACTGCATTCCAGCCTGGGCGACAGAGCCAGACTCCATCTCAAAATAACAAAAAACAAACAAACAAAAAGAACAAATGGAAAACAATGCACAAACTAATGTAGAATATCAGCAGAGACAGAAACCAGAATAAAGGCCAAACAGAAGTTATGGAGCTGAATAATGCAATAACAGAATTGAAATATTCACTATAAGCATTTAACAGCAGATGTGATCAATCAGAAGAAGGAATCAGTGAACTCAAAGAAAGGTCATTTGAAGTTATTGAATTAGAGGATCAAATAGAAAAGAGAATGATGGAAAATAAAGAAAGTCTGTGGGATTTATGTGGTACCACTGAGTGGACCAATACAGGCATTATGAGAGTTCCAGAAGGAGAAGGGAGCAAGAAAGGGAAGAGAGTTTATTTGAAGAAATAATGGCTTAAAACCACTCAACTGAGAAAGAAAATGGATATCCAAATTCAGGAATCACAAAAGACTCCAATTAAGTTGAACTCAGAGTCTCACACCAAGACACACAATAACCAACTGGTCAAAAGCAAAAGTCAAAGAGAGATTCTTGAAAACATCAAGAGAAAACAGACTCATCATGTACAAGGGAGTTTCCATAAGATTATCAGTGGATTTCTCACCAGAAACATTACAGGTCAGAAGGGAGTGGGATGATATATTCAAAGTATTGAAAGAAAAAAAATCTTGCCTAGCAAAAATACTACATCTTGTAAAACTGTCCTTCAAAAATAAACAGACCTTCCCAAATAAACAAAAGCTGAGGGACTTCATCACCACTAGATTAGGCTTAGAAGAATAGCTAAAGGGAGTTTCAAAATGAAATGAAAAGATTAGCTAGCAACATGAAATCATATGAAAATATAAAGCTCTTTGCTGAAGGTAAATATTTAAGCAAACACAGAATCCTCTAATACTATGATGGTGGTGCATAAATAATTTTTAATTCTAGTGTAGTTAAAAATATAAAAGCATGAAAATAACTAAACTATAAATCTATATACATTGATACATAAAGTTAAAAATGTAATTGATAGCACCAAGAACATAAAGTGTGTGTAGGGTAACATGTAAAGAAGTAAAGTTTTGTGTGTGATTGAAGTTAAGTTCATAATTATAAGTTCATGTAAGTTCATCAAGTTCACTATAAGATGTTTAATGTAATCTCTATGGTAACTACAAATAAAATATCTTAAAAAGATGTACAAAAATGAGATAGAAATACAAACATGTCACTGAAAAAAATCACAAGAGAAGACAGCAGGAGATTGTAAAATTTCTTTCCTATCAGTAATTACTTTAAATGTAATTGAATTAAACACTCCAATCAAAAGACACAGAATGGCTGAATGGATTGAAAAAGAAACAAGATGCAACCGTATGCTGTCTACAAAAGACTCACTTTAGCTCTAAGGACACACACAGAATGAATGTGAAAAAATGGAAATAGATATTCCATACAAATGGTAACCAAAAGAGAGCAGAGGTTGTGATGCTTATATCAGATGAAATAGACTATAATTCTAAAACTTTTCACAAGGGACAAGGAAAAACAATACATGACAACAGGATCAATAAAATAAGATACAATTATAAATATTCACCTAACATCAGAACACAGACATATATGAAGCAAACAATGGTAGAATTGAATAGACAGGAACACAATAATATTAGAAGATTTCAATACCTTATTTTCGATAATGAATATATCAACCAGACAGAGGATTAATATGAACACAGAGGACTTGAACAACACTATAGACCAATTAGACCTAACAGACACCTGCGGAACACTCCACACAACAGCAGACCATACATTCTTCTCAAGTGCACATAGAACATATTCCATGTCCATGGAACAAATTTAAGGATATTGAAATCAGACCAAGCAAGTATCTTTTCTGACAACAATGGAATGGAATGAAACTAGAAATAAACAGCAGAAGGAAAATCGAAAAATTCAAAATTAGGTGGAAATTAAACAACACACTCTTTTTTTTTGAGACAAAGTCTCGCTCTGTCACCCAGGCTGGAGTGCAGTGGCGCAATCTCGGCTCACTGCAAGCTCCGCCTCCCAGGTTCACGCCATTCTCCTGCCTCAGCCTCCCGAGTTGCTGGGACTACAGGCGCCTGCCACCACGTCCCACTAATTTTTTGTATTTTCAGTAGAGACGGGATTTCACCATGTTAGCCAGGATGGTCTCGATCTCCTGACCTCATGATCCACCCGCCTCAGCCTCCCAAAGTGCTGGGATTACAGGCGTGAGCTACCGCGCCCAGCCAAACAACACACTCTTAAACAACTGAAGTCAAAGGAGAAGTCACAAGGGAAATTATAAAATTATCCTGAGGATAATGAAAATAAATGCACAACATATCAAAACTTATGGGATGCAACAAAAGCAGTACTAAGAGGAAAGTTTATAACGACAGATGCTTACATTAAAGAAGAAAGATCTCCAGTTAACAACCTAGCTTTACACCTCAAGGACCTATAAAAAAGAAAAAAATTGGCCAGGCACTGTGGCTCATGCCTGTAATCCCAGCACTTTGGGAGGCCGAGGTGGGTGGATCACAAGGTCAAGAGATCGAGACCACCCTGGCTAACACGATGAAACTCCGTCTCTACTAAAAATACAAAAAAATTAGCCAGGCGTGGTGGCGGGTGCCTGTAGTCCCAGCTACTCAGGAGGCTGAGGCAGGAGAATGACGTGAACCCGGCAGGCAGACCTTGTAGTGAGCCGAGATTGTGCCACTGCACTCCAGCCTGGGCGACAGAGTGAGACTCTGTCTCCAAAAAAAAAGAAAAAGAAAAAAAGAAAATCTAAAGCTAGCAGAAGAATGAACATAATAAAAATTAGGGCAGAACTAAATAAAATATAAAATAGAGAACGGAAAAATAATAGAAAAAAACTTTTAAATGCGTTTTTTTAAAAATCCACAAAATTGACAAACCCTTAGCTAGACTAAGAAAAAAGAGAGAAAACACAAATAACAAAGATCAGAAATGAAAGGGAAAACATTACAACTGATACTACAGAAATAAAAAGAATCATAAGAAATTACTATGAACACTTGGGCTGGGTGCGGTAGCTCACTCCTGTAATCCCAGCATTTTGGGAGGCTGAGGCAGGAGGATCACGAGGTCAGGAGATCAAGACCATCCTGGCTAACACAGTGAAACCTCGTCTCTACTAAAAATACAAAAAATTAGCCAGGAGTCGTGGCGGGCGCCTGTAGTCCCAGCTACTCGGCAGGCTGAGGCAGGAGAATGGCGTGCACCCGGGAGGCAGAGCTTGCAGTGAGCCGAGATCGCACCACTGCAGTCCAGCCTGGGTGACAGAGCGAGACTCCTTCCCAAAAAAAAGAAAAAGGAAAAAGAAATTACTATGAACACTTATGGGCAAAAAATTGAGTAATATATAAGAAATGGAAAGTTTCTAGAAGAATACAGCCTGTCAAGACTGACAATCTGACCAGACCTGTAACAAATAAGGAGAATGAAGCAGTATTCAAAAATCTTTCAATAAAGAAAATACCAGGGCCTGATAGCTTCACTGGAGAATTTTACCAAATATTTAAAGAATTTTTAATCTTTCTCAAATTCTTCCAAAAAGTTGAAAGGAAGGGAATATTTCTGATTCGTTTTATGAGGCCAACATTATCCTGATATCAAAATCAGAGAAAGATACAAGGAAAGAAAACTACAAGCCAATATCTCTGATGAGTATTAATGGAAAAATACTTAAAAAAATACTAGCAAGCCAAATTCAACTATATGTTAAAAGGATAATATGTGATGGCCAAATGGGATTTATTTCTGGAATGCAAGGATAATTTGCATATGAAAATCAATTAATGTAAGATATCACATTAACAACATTAAGGACAAAAAATATATGATCATCTCAATTGGTACAGAAAAAGAATTTAACATAATTAAACACACTTGCATCATAAAACACTCAACAAACTAGAAAGAGAAAGAAATTATTTTAACATAGTAAAGGCCATATATGACAAGCCTACAGCTAATATTATATTCAGTAGTGAAAAACTGAATTCTTTCCCTTCTAAGATCAGGAGCCAGGCAAGAATGCCCACTGTTTAAAAAATTTTATAGATTTTTATTTTTTAAAAAGATTATTTATTTTTCAATTGACAAAAATTATATATATTCATGGTGTACAACACAATGTTTTGAAAAATATACTGATTGTGGAATGGCTAAATCAAACTAATTAACATGTGCATTACCTCAAAAACTTATTTTTGGTGATGAGAACACTTAAAATTTACTTTCTTAGCAATTTTCAAGTATACAATACATTGTTATTAACTATACTCACCATGTTGTACAATATATCTCCTGTTTAACTGAAAAAAAATGGGATAACATCAAAATAAAATGCTTCTGCACAGTGAAAGAAACAATCAGAGAGAGAAGAGGCACCCTATAGAATGGGAGAAAATATTTGCAAACCATGAAGATAAGAGGTTAATAAACAGAGTATATAAAAAGCACACAATTTAATAGCCAGAAAACAAATAACCCAATTAAAAAATAGGAGCAAAGGACTGGCCGGGCGTGGCGGCTCACGTCTGTAATCCCAGAACTTTGGGAGGCCGAGGAGGGCGGATCCCGATGTCAGGAGATTGAGACCATCTGACTAACACGATGAAACCCCGTCTCTACTAAAAATACAAAAAATTAGCCGGGCATGGTGGCGGGCACCTGTAGTCCCAGCTACTCAGGAGGCTGAGGCAGGAGAATGGCGTGAACCTGGGAGGCGGAGCTTGCAGTGAGCCAAGATTGCGCCACTGCACTCCAGCCTGGGCAACAGAGCAAGACTCCAAAAAAAAATCTCTCTCTCTCTATATATAGATATATGTATATATCTATATCAATATCTATATCTATATATGTAGGAGCAAAGACCTAAACAGACATTTCTCAAAAAAAGACATATAAATGGCCTACAGGTATTTGAAAAAATCCTCAACATCACCCTAACCATTAATGAAATGCAAATTAAAACTACATTGAGATATCACCTCACATCAGTTAGAATGGCTATTTTCAAAAAGATAAAAGGTAAGTGTTGGTGAGGATGCGGAAAAAAAGAATTCTGTTACATTGGTGAGAATTTTAGTACAGAAATTATGGAGACCAGTATGAAGAATTCTCAAAAAATTAAAAATAGAAATACCATATAATTCAGCAGTCCCACTTTTTGGTATATAGCCAAAGGAACTGAAATCAGGATCTCAAAAAGGTATGTGCACACCCATGTTCAGTGCAGCATGTTATTCACAATAGCCACGGTCTGGAATCAACCTAAGTGTCCATCAACAAATGACAGAATAAAGCAAATGTAACATATATACACAATGGGAATAGTAATTTAGTCTTGAAAAAAGAAGCAAATTCTGTCCAGTCAGGAAATCCTGTCATCTGGGATAATCTGGAGTACATTATACTAAGTGAAATAAGCCAGACACAGAAAGACAAACACCACATGATCTCACTTATATCTGGAACTTAAAAATGTCAAACTCATAGAGATAGAGAATAGAATGGTGGTTGCCAGGGATGGGGGCTGCAGGGATTGGGCAGATATTTGTCATATGATGCCCATTCTTGCCACTTCTATTCAACATAGTGTGGGAAGTCCTGTAAAGACCTAAATGTAAGACCCGAAAATACAAACCTTCTAAGAGAAAACACAGGGGAAAAACTTTATGGCATTGAACTTGGATATGATTTTATGGTAATTATACCAAAAGCACAGGCAACAAAAGCAAAAATAGACAAATTGGACCATATCAAACTTAAAAATGTTCTGCATGTCAAAGGAAACAATCAACATAGTGAAAAGGTAACCTATGGAATGAGATAAAATGTTCGCAAACCATACATCTGTTAAGGGGTTAATAGCCAGAATATATAAAGAACTCCTACAATTCAACAACAAACAAAGAAGCAACCCAATTAAACAATGGGCAAAGAACTTGAATAAACATTTCTCAAAAAAGACATACAAAGAGCCAACAACCATATGAAAAGATGTTCAGCATTACTAACCATTCTGGAAGTGCAGGTGAATACTGCAATGAGATATCACCTCACACCTGTTAGGATGGCTACCATCAGGAAAATAGAAAATAACAACTATTGACAAGGTTGTGAAGAAATTGGAACCCTTTTGTACTGTTAACAGGAATGTAACATGGTGTGGTCACTATGGGAAGCAGTATGATGGAGAATTTTCATAACTTTCAGCAGTTCACTTCTGAGTATACATTTTAAAGAATTGAAAATATTATCTGAAAGAGGTATTTGCTCACCCATATTCATTGCAGCATTATTCCCAGTAGCCAAAAGGTGGAAGGAACCTAAATGCCCATTGATTAAGAAAATGTGGTATAAACATACAATGGAAAATTATTTAATCTTAAAAAAGAAAGAAATTCTTAAACACATGACAACATGAATGAACAAACCTTGAGGACAGACATTATGCTAAGTGAAATAAACCAGTCACAAAAAAGGCAAATACTGCATGATTCCACCTCTATGAGGTATCTAAATCAGTCAAACTTTTAGAAACAAAAAGTGGATCGGTGATTGCTGGGTGGAGAGGGAAAAGGGGGTTGTTTCGTAGGTACATAGTTTCAGTTTTACAAGAGATGAAAAGGTTCTGGAGAGTAACTGCACAACAACATACATTAGTAGTTAAGACTACTGTACTATACATTTAAAAATCATTAAGACGATAAACTTTGTCATGTGTTTTTCAATAAAAAAATAAACAGAAGGTTACAGCATCATCTGTAAACTACAAGATCATCAGCATATGTTATGTGTTGAATTTTGCCCTCCAAAGTGTTTGAAGTCCTAACCCTCATGATGTGTAAATATGACTTTCTTCGGAAATAGGATCTGTGCAGATGATCAAGTTAAGATGAGGTCATCAGAGTGATCTCTAATCCAATATGACTGTGTCCTCATAAGAAGGGGAAATCTGGGCCCAGAGACAGACATATATAGAGGGAATACAATGTGAAGAGATAGAGGAAAAACCATCTACAAGCCAAACAATGCCAAAGGCTGGGGGAGAGGCATGGAGTGGATTCTCCCTCAAAGCCTTCAGAAGGAACCAGCCCTCCGGCACTTTGAACTTCTGGTATCCAGCATTGTGAGGAAATACAGTTTTGTTATTAAGCCACCCATTTTGTGGTACTTTGTTAGTGAAGCCCCAGGAAACCAATACATCATGGGTTGGGGTTATCGGGCTTTAATAAATTACAGCCTCTTTCTTCAACGCCTGAGTTTGCAACCAAACAGCATAAGCCCAAACATGCTACAGACCACATCTTAGATAGAGGGTTAAACAACTACACATCTTCCCCTTTAACTCCATTGTTGAGCATTCCTCACTGGGTCTCTTCATAATACTTTTCTTGTAGAGTATATCTATACGACTTTTTACCAGTTTTTAAACAGGTATGAAACAAAGTTAAGCTTTTGCCTCAGGAACTGTGCTAATCTTACCCAAAGCTTTTAGAGCATTTTTAGAAATGAGAGTGTTTAAGGTAGATTGAATTACCATTTCTTTTGGTGGCAGTAGAAGCTTGCCATTTAATTGAGAAACTATATCTTAAATCACAAGTAAAGAAATTTGTGGCTTCCACTCTAGAGAAAAACTCCAGAGAAGAGCATAAATTATGAGCTAAAAGCTGGTATCGTTTAGAGAAGGCTCCAAAGATGTTTTATGGTAACACCAATCTGAGGAAGGAAGCTCTACTCTTGCCTGTGATAATTTACTTTTGTCTGATTTCATGAATCATCTCTTATGGAATGTGATTGGAAAATATATTTACATTACTATATTTGAAAAATGTGAGTCTACAAACTTAGTTCTCTCTAACCAGTTTCTTCATTGTTGCCAAAGACCCCGTGCAGAGCAATCACACAGAAAAAGGCTGCTTGGATTCACCAGTGCAGCCGCTGTGGAGGGGCCTTTCATTGGCACTGAAAATGCTTGTTTGGTGATGAATAACCTTTGTTATTATTATACTGCATGTTATTAAAATTTTTAACATAATTCCCTCTAAACTAATAGTAATTCAGACAATGCAGCCACTGGCAGACAGCTTCATTAGTCAATCTTCTTTCTTATAAATGGGAGAATTAAGAACTGCTATTACTGTCATTCTGTCTGCTGCTCATTATTGTTGTAGACTTATGCACGAGACTAATCATATTCTCGTTGAATGCATCATGCTTAGCTCTTGAACGTGTGTGACAGTGACAAGAGCCCACCGAGTGACAGGGCAGGGTTGGTGGAATTCTGTGTCTCCATATGCACATGCATGTGCGTTCCTTCTTACACTCAGGCACACATAGGCTATTTTCCAGGGTTTTATTTTATTAATTCCTTAGGAATCTCAGAAAGTGAACTTCAGAGGCTGGGCACGGTGGCTCATGCCTGTAATCCCAGTACTTGGGAGGCCGAGGTGGGCAGATGGCCTGAAGTCAGGTGTTTGAGACCAGTCTGGCCAACATGGTGAAACCCCGTCTCTACTAAAAATACAAAAAAAAAAATTAGCCAGCCATCGTGGTGGGTGCCTGTAATCCCAGCTACTCAGGAAGTTGAGGCAGGAGAATTGCTTGAACCAGGGAGGTGGAGGTTGCAGTGAGCCAAGATCGCACCACTGCACTCAAAAAAAAAAAAAAAAATGAACTTGAGAAAGCAAGATGGTACCCTCTGAGGCTTTCCCCATACAGTGTACATGTGTCCTCTCCAAGGAAAAATACTCCAAGGACAAAAACAATACAATAGGATTGTTTTTTGTGAGTATAAACATCTGATTTCTCTGTAGAGAGAGAAACAAAACATTTAGAAATCATCAAAATGTTTTGAGGCCTCTAAGGTACTTTCTGTGACTTCACAAAGACTATTATTGAATTCACTTTAAACAAAGCATTAAAAAATAATAATGTTTGCTCTTTCTCCAAAGGGAGACAAAGATAATTTTTATGGAGGAACCCTTTTCCCCATTGGATTACTAGACTATATCCTCAGTAAAAAAATGAAAAGTGTCCCCACCTGGTTGATGGTTAAACAAATGAAGATTAAGAGAGAACTAAAATGTCTAGAAGCATTTAACACTGTGAAATTCTATGATAGATGCTTGGATATTTGGAGAATGGAAACATTATATAAAATATGTGTATAGGTTGGGCGTGGTGGCTTACACCTGTAATCCCAGCACTTTGAGAGGCTGAGGCAGGAGGATCACTTGAACCCAGGAGTTTGAGACCAGCCTGGGCAGCATAGCAAGACCCCCATATCCACAAAAACTAAAAAAAAAAAAAAAAATAACTGGATGTGGTTGTGCATGCCTGTAGTTCCAGCTCTGTGGGAGGCTGAGGTGGGAGGATCACTTGAGCCTGGAAGGTTGAGGTTGCTGTAAGCAGTGATCACACTACTGTACTTCAGGCTGGGGGACAGTGTGAGACCCTGTCTTGAACAAAAAAAAAAGTTTGCTCAAGAAATATTCAGCAACCCTCTGTTTCCCAAAGGGAAGAAACTCCTTAGAGCTGTGTTTACTGAGTGTGGTACATGGTATACTTTTCTTAGGATACAGATTTCTGGCTTGTCCCGGAAAACCAGAGTGTGGTGACTGTGGGAGGGCCCCAGGTCATTCTTATGTGCCAACATCTGAAAGCCACCATCTCAGAGACCAAGTCGTCCACTATGTGGCCCCAAGTCATCTTTCCAATTTATCTGAAAGTCTTGCCACAGGGGTCCTCAACTTTGGTGTATATCACAATTACATGGCCTCCACCTCCAGAGATTTGAACTCAGTAATTCTTGGGTAAATCCATGAAATGTGGGTTTTGATTAAATTAAATGATGGATCTGTAGATAATTCTGTTGTACACAGAGTTTGAGAATCACCCTGCTTGCCTAACAGTCAGCAGATATGAGTTCTGCACTCTGGCCTTGGCTCTGCCCCTTGCCTGCCTGGTCCTGGACATATCACTGAACTGCTCAGAGTTGTTCATTCTTTCCTGTATAAGAGCAGCATGGGTGCACCTGCACTGGCTACCTCACAAGTTAGATGATGTATGGAAAACCACTTAGTTAGATGCAGGATGTGATGTATTTTAGGGTGTCCAAGTCACTGAGTATTATCTACAAGTTAGGCACTGTCTTCAGTACCAGAAATGAAATAAGAAGCCTGCATTCGGGAAGTTTATTATGACTCTGAAGGCCGTCAGAAGGTTGCTATTCCCTGGTAATGTTAATCTATTCTTGGTCTTGTAGGTTACGCATGCTGTTGCTGACTGTTGACACATACCATCGGCTAAGAGCAGTGGCTGGCTTTGAAACAGCTCCACCTTCCCTGAATACTCTTTCAGCGTCTCTGACGTCTAGGCCAAGTTTGTGTACTTAGCTCCATGACAGCATCAAGATACAAACAACAAGAACTGATGGATTTCAGTACATCTTCTGGGGCTCCTGCCTGTGGGATACAGCTTGTCTTTGATGTCTTACCCTCTACATCCATGTCTCCTTCCTGTCTGTGCTGTGGACTTCAAACTCCAGCATCAGACATGAAGACAACATCCTGCAGAGATTGCTTTAAGCAGCTCCCACAGTTATAACAACATCATGGCCCTATAGCAAATATCATAAAAATTTTTCCACACCTATATTCACAAACATAAAATCTTTTATTGGTTCTGTTTCTCAGTTGAATCATGACTGATACAATATGAGAAGCAGTATATTATTATTTATAGGTAAGGTGTCATTAATTACAGATGCATGGGTCAGGCATAGTGGCTCATCCCTGTAATCCAAGCACTTTGAGATACCAAGGTAGGAGGATCCCTTGAGGCCAGGAATTTGAGACCAGCCTGGGTAACAAAGTGAGACTCTGTCTCTACGAAAAACAATTTTTTAAGGTGCATATTATAAACCTAGGGAACCACTAAAATATTTTTAAAAGAAGCATAAATGATAAAAAAACAAAAAATGGAGATTAAATGGAATCATTAAAAATAATTCAAAATCAGTTAGAAAAAGAACAAAGAACAAATATAACAAATAAAAACAAGATATGAGATAGTACATTAAAATCCAACTGTATCAGTAGCTGTATTTAATTTAAATGACCTAAACATACCAACTAAAACACAGAGATGATCAAATTAGATAAAAAAGCAAGAATCAACTATAATCTATCTATAATAAATTCACATTAAATATAAAAGTATACAGGTTAAAAGTAAAAGGATGAAAAATATACCATATATGCCATGCAAACAGTTGCTCTATTAGTATTAGATAACAGGAAATTCCAGAACAAAGAATATCTTCAGAAATAAAAAGCCACCACATATAGTGTAAAAGGGCCAATTCATCAAGAAGAAAAAGACTAAACGTGTATGCACCTAACAACAGAGCTTTAAAATGCATAAAGCAAAACTGATAGAACAGAAAGAAAAAATAGACAAACCTACACTTAGAGACTGCAGCATTCCTCTCTCAGTAATAGAACAGATGCACAGAAAATCAGTAAAATATGTAGACTAGAACTACATTGTTAAGCAACTTGACAAATTTGGTATTTATTGAATGCTCTATTCAGCAATAGCAGAATACACATTCTTTTCAAGGGCTCATGGGACATTTACCAAGATACTGGGACATAAAACAAACCTCAACAAATTTAAAAGGGTTGAAATCATATGAAGAATGTTCTGTTACTATAGTGGAATCAAACTGGAAATTAATAGCAGAAAGATGTCTGAAAAATCCTCCAAATATTTGGAAATGAAATGACTCACTTCTGTACAACCCATAGGCAAAAAAGAAAGTCACAAGGGAAATTAAAATATATTTTGAATGAAAATGAAACATCAAATACAAGAATTTGGGAGATGCAGGTAAAGCAGTGCATAGGGGGAAATTTATATCATTAAATGTTTATACTTGACAAGAAGAAAGTCCTCAAGTTAATGGTATAGTTTTACAGTAAAGACCTGGTGGGGGGCGGGGGGGGAGGCGGGAAGGAACAAATAAAATACCATAGCAAAGAAAAAGGAATGCAATAATTAAGATCAGAAATGAATGACTTTGAAAAGAGCAACACAATAGAGAAAAATAAAATAAAAAAAACCGAGTTGATTCAGTGTGCCCCTATTACTTTCTAGTTAAACAAAAAGAAAACTTTTGTTTCAATAATTATACTTAAATGTTTATTGGATTTTTGGAGGGTGACTTTTTACGTACTTTAGGATGACAGATAAAAACACAAGCAGTGCCTAAGTAGGTTCATAATTTTAATTTCACTTACCTGTAATTTTACCAATGCTTACTTATCAATGTCTTTAAAGGTACAATTTTATGGAAAATTTTACCTACAGTCTGAACATATTTTCTGGTCTTTAAAATGAAGTTAGTATGCTGTATACCATCAGTATATAAACTTGAAACACTTATAGAACAAACATATCAGAGATCAATAAATCCTTTTGGGTCACTACAAACTACCCCATTGGCAGTGTATATTTATTTTGTCTGTTGAGTAACAAACAGGTAAGTTTTAGAGTTAACAAAAGATTAATAATACAAAACAGAGCTGTCTAGTAATAATCTTCAGAGCTAGAACACCCACATGTATTTATAAAGTCACATTTTTGGGGGATAACCGGAGGTAACCTCAGTGAAAAAAAGTTAATTCTGTTGTAAATTCAGTTCTGATAGTCCCACTTGATGACCTTTTGTCTTAAACAATTTCTAAGTTGGCTCATATCATAACTATGCCAAACCTCTTGAAAAGGCTCATTTTAAGGCTCTCTAACAGCATATTATTAACTGGCGAGTCTTCCAGAAGGCAGACATCCTAAGCTTAACATTAACTCTAGTCCAATGTTTTTGGTTGCCTGCATATATTTTCTTTGGCGTTAAAAAAAAAAAAGTTGGCCTGGCGCAGTGGCTCACACCTGTAATCCCAACATTTTGGGAGGCTGACGGGGGCAGATCACTTAAGGTCAGGAATTCGAGACCAGCCTGGCCAATATGACAAAACCCCATCTCTATTAAAAATACAAAAATTAGTGGGGGGTGGTGACGTGGGCCTGTAATCCCAGCTACTCTGGAGGCTGAGGCAGAAGAATTGCTTGAACCCAGGAGGCAGAGGTTGCAGTAAGCTGAGATTACGCCACTGCACTCCAGCCTGGCGACAGAGCGAGACTCCGTCTTAAAAAAAAAAAAAAGTTTTCACTCGATACTCTTCTTCTAGAGCTGGCAATACATTGGCTCAGTTGCAAACATGCTCATTATTCCCTTCATCTTACGTAGCCTTAGAAGAGAGCAGCTAGTGATATGCCATAAAACTGTAGACGTGATAGGTAGGAGCGGATATCACTTAGTCCAAGTCCTCTGGTCTCCAGGTAGGCAAGGTCCTTTGCAGATGCCCTGGTGTTAGCGGTGGTTCCCAGTCTCGGCAATGCATTAGTAACACCTGGGCTGCCTTTATAACGGCCAACCTATTATCCCCAGTGATTGATTTAATTGTTCTTGGGTTAAAATCATCCCTACATTTTTTTTTTTTAGATGGACACTTACTCTGTTGCCCAGGCTGGAGTGCAGTGGCGCGATCTCAGCTCACTGCAACCCCCACGTCCCGGGTTCAAGTGATTCTCCTGTCTCGGCCTCCAGAGCAGGTGGGATTACAGGTGCCTGCCACCACGACCGGCTAATTTTTGTATTTTCAGTAGAGACGGGATTTCACCATGTTGGCCAGACTCGTCTCAAACTCTGACTTCAGGCAATCCCCTCGCCTCAGCCTCCCAAAGTGCTGGTATTACAGGTGTGAGCCACTGCGCCTGGCCACCCCTACATTTTTTTAAAGCAGCCAAGGGAAATATTATATACCAAGGCTAAGGACCACTGAGCTGAAGTACTAAGTTTTCAGATGAGGAAACCCCAATCTCCTTTCTCACTCATGTGGGTTTACGGTATTAACTACATTTTAAATGTCAGAAGTTTAAAAAGCACAAAATAAATGTTACGAATAGAGTTAAAATAGGGCAGCAGTGATTCTGATTTGTGTTATATATATTGCAAGGTTTCACATCTTAAAAATGTGAACTTTAGTGGATGATTCAAAGCACATGTATTATTCTGTGTAAAGAACACTGTGTGTATTAACTCATCTTCAGTGGGTATTAACTTTGTGCTTTTTTAAAAATGAGGATTTAAAAAACAAAACATTAATGTTCTCTTGCTCATTTTCTGAGTCATGGGAGTAGACGGTATATCATATACTAGTCAGGTTTGCCCAGAAAATAGAAAGCATTCTAAATATTTCAAGCAGAAAGGGATTATATTTGTGGTTATGTGTTTATTGATAGGACTGGAGTGGGAAAGCTAGGGAAGGCTGCCACTCTTGTTCAGGGTGGCCACTGTTACTGTGGTCCAAGAAGCTGCTGCTGCTGCCCAGGAGAGAATATTGCAGGGAATCACAGTGGACTCCAGCTACCTTGCATCAGAACTGCGGAGACAGGCGACACAGGCAATACCCAGAGGCTGCTGAAGACAGCAATTCTGTTCCTTGCTGTGGGAGGAGGGAGAATAGTGTTGTGTGTGCTTTTACATCTCAGGCAAGTCTATCTCGTTGACATCGAGAGATGTCAGGTTGCACTGAGAACCCTAGAGGAAGGGAACTCTGGGAAAGGCAGGCACTGGCTCTCTAGACTGTATGACAGGCACAAGTGCACAGATGAGAATGAGAATGAATCCTCATTGTCAAGCAGAATTAAACCAAACTAAAACACATTATAAAGCAAAAAGATGATGAAGAGATGGGCCATTGAACATTTTGTGTGACGTTATCTGGATTCTGTGAAAATGGAACCAATGTTTTCCGATCCACTGAGCTACCTTTGTTAACAGGGATATTCATAACATGTATGTTTTCTTACATTCATATATGTTTTTATAAATGCCATTTATGATCCTGAGTATGTAAAGGAAGATGTTGCCTCTGATACTGGTGTGGCATGTGCAAGACTATTTTTGTGAGTTTCAGTTTGGCGACTGCTTTTGGTGGGAAGAGGTCTTTCAGCAAACAAAATTCACCAGTCCTAAGAGCGCCTTGAATGCTGGAGATAAAAATATTTCTTTGACCATAATAACTCTGCTGTTGGTATTTGCTTCAGATTTGTGGCCTAGCATCTGAGATTAGGTCCAAGCTTTAATAATGATTGGCTGTTCCCCTCGAACCCTGGGGGTTTATTTATCATCATTTTCCACCCATGTGTCAGCTGAAAAAACAAAAAAATTATCGATTAGCAATCCCAACCACTTATCACTTAAACTGGATAATTTATTACCTAAGTCAAAAAGACACGTATCAGTAGAGATGAGCTACAGTGATTATTAGCTTCATACTGTCCTACCTTGCCTGCATGTCTGCACTTGTGACCTGCTGCTCTCTTTCTTCTGAATGGAGACAAGAAAGGGACCATCAGATGCTGGGGTTCTGCTGGTAGACAGCGAGCAGAGCTATAGTCCCTGACTATGATGGTTGCTTCACTGCTTTAGCTTGTCTCCTGTTACTCTTGCTGCAGCATGGAAGGCTGCAATAATACTATTCATTTCTAAATGCTTGCCAGCGAAGATGGAGTGCTCAAATCATCTAATGGGTGGATTTAAGACAGCGAGAAGGAGAAGGCTTGTTGCCATTTCCAATTTTTTCTGGTTCTTTAAGATGGCATGAGAGGGAAATAATTAATCTTGGATAGATTTTAGCAAAACGAAACACCCATGTTCCTAATCTTTGGTAAAATACTTTACCAATTTAGGGCCGGGTGCGGTGGCTCACGATTGTAATCCCAGCACTTTGGGAGGCCGAGGTGGGTAGATCACGAGGTCAGGAGATCGAAACCATCCTGGCTAACACAGTGAAACCCCATCTGTACTAAAAATACAAAAAATTAGCTGGGCATGGTGGTGGGCGCCTGTAGTCCCAGCTACTCGGGAGGCTGAGGCAGGAGAATGGCGTGAACCTGGGAGGCGGAGCTTGCAGTGAGCCGAGATTGTGCCACTGCACTCCAGCCTCCGCAACAGAGCGAGACTCCGTCTAAAAACGAACGAACAAACAAACAAACAAACACTTAACCAATTTAGTTTTTCCTTGAGGACTAGGGTTATTTTCCTGATCAGAAAGACAGGACTAAGGTGCCAGCCTGGGAATTTTGAATGACTCATGGAAAGCTGTTACAGGTAGAAAGATGTCAGTGCCAAGTGTTTTAAATAGGCATTTTGGACCATTAGGATGTCATGGTTTGCTTATCGTGGCTTTTTTTACGTCTGAATACATTCTCATCAGCTATGCTTCATTCGTTATAAAAGGAACTCTAGAATCAAGTGTTGCCATTCTTCTTGGTTTCAGAAGAAAGATAATCTCTTGAGCTCACAGGCTCACAAACACATCTCACTGAAAGTAATTACCTTCACATCAGTTATGAGAAGGCACATGCTGAGTTTGCCTCCCCAATGCCTTTCAAGATTTATGAGTGCCTTATCACTGGATATCATGGGCAACAGATGCACCTTATAACGATGACTTTAAAAAATAAACTATAATTGTTATGCCTTGGCTCCTGGCCAAAGAAACAGGATCTAAGTCTGATTGATGGCACAAGGTAGCTTTCTATCATTTAACAGTAAATGGCTTTGCTCTTTTATTATGTTTTGCTTGAGTAAAAAAAAAAGATAAATAGAATTAAGAACTTGATGAAAGACAGTCCTGCAGTGATACACATTGAAAGATGCAAAACTAAGAGTCACTGATTAGCTGGTGAACTTGCTAGTGTGGATCATGGAATGACTGTAAGCATCATCTCATGAGCCCATCATGAAGCTGACCTCACAGAGGCAGTGGCACTGCAGGAGACCACCAACAAAGCAGAAATGGCAAAAGAGTTCCCAGAGAAATAACGCCTGCCGGGGTCCCAAGATAGGAACTAGAAAGAAGTCAGAGCTGTGCATTGGTGAAATACAAGTGCTTAATAACCCCCATCCTTACTCATATCTGCATATGCACAGCACTGTGTGAAAAGTAGATGTGACCGATTGCTTGTTATAGACCAGTGTTCACCCTCTTCTGTTTCCTTTGGTCATGGAACCTCTAAGTTTTAAGTAGGCATAGAGCCACCCAGTTAAAGATTGCATTTCCCACATCCTTTATCATTAAGTGCAGCCTTGTGACTAGATTCTGGCAATGGGATATGAACAGAAATGGTGAATGCAGAGCTGCTCCAAGATGGCTGACTAGACGCAGCCAGGAGGAACATCTCCCACTGAGGGTCTGGGACATTGGGAAGACTGGCACGCTTCTAGCAGATCTTCAGAGAGAAGGTATTGAGAGTGGATGGAGGGAAGACACAGGTGCTGGGCTGAAGGGGGAGGAAGCTGGGAACCCTGCATGGGGCTACTGCACACCAGGACTCCTTCCTGGCTTCCAGTGACTCTTGCGAAAGGGGTGAGTTTAATAGGCAAATTGCTCTCACCATGGGCCTCTGGAATTGCAGCAGGAGGAGACCCCTTGAGCACCGTGGACACTTGAGTTGGCAGGGAGAGCAGCTTGGAGACGTATTAGTGGCAGAACCCCAGACTGTGCAGAGCCCAGAGGGTTTGGTGTGGGAAATTCTGTAGTGGAGCATCACCAGGGATACCCATCCCCCGAGGCTCAGCTTGCTCCCATAGGAAACTTCAGCCCTGTGAGATCTGTGGGACCTTAACTCTGCAGGGCAGTCTTGCCCATCAGACTAGGCTGGTCTGAGCTGAGAACCCCATGGTTCTGCTAGCCTTCCCTGGGGCCCATCCTGGCCATGCCTGCTTGCAGTGCAGGCCCCAGGTACCTCCTGGGGGATTGAACCATAGGTCCTGTGCTGGTGGACTACAATTAACTGGCAGAGTGCTCTAGCAGAGTGATCCCTGTGAATACACACCATCTGCAAACTCCCTCAACTGTAGCCTCTCCTGTGTTGCTTTGCCTGCAGGCAGTAGCCCATGGCCAACCCAAACATTGCTTTGCCGGTTTGTGTGTGTGTGGGCAGACCTTGCCTTCCCTTCCCCACCACTGCACCTGTGCACATAAACCTGGCCATGCCACTGCTGTTGGCATTAATGCACTCTGCCCACTCCCACCTCCCCACTGCAACATTGCTATTGTCACTGGAGATTGGTGGGCATGGAGCCTATGAGCCTTCCCTCCACCAGCACCCTGCCCCTGTGCCAACACTGCTGCCAGTGCAAAATTGGACATGGAGAACAGCAAACTCACCCCTGCCCTGAGTGGCACTGCCACCTGTGTGAATGTGCACAGAGGGCAATACAGTCCTGTGTCCACCAGTGCCCTACTGCCATGCTAACACCACCACCAGTGTGGATACACACACAATTATTGGCAGGGGCCTTCTATCCCCAAGCCATGGTGCCACCACTGCTCCACATGGAGGCCAACATCCCAGCAACTGCTAGCACTCTGCCACAGCTGATGAACACAAACTCCACCACACTGCCACTGCCACTGCTGCTGGCACATGCAAATGAGGCTGGATCCCACTGTCACCACCCTATGAAGTGCTTTGGCTGGTATCACTTATTGGAGTGTTGTGACCTGTGGTCTGGGAGCACCTCAGACCCTCAAAAACAGCAGTTTCCCCTTGAGGAGCCAAAGAGCAAAGCCAGGCCTAATCCCAGCCCCCAGAGTTAGAATATGCAGTCCAGGAGTCCTGAGCTGAGCCTTGGCCCTCTAAAATATTCCAGAAATGAAGCCAGTTGACTGAACTCACCTTAAACCACAATCAAACCCCAAGGTCATCAAATAGGATAAATGAAAGAAAACCCATCCAAGGTCAGCAACCTCAAAGACTGAAGGAACATCAGTCCACAAAGATGAGAAAGAACCAGTGCAAAAACTCTGGCAACTCAAAAAGTCAAGGTGCTTCATTCCACCAAACAACCACACTAGTTTTCAAGTAAAAGTTCTTAACCAGGCTGAGATAGCTGAAATGACAGAAATACGATTCAGGATATGGATATGAATGAAGATCATCAAGATTCAGGAATACAATGAAACCCAATCTAAGGAAGATAAGAATCACACACACAAAAGCTGATATAGGAGCTGACAGACAAAATAGCCAGTATAGAGAAGAAGATGACCAACTTGATAAAGATGAAAAACACACTACAAGAATTTCATAATGCAATCACAAGTATTAATGGCAGAATAGACCAAGCTTAGAAAATAATTGCAGAGCTTAAAGACTGGCTTTCTGAAATAAGACAGTCAGATAAGAATGAAGAAAAAAGAATAAAAAAAAGCAAACAAAACCTCTGGAGAAATATGGGGTGATGTAAATAGACCAAATCTACTACTCATTGGCATCCCTGAAAGACATGGGGAAAATGGAAGCGACTTGGAAAACATATTCCAGGATATCATCCATGAGAACTTCCTAAACCTAGCTAGAGAAGCCAACATTAAAATTCAGGAAATGCAGAGAACCACTGCAAGATACTTCAAAAGAAGATCATCTCCAAGACACATAATCATCAGATTCTCCAAGGTTGAAATGAAAGAAAAAGTGTTAAAGGCAGCTAGGGAGAAAGGACAGGTCACCTACAAAGGGAAGTCCATGAGATAACAGGGGATCTCTCAAAAGAAACTCTAGAAGCCAGAAGAGATTGGGGGACTATATTCAGCATTCTTAAAGAAAAGAAATTCCAACCAAGAATTTCATATTTGGCCAAACTAAGCTTCATAAACAAAGGAGAACCAAGATCCTTTTCAGACAAGCAAACGATGAGGGAATTTGTTACCACCAGATCTTCCTTACAGAAATTCCTGAAAAAGGCAATAAATACAAAAAGGAAATATCATCACCAGCCACTACAAAAACACACATAAGTACACAGACCAGTGATTTGATAAAGCAACCACACAAAGAAGTCTGCATAAGAACCAGCTAATGACATGACAGAATCAAATTCACACATATCAATGTTAAACTTGAATGTAAATGGGCTAAATGCCCCATTAAGAGATGCAATGTGGCAAGCTGGATAAAGAAGCAAGACTCAATGGTATGCTGTCTTCAAGAGACCCATCTCACATGCAATGACACTTATAGACTCAAAATAGAGGAATGGAGGAAAATCTACCAAGCAAATGGAAAAGAGAAAAAGCAGGAGTAAAAATCCTACTTTCAGGCAAAACAGACTTTAAACCAACAAAGATCAAAAAAGACAAAAAAGGGCATTACATAATGGTAAATGGTTCAATTCAACAAGAAGATCTAACTAACTTAAACATATATGCACCCAACTAAGGAGCATCCATATTCATGAAGCATGTTCTCAGAGATGTTCAAAGAGACTTAGAATACCACACAGTAATAATGGGAGAAGGAAACATTCCACTGACAGTATTAGATCATTGAAGCAGAAAATTGACAAAGATATTCAGGACCTGAACTAACACTGAACCAAATAGACTTGATAGACATACACAAAAGTCTCCACTCAAGAATAATAGAATATACATTCTTATCACCGCATGGCACGTATTCTAAAATTGACCACACAGTTGAACACAAAACACTCCTCAGCAAATGCAAAAGAATCAGAATCATATTAACCAGTCTCTCAGACCACAGTGCATTAAAAATAGAATTCATGACTAAGAAAATTACTCGAAACCATACAATTATATGGCAATTAAGCAACCTGCTCCTGAATGACTTTTGGGTATATAGTAAAATTAAGGAAGAAATCAAGAAGTTCGTTAAAACTAATAAGAACTGAGATACAACATACCAGAATCTCTGGGACACAGCTAAGGCAGTGTTAACAAGGAAATTTATAGCGCTAAACACTTACATCAAAACGTTAGAAAGATCTCAAATTAACAACCTAACATCACAACTAAAATAACTAGAGAAGCAAGAGCAAACCAACCCTAAAACTAGAAGAAGACAAGAAATAACCAAAATCAGAGCTGAACTGAAGAATGGGACACAAAAAAACCATTCAAAAGATCAATGAAGGCAGGAGCTGGTTTTTTGAAAAAGTAAATAAAATAGATAGAGTGCTAGCCAGACTAATAAAGAAGAAAAGAGAGAGACCCAAACAAACACATTTAGAAACAACAAAGGGGATGTTACCACTGGCCCCACAGAAATACAGATTACCATCAGAGACTACTATGACTGCCTCTGTGCACACAAACTAGAAAATCCAGAACAAATTGATACATTTCTTGACACATACATCCTCCCCAAGACTGAACCAGGAAGAAATTGTATCCCTGAGTAGATCAATAATGAACTTTGAAACTGAGTCAGTAATAAATAACCTACCAACCAAAAACAGCCTGGGACCAGACAGATTCATAGCTGAATTCTGCCAGATATACAGAGAACTGGTATTATTTCTACTGAAACTATTCCAAAAAATTGAGGAGGAGGGACTCCTTTCCAATTCATTCTATGAGGCCAGCATCATGCTGATACTAAAACCTGGCAAAGCCACAACAAAAAAGAAAACTTCAGGCCAGTATTCTTGATGAACTTTGATACAAAAATTATCCACAAAATACTAGCAAACCAATTCCAGCACCACATTAAAAAGCTAATCCACCATAATTGAGTAGGCTTTATCCCTGAGATTCAAGGCTGATTCAACATACACAGATCAATAAATGTGATTCATCACATAAACAGAACTAAAGACAAAAACCATGATTGTCTCAATAGATGTAGAAAGGGCTTTCAAATAAAATTCAATATCCTTTCATGTTAAGAACTCTCAGTAAATTAGGTATTGAAGGAACATACCTCAAAATAATAAGAGCCATCTATGACAAACCCACACAGACAACATCATACTGAATGGGAAAAAGCTGGAAGCATTACCCTTGAAAACTGGTACAAGACAAGCATGCCCTCTCTCACCATTCCTATTCAACATAGTATTGGAAGTCCTGGACCGGGCAATTAGGCAAGATAAAGTAATAAAGGGTATCCAATAGGAAGAGAGGAGGTCAAGCTATCCCTGTTTGCAGATGACATGATTCTGTATCTAGAAAACCCCATAGTTTTTGCCACAAAGCTCCTTAATCTGATAAACAACTTCAGCAATGTTTCAGGATACAAAATCAATGTACAAAAAATCACTAGCATTCTTATAAACCAACAACAGCCACGCTGAGAGCCACTTACACACTGTTGGTGGCAGTGTAAGTTCTTTTAACCAGTGTGGAAAGCAGTGTGGTGATACCTCAAAGGGCTAAAAACAGAACAACCATCTAACCCAGCAATCCCATTCCTGGGTATATACCAAAGTGAATATAATTCATTATATCATAAAGACCCATGCACACATATGTTCTTTGCAGCACTATTCACAATAGCAAAGACATGGAATCAACCTAAATACCCATCAGTGATAGACTGGATAAAGAAAACATGGTACATATGCATCACGGAATACTATGCAACCATAAAAAAGAATGTGATCACATTCTTTGCAGGTACATGGATGGGGCTGGAGGCCATTATCCTTAGCAAAGTAACACAGGAACAGAAAACCAAATCCACATGTTCTCACTTAAAAGTGGGAGCTAAATGATGAGAACACATGGACACATAGTGGGGAACAGACACTGGGTCATACTTGAGGGTGGAGGGTGGGAGGAGGGAGAGAATCAGGAAAAACAGCTATTGGGTACTAGGCTCAGTACCTGAGTGATGAAATAATCTGTACAGCAATACACCATGACATGCCAAACCCTATATACCAAACCTACACATGTACCCCTGAACCTAAAATAAAGTTAAAAGGCCGGGTGTGGTGGCTCACGCCTGTAATCCCAGCACTTTGGGAGGCCCAGGCGGGCGGATCACGAGGTCAGGAGATCAAGACCATCTTGGGTAACACGGTGAAACCCTGTCTCTACTAAAATACAAAAAGAAATTAGCTGGGTATAGTGGCGGGCACCTGTAGTCCCAGCTACTCGGGAGGCTTGAGGCAGGAGAATGGCGTGAACCCGGGAGGCGGAGCTTGCAGTGAGTCGAGATCATACCACTGCACTCCAGCCTGGGTGACAGAGCGAGACTCCGTCTCAAAAAAAAAAAAAAAAAAAAAGAGATACTGAGGCTTAATGATTTCCTCAGGGCCACATGAATAAAAATTGTGAGTTGGGCTTCCACAACAGGCATCTAATTTCACTTACCTCATATGGCATCCCAAGTCAGTCAATACGTATTTGCATCTAGTTGGTGATTCTCACAGGAGTGCATGGCTACTCCTGACTCAAGACTGGTCCTTCTGTAAGTGGAAAGCTTTTCCCCATTTGGAGAGAGTGGCATCTGGAATAAGGGAGGGAGAGCTCACTACCTAAGGCCGACTTAATGCTGCGCTAGGTGTTGCGGGTTTACAAAAGTACAGAGATAAGAAAAATCAACTAAATTTCAATACTTGATTTCCCACATGTGTGTTGGTTCCTTTTCCTTTTGTATATTTTAATTCCACTGTGCTGCTTATTAAATCCACAATTCTGTATGTATCTTGAGTTTAGAGGGAATGTTTTATTCATTGCGCAGTGTCTGAAACATAGTACAAGCATAGTAACTTCATTACATTTTTAAAAGTTATAATCCAAATCTATATGAACCACAACAATCCCATTGATATTTTGATGAATTATATAATTAGAATTTATTGTTGGGATAGCCATTTCTTCTTCCAGTGCAAATAATACTAAAAAGAAAAATCATGTGCATATTATTAATTACAATTTCACGTGAATTAAGAATTCTTCTTTATTATTTATGTAGCCATTTTTTACCCTACAGGAATGACAATAATCCTTTCCCATTATTGATAACATAATAATAATAATACTGTTATGCTTATTTTTTCTGTTTTTCCTCTAGACTCAGTCATCCTATTAACTCAAGTCATTTGATTTAATGGAGTAAGTTAATTCATATTTTGACTGTGAGTTTCCACTAACAAAGGAAAAAATTCTTGGAAGTCTCTTAAGAAGTCCATTTCTTTGTTAAAAGCAATAATGTAGTTTGTTCACTGCTGTGTGGAGGTGAGACTGTGAGATAGTCTAATAATACAAAAGTCTAGGAAGTGCAGCTTTCTCTTCTACTTTTGAAAATTACCCTGTTTCAGGATGCTTCGTCTCACTACCTTTTGTTTTTGAGCGTATTCAATGTATGACTAATCAGAAGATTAAAGGTATTTTGCCTAAATGCATTTTTCTACAAAACAGGGCAAGAATTAGAAAAGCCTGCAGTAGTGTAAGTAAGCTGACAGAGGTGAAAGCTTTTTTAAATTAAAAAATTTGATAAAATTGCTACTGCTCAGTTATTTATAGAGATTGCAAATATGTAAATTGGTTGAGTGAGAAGATAAATTAAGGGGAAAAACAAGCTAATGGGAAGGACCGACCACTACAAACAGCATTAGCAGTGCCAGTGTTCCAAAGGCGTGCTCTCAGGAAATTTTTCACCTAGAGAAAATATCAATTATGCTCCTACCATTCTGATTATAGACAGAGGTGGTTATTTTATATATTTCTGCTGGATAATACATCTAAAAGCTATGAATTTGAATATAATATATATAATCCTTGTTTTATAAGGATATGAAAAATTATCTTTTATAGAATGCATCAAATCCAAGGAAGAAGATAATGTGGCATATTCAGAAGTCTTTTCATGGCATTTCCCAGAAATCTGAGAACTAAAGTCACTATGAAGACTCTTCTGTAGAAGAGACCACTACAGACATCAGTTTCTACTAAACAGTGAAAAGTCAGAACCATTATATATTAGGTAGAATGGGAATTAAATGGCCGTGTTCACATTTATAATGCATTTGAAAAGCGAGACTAGACTACAATGCTTTGTAGTAATAATAGATTCAGTGATTTCACTTGAGACATAGCAAATTAAATCTCAGAAATGTTGCTGAATTGATTGCAGGGTTCCAACCTCTACTATGAAAAGAGGAAGCCCCGCAGCTCTACTACAATTTGCCTGACAAGGCTGAGGCTCCAAGCATGAGTGATCAAAAGAAGATAAGTCATTCTGGCCCTAATAAGCATAGCTGCTGTTAACCACGGGAGGAGTTTTAAAGTCTCTCATAGGAAGAGCCTAGTTGTCCAAGCTGTAGTTTCGAGAGAGGCCAAACGCTCATCAGTTCATCTTGTGTGTGTGAATATCAGTTGCAAAGGTTGAAACAGAATTATGCCATATATTCTAAAACAGGTGTCAAATAATATCCTGTGTACTACTTTATCCTAGGCATTTTGGGGAACATCAAAATGCCTAGGATAAAGGCATTTTGGGGGGCCATCAAAAAAGCATTGGCTTATCAAAAATTGGAGGAGACAGTGTTATAAGAAGCACCTGAGACAGTAAGTGTAAATCGTGTGGCCCTGACCGTAAATAGAATGGGAGCCTGCAGCATGGACTGGCATGATCAGAGGTTTGGAGCTGGAACCATAAAAAGCCCCTATTAGGTCCTGCCTTCCACCCACCACACCATCCAGGCCAACAGATGCTCACTGTCCACAGGCTTAACTGATGATTCCTGTCACCTGATTTTCCAGGGTGAGCAGGGTCACTGAAGTATCTCAGGTGAATATCCCCTACAGGACTAGAGGAGGGTGACTTTGGAGTAGACTGTGTGGGACAAGAGAAATAGGTGGTGAAATCTGTGGGGACATCAGTGGGAGTCTTTGGTCTGTGGTCTAATAAGTAAACCTGAGATCGAGGTCAGGATCTGAAATACCTGGGTCTACCTCATGGATTTGTATATTGCATCTGCATCATGTCCAGCATTGGATATGATCATATCTCCTGTAGGTTACATTTCACAAAGGTTTGTTAGTTCTGTGTAGGCAAATATAAAGAGGTATATGTGTATGTATAAGCATTTAAAATTCTGTCCCTCCTGGCCAACATGGTGAAACCGAATCTGTACTAAAAATACAAAAATTAGCTGGGCATGTTGGTGCATGCTTGTAATCCCAGCTACTTGGGAGGCTGAGGCGGAGAATCACTTGAACCTGGGAGGTGGAGGTTGCAGTGAGCCGAGATCACGCCACAGCACTCCAACTTGGGCGACAGGGAGAGACTCCATCTCAAAACAAACAAACAAAGAAACAAAATTCTGTGAGGTGTCTTTTGTAGCAACTGGAATGAAACTAGAGTTCATTATCTTAAGTGAAACAAGCCAGGGGAAGAAAGTCAAATATCACATGTTCTCACCCATAAATGGGAGCTAAGTAACCTGTATAGATGGATGTAGAGAGTGGGATGACAGATAATGGAGGCTTGGAATGCTGAGGGTGGAATGAGAGGAGTGGATGATGAGAAATTAGTTGATGGGTACAATGTACGTTATTTTGGTTGATGGATACCCTAAAAGCCCTGACTTGACCACTACACAATCTATGCAGGTAACAAAATTGCAGATGTGCCCCATAAATTTGTACAACAAATAAAAAAAAATCTGTGAGAATTTGAAAGTAGCCTATGATCATTTCCAAGGAGCAGAAACAACTACACGATGCTGTGGAAGGACTAATACATTTGTTCAAAAACAAAAGCATCTAGTCAGTCATTAATTCTAGATGGCCCATGAATGCATAAATTGTGCAAAGATCTACATAGATAATCAAGGCAACCAGGTTCTACACAAGGTGAAAAGGTTCTGAAAGGACGAGAAGCCTTCTAGGCCACCAGTTGGTCACCTTGCCACCACAACAATGGCCCATTTGATAGGAGACAATGCCATAGAGGGGAGAAAAGAACAGAAGATTGAGAGGAGAAAGGACGCAGGTTTTGTTGCTGTTGTTTTTGTTGTTAATGTTTCCTCTTGCTTCCATGTACTGCTTGTCTTTTACAATCAGTTTATAACTTCAGGGCCCTGGGACTGTTTTTATTGAAACATGACTTAGAAACTGTAAAGCTGTTTTAGGCATTGCTGGGAACCGCTGAAATAGATAAGAAATTGTTATACTCGGCAAAGTTGAAAACAAATAACTATCAGCAAGCTGCCCAACTCTACCAAACTCACAGTGATACTAAATCAATAGAAAGATGCTGATTTATGAGCAGTGAAGTCATTCTCTTCGGAGACCCTGAAGTATATGGACATTGCAGTCTTCAAGCATAACCCCCTCCCAAATTCTATGCTATTTAAAAAACTTTTTAAGAGACTACCATGCTACAGTTCAAATCTGAGCAATTAAATCAAATTGTGCATTTTTACCTTAGAATCAATGGAAATCTGTTGTGTATACTGGAAATAAAGGAAACTTGTGGGGAAGATTATAGCACCTCTCTAGTCACAGCAGTCCATCAAAATACCTCTGTTTAATCAGGCCATGATGACAAGCAAAATTTAATTGAATAAATTTGAATGAAAATCACTGTGGTAGACAAAATAATGGCCCCCAAAAGATGCCCATGCCCTTAAGCCCTGGGATCTATGAATGTTACCTGACATGGCCAAGGGGAAGTAAGGTTGCAGGTGGAGTAAAGGTAGCTAATCACTAATGTTAAAATAGGTCAATGAGCTTGGTTACCCAGGTGCATCCAATGTAATCACTAGGGTCCTGAAAAATGGAAGAGTCAGGGGGAGTTGACGTTAGAAAGACTCAGTTGGCCATTGCTGGCTTTGAAGATGGCAGAGGGCCATGAGCCATAGAAATGTGAGCAGCTTCTAGAATCTGGAAAAGTCAGGAAGACAACATTCTCCCCTGGAGTCTCCAGAAAGAAATGCAGCTCCTCCAACACTTTCATTGCAGCCTGGTGATACCTACTTTGGTCTGATAACTTGCAGAATGTAAGATAATACATTTTTGTTTAACGCATTAAGTTTGTGGTAGTTTATCAGCAGGAGTAGGAAACTAATGCAACCACTAAGAGAAAATTTTTCTTAGTGTAGGAAAATTAGAATAGAGGTTATTCTCAGGAATTGCAACCTGAGCTCTTAATCTTTCTGACATTTTATACATAAGAATAGAACTTTAAACCTAGCTAATGTGTATTTTAAGAATGAATAATTGATGCACCATTATTAGCACATATCTATATTTTCTCCTATTTGAGAACAGATTTTCAAAAAGCAATATGATGATTCACATGGCACACTATGTGTGGATTTATTGACTATCCCTGTAGAACAGCACTCTAATACATCACTAAAACACAGAAAACTTATAATACAAGCAAACATTATAGCAGTATGAGAGAAATGGCTTTCTGTCACACTTAGCCTAGTCTCAGATTAGATAAAAGAGGAAAACAATAATTATTCCAAATTCAAATTGTGCCAGGATGTATCTGTAGCATATGTCCTTGAAAACAGCAAAGGGTATATAATTTGATATTAGGAAACAGGACAAGCTCTGGAATTCTCAAGAATGAAATGGAAATTGTAACTCCTACGGCACTTGATGGCCGCAAGGACCTAATTGTATATGCGTATGTATTGTACATATACAATTGTATATGTAAATAGCCTCACGCTGTGGTACATGGTAGGTGCTCACTAATTAATAGATACCAGTATTAAAAGTCAATTTCTTCTCTCCTCTTAATGGTTCTAGAGTATGGTAAATTGTAGCTGGACAGCCTTGGGTTTGGCTAGAGTAGAAAGTTACCTTCATGGTGTCTAATATTTTCTCTTCCATTCCAAATTATTGTAGTGTGTGTGTGTGTGTGTGTGTGTGTGTGATTTTGTTTTTGTTGTTTTTTCTTATTTTGTTTTACCAAGGTAGCAAAACAGTAGACATGCCACTCTTGCCTGTACCTCAGGGCCTTTGTACTTGGTGTTTCTTCAGCTGGGAATACTTTCCCTCCAGATTTCACATGATGACCTGTCTGTCACTTTATTTGGATTTCTGTCCCCACTTAATACTGTCTGATGTTATTTTTTAAATTTGGCTTCTCCAGAGAAAATGAACCAATAAGGATGTGTGTGTGTGTGTGTGTGTGTGTGTGTGTGCATGTGTGTGTAAAATGAGATTTATTACAAGGCATTGGCTCATGAACTCATGAAGGCTAAGTCCCACAATCTGCTGTCTACAAGCTGGAGACCCAGGAAAGCCAGTGGCTTAGTTTAGTCCTAGTCCAAAGGCCTAAAAAATAGGGGTGTGGGATGATAAGTCCCAGTCTGAGGGCAGTGGAAGGACAATGTCTGAGCTTAAGCAATCAGGCAGCGAGAGAATTCAGGCTTCCTCGACCTTTTTGTTCACTTTCAGCCCTGAATGGGTTTGAAGATGTCCGCTCACTATTGGGGAGGCCATCTGCTTTACTCGGTCTGCCAATTTAAATACAAATCTCTTTCGGAAACACCCTCACAGACACAGCCAGAAATAATGTTTAACCAGATATCTGAGCATCCTGTGGCCCAGTCAGGTTAATACATAAAATTGTCACAATTTTGTACATATTTATTTATTTATTGCCTGACTCCTTCACTTGAATGGAAACCTCATGGATGCAGGGACTTTTGCTTGTTCACTGTTTGATGTCAGCACCTAGGACAGGACCTGGGACTTCGTGCATTCTCAGCAAATGAGATGAAAGAATAAATGTCTAGTCTGATGGGCTACCCTTAGAGAGTAACCCGACCTTTCAGGCACATATACACCATGGAATACTATGCAGCCATAAAAAATGATGAGTTCATGTCCTTTGTAGGGACATGGATGAAATTGGAAATCATCATTTTCAGTAAACTATCGCAAGAACAAAAAACCAAACACCGCATATTCTCACTCATAGGTGGGAATTGAACAATGAGATCACATGGACACAGGAAGGGGAATATCACACTCTGGGGACTGTTGTGGGGTGGGGGGAGGGGGGAGGGATAGCATCGGGAGATATACCTAATGCTAGATGACGGGTTAGTGGGTGCAGCGCACCAGCATGGCACATGTATACATATGTAACTAACCTGCACAATGTGCACATGTACCCTAAAACTTAAAGTATGATTAAAAAAAAAAAAAGAATAAATGTCGGGGCTAAAGCCTCATTTTCTTTTCTTTCTTTTTTTTTTTTTGAGACGGAGTCTCTCTCTGTCGCCCAGGCTGGAGTGCAGCGGTGTGATCTCGGCTCACTGCAACCTCCGCCTCCTGGGTTCATGCCATTCTCCTGCTTCGGCCTCCTGAGTAGCTGGGACTACAGGCGCCCGCCACCACACCCAGCTAATTTTTTGTGTTTTTAGTAGAGACAGGGTTTCACCGTGTTAGCCAGGATGGTCTCGATCTTCTGATCTCGTGATCTGCCTGCCTTGGCCTCTCAAAAGAAGTGCTCTTACAATCTATGTTAATTCATCTTGCTTTATCCCATGTTCAGAACTGAACTTTGAGTTGAGGTATGCCTAAAGCATTCTTTCTGAGCATCAGATGACTTGATATGGTTACAGCACAAATTGGCACCAAAGGACACAGCCCAGTAAGTCACAGGCTGTTGCCTTCTAACTCAGTATCATAGTTATGGAGACTTCTGTTGGGGTTTTAGGGTTAATGGAATGGAACAGATGTAGGAGAGTCTATCACCTTTGATAGTATTGCTGGATGAAAGAATGAGGTTGGAATGCTAGGTTGTGATGGTTAATTTTATGTATCAACTTGGCTGGGCCAACGGATGACCAGATAAACTAGTAGGACATTATTTTTGGGTGCATCTATGAGGGTGTTCCTGGAAGATATTAACGTTTAGGTAGACTGAGTCAAGATCACCCTCAGCAATACGTGTGGGCACCATCCAATCTGTTGAGATCCTGAAGAGAACAAAAAGATGGAGGAAGGAAAAATCTGCTCTCTCCCTGAGCTGAGACACCAGCTCCTGCTCTCACCTGCACCTTCTCCTGCCCTCAGACATTGGTGCTACTGGTTCTCCAGCTTCTGACTCAGATGGAGACTTACATCATTGACTCCCCAGGTTATGAGAGTTTTGAGTCTGGACTACAACCAGACCATCAGTTTTCCTGGGCCTGCAGCTTACAGAAAGCAGATGGTGAGACTTCTCAAACTCCATAAGCACGTGAGCCAATTTCTCATAAATATCTTACTATACATCTCTGTTGTCAACCTAAAAAAAGACACTAGAGAAAATTTATTTCTATGGTATATTGAGTTTACTCAGGGGTAAGAATCAATTATTATAACTGGAATGCATGGCATGGTAAACCACTAATGTATCTGTGAGAGAAGGGCAAAGGGAAGCTTTCATTAGCAAAAACAGAGAGTTTTATAGAAGTAGCTTAGAAATAGAATTCATTGGTTCCAGAGAGCTGTTGTCAGTTCACTGGTGGAGATGTCATTACTGGGCGAGTGTTCTGAGATATCTTATCTGAATTACTGCAGTACTAAAGAATATCTAGTGATAAACCTTGTCAAAACAGGAGATGCATGAAGGATGCAAAAAGGTTTCTTGTGGGGTTTTTAGAAAGTCCCTGAAAGCAGTTTTTATCTCCCATATGTGAGCATGAGCCATCTCTCCTTCATACTATCCTGACTTTATTTTATCCAGGTCTGACAAAAGTGATTTTATCCTGGTATCTGAAACTTCTGACTAAAACATAAGACAAATACTTCTTTCTACTTATTCGGCACGTCCTAGTTTTGGGATAGTTGGTCCGAGAAACAGCCTTGGTTTACAGAACAGACCCTCTGAAGGCAGCCAGCTTCGAGAGAGGATGCTGCCTTGCTTGCTGGCTAACAGGGAGGGTGACTAAACATGTATGAGGTGTTTCATTCATAAATCCTTAACTGCACTGAGTCAAGGTATGTCAACAGATGGATGCCAGATCCTTGTTACTGATTAATCAGAGAATTCACTCCTATTGGAGGGAAAGGGATGGCCAGTATTACACTAGGGAAGCGTCCACATGGAAAACAGGAGGACAGGGAAAGAAAGTTTGCTCTAACATCTTCTGAGTCCTTCAAAGTGCTTTTCATCTGTGATTTTTGTTTACTCCTCTTACTAAGAAGAGTAAATATTTAACGTGAGCAGGAAGTCTGAGACCCAGGGCTTTAGTGTCACATACAGTATAGGGCTCAATAGATCCATATATAAGAACAACAATGATCTCTCATGGGGAACCAATGGAAAAGTTAAAGTAACTTGCACCTATTTATGGAAAGCTCACATTAACACTCAAATGCTAATTAGAGAAAAATGTGACCAAAATGTTAACCCGAATCTATTGAAATGAAAAATAATATGTGTTACTTTCATTCCAGATTACTTAGTACATCCATGTGATTTATTTTTGGTAGGAAAGTCTTTTAAATGTCATTATATATAAGATCATTTTCAAACCCCAAATATTTACTAAATTCCATGCTCATTAATACATTTTCTAATAAGCATTCTTAACTCATTAGGATGGAATAACTGTTTTTTCTTAGATTTCAACTGGCATAGAGGACAGAAACCACTGGAACAAAACTAATGGAATTTTTTCTCCAGATCCAGGTTACCACATCTGTACCTCTGTCTTGGAGTTTGAGAAATAATCAGAACATGCTGTTTTCCTATCTCATGGAAACTCCTTTAAGCTGCAGGCTTGGCTATGGGTAGACAAAGGCATAAAGTGTTATGATGGACATTGGAGACTCAGAAGCAGGAAGGGTGGGAGAGGGATGTGGGATTTTAAAAACTACATATTGGGTATAATTAACACTACTCAGGTGCCCAGGGCACTAAAATCTCAGACTTCACCCACTATACCATTCATCCATGCAGCCAAAACCCATTTGTACCCCTAAAGCTATTGAAATAATAATAATTTTAAAAAGACACAAGCTTGGGAACAGCATAATGATGGCGTTCCCCCGACCGCCTATAACACCATGACATACATTTTGATCACTTTTTTAAAAAGCATTTTAAACAATGATTAAGTCCTGCTGGGTCAATCTACTAAATAAGGCATCAGTAACAAAAAAATTCACATATAGCTGGAAAGTTTGCTGTGAACCCAATCACTCCAAATTCACAAAATGTTGAGTTTTTGTGGTAAAGCATTGGAGAAGTGTGAAGGCATTTATTTAGACAATAATTTTGTGGATCTTTATCAGGCAATTAGCCTGTATGGGCCTAATTGGGTTCTTAATGGGTTCTTATTTCCAAAGAAAAGTTTAACTTCCAGGTGCATTTCTTGACCTATAACTACCTTTTTACAAATAAAATTATCTCACTATTATGGGATGAGTTTTTTCCTACCCCAAAATTCATTTGTTGAAACCCTTACCTGCAGTACCCTAGACTATGACTATATTTGGTGATAAGGTCTTTGAAGTGGTAATTAAGTTAAAATGAGGTCATCTGGTGAGCCTTAATCCAACTGGACTGGTGTCCTACTAAGAAAAGATTAGGATACAGACATGCCGAGAGGGAAGCCCGTGTGAAGACACAGGGAGAAGACGGCACCTGCCAGCCAAGGAGAGAGGCCTCAGGAGAAACCATCCTTGCTGAAATCATGGTCTCAGACTTCTGGCCTCCAGAATCATGTGAGAATAAATTCCTGATGTTTAAGTCACTCAGTCTCTGGTAGTTTGTTAAGGCGGCCCAACAGACTAACACAGCTACTTTAATAAAGAAGATTTTCGGCTGGGCACGGTGGCTCAAGACTGTAATCCCAGCACTTTGGGAGGCCGAGGCGGGCGGATCACGAGGTCAGAAGATCAAGACCATCCTGGCTAACACAGTGAAACCCCATCTCTACTAAAAATAGAAAAAATTAGCCAGGTGTGGTGGTGGGTGCCTGTAGTCCCAGCTACTTGGGAGGCTGAGGTAGGAGAATGGCGTGAACCCAGGAGGTGGAGGTTGCAGTGAGCCAAAGTCACGTGACTGCACTCTAGGCTGGGTGACAGAGCAAGACTCTGTCTCAAAAAAAAAAAAAAAAAAAAAAAAAAAAAAAATTAGCTGGGAATGGTGGTGTGTGCCTGCAATCCCAGCTACTCAGGAGGCTGAGGCAGGGAAATCGCTTGAACCCAGGAAACAGAGGTTGCAGTAAGCTGTGATCTCACCACTGCACTTCAGTCTGGGCTACAGAGTGAGACTCTGCCTCAACAAAGAAAAGAAAAGAAAAAGAGAAGAAAAGAAAGAAAGAAAGTGTTTCTCCTTGAGGCGTATCACACATGGATTCAGTTCCCCAACTCTTGTTAAGCTGCCACAGGGCTTTGCCTGGGCATGTCCCTACCTGTTCCTGTCTTCTGCCCTTCTGGGCCCTCCTGCTCTACTTTGGTTATGCAGCTATGAAATTACTCCAAACATTTACATAGTTTGCTACCTGAATGATACATGTGTGAAGGTTGATTGTACAAATTGGGTTATTCTTTTTTTGTCTGTTTGTTTCTAGATGCCCTGAGATCAGTTTCTAGCTTTTTCTTTTTTAAATTTTACTTTAACTTCTGGTATACATGTGCAGAATGTGCAGGTTTCTTATATGTCCCATGGTGGTTTGCTGCGCCTACCAACACATCATCTAGGTTTTAAGCCCTGCATGCATTAGGTATTTGTTCTAATGCTCTCCCTCCCTTTTTCCCTTACCCCCGGACAGGCCCTGGTGTGTGATGTTCCCCTCCCTGTGTCCATGTGTTCTCATTGTTCAACTCCCACTTATGAGTGAGAGCATGGTTTTCTGTTCCTCTGTTAGTTTGCTGAGAATGATGGCTTCCAGCTTCATCCATGTCCCTGCAAAGCACATGAACCCATTTTTTTATGGCTGCATAGTATTCCATGGTGTATTTGTGCCACATTTTCTTTATCCAGTCTATCATTGATGGGCATTTGGGTTGGTTCCAAGTCTTTGCTATTGTAAATAGTGCTGCAATAAATATACATGTGCATGTGATTCTTATCACATCCAACTAAAACAGAGTTGAGAAGCCAGGAGATAAAGCACTCATGTTACAAAATGTTGCTCCAAGAATGTAATCTCTGAAAGCCTGACTACTGGAACTGCTTTTGAGACCAGTTTTATCCATAGCTTCTGAGATAACTTGCTACAATTCTGTGACTACTTTTTCGCACCACCTTTGCTCATTATTCAGAGCTTGCCAGCTCCCCAAACCCTTCCTAGTGCCAATGAACTTACTCAAAGAGGAATACATAACATTTCTCCTTTTTATAAAACCTCTAACCTTCTCTTCGTTCTTCAGAGAGAGTGTGTTCAGGGTTGGTTCCTTCCAGTGGGTTTGTGGTCTCGCTGACTTCAAGAATGAAGCCATGGACCTTCACGGTGAGTTTTACAGCTATTAAAGGTGGCATGGACCCAAAGAGTGAGCAGCTGCAAGATTTATTGTGAAGAGCGAAAGCCCTGCCCCGTAACCCAAAACGGTCCCTGGACCCTGCTGACCAGAATAGTTGCGCTCACCGAAGCAGCAGCAGAAACACTAGTTTTCCTCCTATACCACAAAGAGGACCGAGAAATGTCAGATTTAGTGGCCCTTACCGATGCATTCTCGAAAACCTGTTAGAGTCCTAAGAGTTTTCTCCTGTTAGTATTGGGACTTTACCCCTGTCCTATAAAGATGATATGCCCCCAAAACAGAGTGGAGGGCTATACCCTGAAGGAGGGAAGGAATCTCCCAGGTTGGAAGAGTAACACATTTTGTCCTCACTTATCATATGAATAGGAAGGATATAATTTCTGAGGCTACCCATATCCTAGCTTCGGGAATCACCTTTGTTAGGTCTGCTAGTCTGAGGAGGGATCCTAAAATCCCAGATAGTCCCCCACCCCACAACAAGACTTTGGGCAAAGATTATATCTTTCTGATTGGTGAGCCTGGGTGCCTAAAGAAAGGAACAGAGTCCCAAAATTTATACTAGAAATCATTCTTATAGGAGAATCTAGAAAAGCACCAGAGACAGGGAGTGGTTTTTAGAAGCAGGACTAGCCTCGGAGAAGAGAGACAGGAGGAAGTTTGTCTGACAGGCGTTAGGACCCAGGAGACAAGGGTCAGGATAGATAGGGTAGATGGGTGAGTCTTGCTTGGGCGACATGCCTTTGAGAGTTCCGCTCATGGCTGCAGGGTCAGCCAACTTTTTGTTGGGACCCCGGAGCTGAATGGCTTTCCTCTCTATCGACCCTCAGCTCAGCCCAGAAGTACAGGGAAAGCGGAAGCTGGTTCCAGGCAAACCAATGCTCCCAGCTCTGAAGAGTCAGAGATTGTTAGAGAGCCCTTTCCCAGAAAGCCTGACACCTGTGTCTTTAGTCTGGTGGCTGTGCTAGTCGCTTTTAACTGGCCAACAGGTGCCTGGTGTTTAGCCCCCAAATTGTAAGGAAACATAGGACAGAATAGCAAGCAAAAGGGTTCCAGTGGTACTCACCACTTGGCGATAGTCCCTTCGTGGTCTCCAAGATGTGTCCGGAGTTGGTTCCTTCTGGTGGGTTCGTCATTTCGCTGACTTCAAGAATGAAGGTGCGGACCTTCCTGGTGAGTGTTAGTTTTTTTTTTTTTTTTTTTTTTTTTTTTTTGAGATGGAGTCTTGCTCTGTTGCCCAAGCTGGAGTGCAGTGGCGTGATCTGGCGTGATCTCGGCTCACTGCAAGCTCTACCTCCCAGGTTCACACCATTCTCCTGCTCAGCCTCCCAAGTAGCTGGGACTACAGGTGCCCACCACCACATCTGGCTAATTTTTTGTATTTTTGGTAGAGATGGGGTTTCACAGTGTTAGCCAGGATGGTCTCAATCTCCTGACGTCGTGATCCGCCTGCCTCCGCCTCCCAAAGTGGTGGGATTACAGGCATGAGCCACTGTGCCCAGCCTAGTGTTACAGCTCTTAAAGATGGCACGGACCCAAAGAATGAGCAGCAGCAAGATTTACTGTGAAAAGCGAAAGACCAAAGCTTCCACAGTGTGGATGGGGACCTAATCAGGTTGCCACTGCTGGCTAGGGTGACCAGCTTTTATTCTCTTATTTGTCCCCGCCCATGTCCTGTTGATTGGCCCATTTTACAGAGAACTGATTGGTCCATTTTACAGAGCACAGATTGGTCCATTTTACAGTGTGCTGATTGGTCCATTTTAGACACCTCTAGCTAGCCACAGAGCGCTGATTGGTGCGTTTTACAATCCTAGCTACAGAGCACTGATTGGTGCGTTTTACAATCCTCTTGTAAGACAGAAAAGTTCTCCAAGTCCCCACGCAACCCAGGAAGTCCAGCTGGCTTCACCTCTCAAGAGCTCTGTTGGTTCTCACCAGAGATGATCTCTCCCTGGTTTGCAAACTGATATTGCTGATAAAACTCTTTTTTCTACTCTCAAGCCATTCTGGTGGTCCTTTGGACAACATATGCCTTGCTTTAGTAAGGACTGGGAGTGTATTTTCCCCTCCCTTGGAGAACAAGGTGTCTTATCAGACCCCATACATGAGAACTTGGAGCTACTTCTCCTCCCCTCGGGAATGTGACATCACAGCTTATCAGACCCGGTATGAGTTACTGAGCTTGACTACTGGACTTCAAGTCTAATAAACCTAAGAGTTTGACAGACACTTTAAGAGCTTAGGTCATGGCAGGGTTTCCTCTGTCAGCCATTCTCCAATGACCAGGAGCTTGTGCTGTGACAGGGCTGCACTGTCCACCACTTCTCCCCAACTTCCCTCTAGTATCCAGGGACCACCCCAGCCTTCTCTAGTCTCCACTGTGATGGCCAACCCAGTTTCCCTCAAGAACTGCTAGTATAAAGGAACACCTCCAGCTTTAATTAGAAGTTACTTCCCACAGAGACTTTCATCCTAATGGAGCAACTAGACTTTAATAATTGAGGACCTCACTCATCTGTGGTCAGTGTGCCTCATCTCTCGAGTGGATTCCCTGGGAGATTTGTTCACAATGTTATCTTCTTTTAGTGTTCTGAACCTAAGAAAAAAATTCTCTTTGCATGTGGATAAACCACAGATCCATGAAATCATACTTCGACCATCTCCTTGTTTTAACCATGCAAAAACACCTTTGTGGTTCCTTCCTCTACTGGCTTAACCCTTGGCTTTCTTCTGTTTTTCAACAAGTGGAGGCTCAGAAGCCCCCAAGCAGGTTTACCAAGGTGCCCATGGGCCACCACATGCCCAGCCTCACTGTGCCCTGCCCCACGGCTGCGCCTCCTCTGCTTCGCCCAGCACCTGGAACATCCCTCCTTCCGAACAGCGCCAAGTATGCATCTGTGCTGCTGCCCCGCCCGCTGCCCCTAAGGGCTCCTATAAGGCACGTGCATCCCTCTGCCCTGGCGCTAGGCACTGCCTTGCATCAAACCCCATATTGTTTTCTCTCCCTCTAGAGAGTTAGCTTTCAGGGAGGACAGAAGGATGCAAAGGTAAAAATATTGTTGTTTGCTGTGAAGTTTACAAAAAACACAATTGTACCAAAACAGAGACAAAAAGGTGGGCTGGATTGTTTTCCAAGGATGCTTTCATTTTTAACGCCAGTGTTTCACTCTTAAATGCACTGCTAGTTTATCACAGTTCAACATACACTTTATAAAACTGGTTTTTTGTCATTGAACTTTTTTTGAAAAATGTATGATGACCACAGATGTCCTTTTGCTGGAGGCTCTCTCTAGGGTCTTACTTCATGTTTCTTTGTAGATAATGATAGTACAGTATGGTTATTTCTCATGGGTTGTGAGGAGACTAAATGATTAAATATATGTAAAGTGCCTGGGACAAAATTTGACACCTTCGTGCCCTAAATAAAAGTTTATTAAATAAATACATAGATTTGGAATTATTGGCTGGATTATATGTAATTATTCCTGACCCAGAATGTCTTAAGAAATATAGTCTCTGGACCTATCTTTAGCAATCATTGCCACTCACCACTCATCCCCTTTGCCCGCCTCATTTTAGTTACTAATGGGTGCAGCTGGGTTTGGGGATCAGGGAAGACAGTTGACATGGACTCGTACCAATACCTGGACTCTTTACACACCAAATCCTGGGGGCCAGGCACTGTTCTAGGTGCCAGACATTTAATTCACATCACAGACGTGCCATGTAAATACAACTATTTTCCCTACTTTGCGACAAGGAAATTTAGACCCAGGCAGGTTAAATAACTTTCCCAAGTTATTCCCCTACCACCGCCCACCCCTAACCAACCCCAGCTCAAACCTAGGCTGTCAGGGTTTGTGTTATTAACTATGTGCTAGAATCCAAGAAACCCAGGGCTCCTGCTTGTGTCAACAGCCTGGGAGCACAGTGACATGAGCTCGGAACCAGGAATCATCATCAAGTCTGTGTTCCCTTTTCCCAGACATCCGACACATGGTCAGTTGGGCCAGAGATGGGAGAGGAACTTCTAGAGTCACTTAGCAGAACGGAGGCTGGAGACAGGTTGGCCCTGACATCACAGGGGCTGTTCTCTCCTACTCGTGCCTCCCTCCTGGGAAAATTGTGGGGGACAGTCATGGTGATAGTACCTGGGACCTGAGTCAAGCATCCTATGTGGAGGTCTGAGTTTCCTTTGACAGAGTGTCCTGGCATCCTTCGTCTGTGATCACTGGGACACAGTCCCACTATTTTTTCCCATGGATACTGCTGCTGTGCAAACTCCATGTATAGGGTGTCACAAAGCTTACTCTGTTGTAAATACAGCTGGGTGATAGAGAATTTCATTAGTTTGTTTCTAAAGAAATACTAGAAAACAGATTGAATTAGAAAAAATTGGAAGTGGAAAGAGGATTTTTCTAGAGTTGACATTTTTACAGGAATCTAAGCATTGGTATCTAGGGGGGAGAAAGCCCAGAGTAATAATTTATTTAACTGTTGCAAATTGGAATGATGCTAATTAGATTTCATGTGTTGCTCATGATGTTTATTGCTGAAACATCCATTACCCTGCTGATTCTGGCAGTGAAATAAACATTAGAATTTTTCAACAGCTGTAGTGTAAAAGTTTAGAAATTGGACTATGAGTAGCACAATTGGGGTTTACTGTTTTGGATTACCAAAGTGTTTAGCCTTTGCCGTTCAGGGTGATTGTGTGGAAGCGGACACTGCGTGGGTGGAAGTCAAGGCAGACGCTTCCCTGTGGCGCTGGAACAAGGCGGCTGCTCTGCAGGGGGCTGTGAGCATCCCTCCTCGTGAAGCCATGGGTGGCTATTAGGTAATGCAGCAGCTGTTGCAAATAAGAGCCAGGGTGTCCTGGTGACTGCCGCACCTTGCCCCTTGTAGGAAATGCTGCTGCCTCTGAGCAGGGCTCAGGGGCTGTGAGCAGTGATCGGCAGCAGCGGGGCTGTGCGGCCTGAGCTCCTGATTCCTCGGACCCACGTGCACACCTGGAGAACGGCGCACGCTTCACCTCCTGAGCACCAAGGCCCCTCCTTCGTGAGACTTACCCCATTCGTGTGAGCCCCGGGAAGAAGGAGGCATTTTCAGATGTTTTTAGAGAGAGGGCTCCTGGAGCGCTAATCAGAGCCGTCTATGTTTGAGGATGTTGTTACGGATGCACTCATTTTTCAGGATGAAAGTCCACGCTTTGCTCACACAGCAGTCCCTGATGGTTCTCCCTCTGTTCAGGGCCTTCATTACCATGTCTGGCACGACCTTGATGCAAATGAAACATTTCCAAGAACAAGGAGCTATAACAGAAACTCAGATGTTGCATTTATAATGATTCCCACTTCGGCTTTTTGACTTTAGAGTGCAAGGAAAAATGTGCAATTTCTTACTTGGGCAAAAACAAAACAAAATAAACAACTAATGCAAATCCATACCAGAGTCTGTTACTGTGAGGTAGAGGGCTCTTAAAGGAAACAATCTAACTCTAAAACTGGAACAAACCAGAGCAGCTGCCCTGAAGAATCAAGGTGGTTTCCACCCAAGCTCCACCTGACGCTTGTGAATGGAGAAGCCAACACCCCTGAGCACAGACCTGCTCTCAGGGAGGGATTTTACCTTCATCTGCACAAAGCACCCTGCCCCTGCATAGATCCATGGGGGCTCATTGGCACTAAATAGAAAAATAGATCCCTTCTGCCTCGTTCTGGTTCACACCCATGTAGCCACAGAGCTGGCAAGAAGAATAAAATAAAGTTTTAATCTATTCCATTCTCAATCTTACTGCATTTACATTTATTAATCAACTCCATTACTAAGTATACACTCCAACGTTTGCAAAATTCTGACTACATTATCTACTCTACAATGTCCAGAAGTTAGTTCATTAAAATCTGAATTTAAATTCTATGTCCATTTAGAAACTATTTGTATTGTATTCTTCTGTAATTGGTTAAGCTTCATGAGTATAAATGCAGGAATATGGATTTTTCAATGAACGTTAAATAATCTTGTTGATTAAATTAAAGTCAAAGTAATGTTTGCTTAGAAATTAAAGGATTATATTTCATTAGTATTTAATTTACTTAGTTTTAATTCCTGGCTTGTCATGAAGATGGCAAAAGCTGATGTGTTCCCTTGTTTCCTATACTATACTATGGAACATGGAATATGTGTGTGTGGGGGGGTGTTTGTGTGTGTGTGCACACAAACACAAGATACGTATACACATTTAAGTTTAAAAACAATTCCCTTGGATAAATACTAGGTATTCAAAGAAAACTCATTTAAAGTTTAGGCAAATCTAAGTGTACTGGATTTTTATTGTGCTTTGCTGAGTATAGTCTAGCTGTTGACTGTATACTGTTTTGTTGTGTCTGCAACAGTTTCATTTGCATACACTTCAGTAGTTAGTTTCCTAGACAAGTAATCTCCAGATAAGTGCATCACGACCCCTCTCTCCAAAAACATCTGAAAATGCCTCATTCTTCACAGAGCCTACTAATTGTCACTTTAAATTGGAGAAGGGGGCTGAACATTGATTACACTATGGTGAGAAGGGTCAGGTCTGCCAAATGTGGGTCTCAAGGAAGTAACCTGCACATTTTCAAAAACAGCCTTCAGGAATGGCAGGCTTTGCGTGCTGGTGCACTGAATACATGGCTGGGTCCCTAAGCTGAAAGTGCCGAGGCTGCCTGGGTGGAACGCTCAGCTCTGCCACTTCTGAGTTCAGAAAATTAGGAAAATTATTTCATCTCACTTGGCTTCAGTTTTGTCATTTTAAAATTCTGAATAATGACAGCAGAACCCAATTTCTAGATTTAAAAGGCATAATTTATATAAGGTGCTATGAAATGAGTCAGCCCATAATCAGAGTTGGCTAGTTCTAACACTTACTACAATTATTACATCAACTCTCTTTCTGTGTGGTCCTGAGAGGTCACTTGTCCTGGGAGTGTGAGTTTCTTCATCTGTAGAACAGGGAGGTTGATTAGCCAATCTTAGGATTTTATGATCCTCTTCCTGTTAGACAATTGTCTGGAAATAGGGTCCTGTCCCTCCTCCTCCACACTCTCCCATGCTGTGTGCAGGCAGATGTGACCCCTAGCTGCATGAGGGCAGGCCTGGCCCCATGGCAGCATTATCCGCTTTGCCGGGGAAAGGAGGACATCACAGATGATCCCAAGCTGTGTCCTGAAGAAACACAAAACTAAAGATTTTGCATGTGCATCCAGGAGGAAGTTTCACACTGGAATCAATTCCTTGTTCCTGAGATTCCCTTCCTCATGCATCTTTTTCTGTGGGGGTAGATGATATGGTTTGGCTTCGTCCCACCCAAATCTTATTTTGAATTCCCACATGTTGCGGGAGGCACACAGTGGGAGGTAATTGAATCATGGGGGCAGGTCTTTCCCATGCTGTTCTTGTGATTGTGAAAAAGTTTCATGAGATCTGATGACTTTATAAGGAGGATTTTCCTTCCATAAACTCTCTCTCTCTCTGCCTGCTGCCATCCATGTAAGACATGACTTGCTTCTCCTTGCCTTCCACCCTGATTGTAAGGCCTCCTCAGCCACTTGTAACTATAAGTCCATTAAACCTCTTTCTTTTGTAAATTGCCCAGTCTCAGGTATGTCTTTATTAGCAGTGTGAAAATGGACTAATACAGTAGAGAATTAGTGAGAAACTCAACTGAGAAAAAAAAACCTACAGAGAAGCAGAATCCAGAGTTATTCACACAAGGCCCAGGACATGGGGCATGTGTGGCATTCTCCTGGCTGCTCTTGCTCATAGGTAGAGGTGGATGGAAACTCCACGCACATCACCCACCCCATCTCCTGCCACCTGTCCCTAAAGCCTCCCTTGCCCTCTCCCTCCCCGCCCCTCCCCATATGCAGTGCTTTCCCAGGCTCTCCGGCAGCCCTGCTCACTTCCTCAGTGGCTGGTCTGCCAGTCATCAGCTGAGAGCAGACCCTCCATTCACCTGGTTTCCTGTACTATGCTGTACCATGGAACATGCAATATATGTGTGTGTGTGTGTTTGTGTGTGTGTATGCACAAATATCAGATACCCCACACAGTTCAATTTAAAGAAGATTATTTCTTTTGATAAATACTACACATTAAAAGAAAACTCATATAAAGGGTATTCAAATTTAGGTTCACTAGATTAATTGTTATTTACCAGGTTAATTAGCTATTATAGCCTGGAACCACACAAAGGGGTCAGCATCCTGCTCCCCAACCTTCCAAGCAGGTGTGAAGGGATCCGTGGGGAGATTCCTGCCAGGTTTCCTAACTGGTGAGGTGGGGGTGGGGCGAGGGGCAGAGAACGGCTTCCCAACAGACAGCCAGGCACCTGGGGGACCGCCAGGTGGGAGTCTGTGCTCACAAAGAAGACATTCCAGGTTGGCCTCAGCAACACTCATAGCTCCCTCCCCGCAGCCTGCACACCCTTGCTCAGGACACCTGGATGTTGTAGGATTCTCTCACCAGCCACCAGCCAGGGCCTTTGTAGCTGCTTCGGGTGCTCCCGAAGCACCTACACGCTCCCACCCTGCTACAGACGCCTGCGGTTAGAAAGCCCTCGGCATCTGTTCAGCAGAGGGTCCTGCCAGGCTCCCCTCATTCAGAGGGGACAGAATTCTCCTCCTGACAGACTTTCTTTTTTTTTCCTTTTTGGGAGGGAGTCTCCCTCTGTCTCCCAGGCTGGAGTGCAGTGGCGCGATCTCGGCTCACTGTAAGCTCCGCCTCCCGGGTTCAGGCCATTCTCCTGCCTCAGCCTCCTGAGTAGCTGGGACTACAGGTGCCCGCCACCACGCCCGGCTAATTTTTTGTAATTTTTAGTAGAGACGGGGTTTCACCATGTTAGCCAGGATGGTCTCGATCTCCTGATCTCGTGATCCGCTCGCCTCGGCCTCCCAAAGTGCTGGGATTACAGGGGTGAGCCACCGTGCCCAGCCGACAGATTTTGTTTCTATCATCATGTGGGGAGCGAACATGGATCTCTTCCTGCCTGAAGTGGGCACGACGATATTGACCCTTTGTGGGATTCCAGGCCTTTCAGCGACTCCTGAACCCAGAGGAAGGAAGCCAGGGAAAGGAATGCTATGGGGAGAGGGTGGAGAAGGCAGAGAGCAAAGGCAGGCTGTAGGGACAGGTGGTCAGGTGAAAGCCCAAACCATGCAGCGGTGAGTGGACGTTAGGGACTAGAAATAGTGCTCTCAGGGTTCACTGTGCCATGGGGAGGTGTGTATTTCACCATACCCTGTGCCCGAGAGGCTACAGAGCGGGTCCGTTCAGCTGTCCTTGTACCCACATGGGACCCCCACCACTGCAACACCAGAGGCCCGGGGCCTGCCCTCCTTGTTTGGAGGTTCTGATTTCCCCAGGATCTTGGTGAGTTTTCTTGGGCCACAGTTAATACCCTCAGAACTCTTGTCCTCACCTTCTCTCCAGCAGTTTCGTCGGACTGACAACGGTGAGTGCCTTAGGATGCAGCTCAGAACCCCTTCCCCGCGGGAGGATCTGAGCGCCTCCAGCCTTCGCTCACTGCCTCTATAGCCCTGAACTCCACTTTTATCTCCCCAGACCTAGGAAACTGTCAACAGTTTCTAAGCATTCTGCTCGGTCTCTCTGACCTTCAATACTGAACAAGCAGCAAATACGTGCAGGGAGAACGCTGACACAATTCAACGCATTTCCCTTCTCCCTGGATTCTTGGCCCTTCCATTCCTGGCCTTTGTGATCACTCTCTGACACCGGCAAGTAGCTGCTTTTTGTTTTTTATCTGGCATTTATATTTATTTTTCGTGGTGGTGGTGAGGGGGCTTCTTGGTGCGATAAAGATGTTTCTGACCTCTGAAAACTGCACAAGAATGTGAAGAGCTGCGGGTCTAACTTCTCACCAAGCAGCTGCAGGACTCCTGTTATCTCTAATAGGGGACGTTTGACACTCACAGGAAGAATTAACTCATTCTTACAGACCGAGCCTGATTTTTTAAAAATCAGTTTTTAGGCCGGGCATGGTGGCTCACGCCTGTAATCCCAGCACTTTGGGAGGCCGAGGCGAGCGAATCACGAGGTCAGGAAATCGAGACCATCCTGGCTAACACGATGAAATCCCGTCTCTACTAAAAATACCAAAAAAATTAGCCAGGCGTGGTGGCGGGCGCCTGTAGTCCCAGCTACTTGGGAGGCTGAGGCAGGAGAATGGCGTGAACCCAGGAGGCGGAGCTTGCAGTGAGCTGAGATTGCACCACTGCACTCCAGCCTGGGCGACAGATCCAGACACCGTCTCAAAAAAATAAAATAAAATAAATAAATAAAAAATAATAATAGTAATAATAATAATAATAAATAAAAATCAGTTTTTAAAAAAATCAAAGTAAAATTTACCCAACATAAAATTAACCATTTTAACATGTACAGTTCAGTGGCATTTACTACATTCATGGTGCTGGGCAACCATTACCTCTATTTAGTTCCAAAACATGGTTATCAGCTTACAAGGAAACTCCATACACATAAAGCCATCCCTCCCTTTGCCTCTTCCTCAGCCTTGGGAAACCACTAGCCTGCCCCTTGTCTCTATGCATTTACCTATTCTGCATATTTCATGTAAAGGGGCCATACAGTACCTGGCTTTTTCATAAAACATCATGTTTCTGAGGTTCATCTACATTGTATCAGTACTTCATTCTTTTGTTTTTATTTATTATTATTATTATTATTATTATTTTGGAGACAGAGTCTTACTTTGTTGCCCAGGCTGGAGTGCAGTGGCGTGATCTCAGCTCACTGCAACTTCCACCTCCCAGGTTCAAGCGATCCTCCTGCCTCAGCCTCCCTAGTAGCTGGGAATACAGGTACACACCACTGCGCCCAGCTAATTTTTTTTTGTATTTTTGGTACAGACGACGTATGGCCATGTTGGCCTGGCTGGTCTGGAACGCCTGACCTTAGGTGGTCCAGCCACCTCGGCTTCCCAATGTGCTGGGAATACAGGTGTGAGCCACTGCACCTGGCCCAACACTTCATTCTTTTTAAATGACTGAAGAATATTTCATTTTGCCAATGTACCACACTTTGTTCACTTATTCATCAGTGGATAAGTTTGGGTTGTTTCCACCTTTTGGCTATTGTGAATAGTATAATCAGTATAACTTTTACATCCACATGTATAACGATTATATGTTAGGTGAATGTCAGTCTCTGATACAAACAACTGGAGCTTATTTTCATGCACAACCCATTCTTATTACAAAAGTTCTTGAGAGGGCTGAGCGCGGTAGCTCACGCCTGTAATCCCAGCACTTTGGGAGGCTGAGGCAGGCAGATCACTTGAGGTCAGGAGATCGAGACCAGTCTGGCCAACATGATAAAACCCCATTTCTACTAAAAATAGAAAAAATTAGCTAGGCATGGTGGTGGGTGCCTGTAATCCAAACTACTCCAGAGATGGAGGCAGGATAATTGCTTGAACCTAGGAAGCAGCGGTTGCAGTGAGCCAAGATCGTGCCACTGCTCTCCAGCCTGGGTGACAGAGTGAGACTTTGTCTCAAAAAAATAAACAAAACAAACAAAAACAACAAAAAACTACAAAGTTCTGGATGGTGTATCCACATCGCTCAGGGAGGGACAGGACTTTGTCTTCTCTCTGATGCACTCTGGGCCCCAAAAGCAGCAGAGAGGGTGACGCTGGGTCTGAGGCCCAGGTCCAGATCCCACCCTCCCTGCAGCTCATGAAAACAGGGAGTCAGCCATCACACCCTCCAGCCCTGTGTGTGCCTCGTTCCTATGGACATCCTAGAAGCTCAGCCCTGTGACATTGAAGAAAGTCCTCAGACTGCACAGTGGGTTGGTGCTCAGCACCCTTTATTTATCACTGGAGATAGGCAATTACATTTCTGCTTGTGGGAAAAAACGAATGACAGCAGGACTGGGGGCCTACAAATGCTTGAGGAAGTAAACCCTCTCTGTCCACAAAGGCTTCACTGTACTTTTCTAGCCTTTCTATTCAATTCTTCACCTTAGGAATTTGAAAATGTAATAGTCTATCTCATGGTAATTTCTGAAACAGTTGTCTTCATCTTTTAGAGATAAATATGCAGGATCATGATCAAAACATCTCCTGAGGCCTCCTTGGTGCCATGCATTATACTGATGACATGGAATAATCCATTTAATCCTCACCACAGCCCTGTGCGGGAGGTCCTGTTTTGATTCTGATTTACAGGTGAGAACACTGAGGCACTGAAAGACAGACACAGAGGGAGCCGGGCTAGTACGCAGCAGAGCTGGACTTAAACGCAGACTGCCTGGCTCCTGGTTCCCTGCTTGCAACTGTTAGCAGCCATCTGCTCATGTGGCTATCAAAAATGACTTCTCAAACAATATTTGGCATCCAATTTCCAATCCCCATTTTATAATTTTGCATGAAAAAAATTTATGTTACTATGATGAATTACTGAGATGAAGTTCTGATGCACTTTGTTCATGTTTAATTGCTTTGGAAACTGACTTTTTAAGCACCTGGAAGGAATCAGTGTCAAGTTAGTTTTGAAATGAACAGATACTGCCTCTTCTGATGAATCAGGAATAATCACCAGGTAGGAGTGTAATCTCACTGCAACTTGTTTGAGTGGTTCACGGACTTTACATCCTAATTTGGATCCTAATTTGCATCCTACCTTTAAAGTTCTGGAATGTCAATGGACAGCTGCATGAATAATTTTGTTTACAAATTAAGATGCAAATATTGGAAGAGAGAATAAAGCTATTCTGGAGTATATGTCAGGAGTGGGCACTGTTTTCTCAACTGTAAATTTTCACCACTTTCTTTTTAATTTGCTGTTCGATTTGTTTTACAGTTTTCTTGTCTTTCTTCATAGACTTGATGGGTTAAAATAATAAAATAATAAAAAACATTAGCATCTGAGAAACTAGAATTTTAATTGTGTGATTCTTTAGGATGGTGTCTCAAACAGCTTTTCTTACAGTTTTAAGTTTGGTCTACATAATAGAAGCATTTTAAAACATCAAGCAAGTCATAGTTGTTTTGGCTTACTGCTTATTCAATTAAAAAGAAATAGAAAGACTAACAGTGCTTATTGGTTTCCAAACCACCAACCCCCATTTAAAAAAATATCAATCTTCATATTTCCCTGAGTCAATTTTTTCTTTTAACCATTAGTATGAGCTAATCCTTATTCAGCATAAAACTAGGCATTATGTTAAGAACTTGCATTTCATAGTCACCACAAAATGGCCTAAAATTAGTATTTATTCCATTTTGTAAATGAGCAACCTGAGGTGTAAAAAGATGCAATAACCTGCCCAAGGTCCTTCAGCTAGCGCATTTTAGACCTGGGATTTTACACTGGGTTGCCAGAACTAGAGGCCTAGCAACCTTCCAAGCCCATCTCCTTACCTCCCGGGCCTCAGTTTGGCTATTCCTTGTCTTTAGAACAAATAAGAGCATTCTATAACTAAATAATTAGCAAAACAAGTCTTTTTCTTGGAAAATGCCTTTTAACCTACTATTAATCCACTTGTTAAATTTTTACTACATTCAAGGCAAAGAAGTGTAAAATATAATCCCTGCCCTCAAGGAGCTTACAGGGATTGCAATGAGAAGTTGTAACATAATGGGAAAACTATGTCAAATGGTAGTTCGAACACTGCAACACAGTTCTGATGCTTACCACCTGGAGTTAGCTACAGGTGCCACAGATTTAAGGGACTGACCTTCCTTCAGACACCAGCCATACTTCTGGTGTCCCCAGTCCTCTTGCACTGCTGAACAACTGGCTAGAAATGTGGGCATCACCATGACCCTTTCGAGTTTGATAATTTGCTAGAACAACTCAAAGGACTCAGGAAATACTTATGCTTAGTTTTATTATAAGTAATAAAAATTGGGACCTGCCAAGGAAGAAACACATTTGGCAAAGTCTGGGAGGGTCCACACACAGAGACTCCATGCCCCTCCGTGCGGAATCTGAACCTGTCATCCTCTCAGGATATCCACATGTTTACCAGCCAGGAAGCTTCCCTGAGCTTCGGCGTCCCCAGTTGTTACTGAGACTGTGTCACAAAGGCAGGATTGACTTAATCATTGGCCACATATTTTAACTGAATCTCTAGCCCCACCCCTCAGAGATTGGAGGTCAAACTTAACATCTGGTGTCTCAAAGCCCGACTCTCCAATCACTTGGCTGCTCTTTTTGGCACAGCTTACCTTTTTCTTAAGCACAAATTCAGGTGTGATCCGAGGAGCTCATGAATAACAATGACACTCCTATTACTCAGGAATTCCCAAGAGTTTGAGAGTCTTCCAGGGGCCAGGGACAAAGGCCAGTCTAATTCTTCATTACACAACAGGTGACCCTGTGGCTTTTGACTATGGTTCTTTTATATGTCTAAAATGTGGAGGAGCTACTGTAGAGTACGAATAAAAAGCTTTTAACTCAATTTCCCAGTATATTTGACTGTCATTACCAGTATTATAATTTTACCGATTATGCCAGTGTTTGACCATATTTCAATATGGTAAAATAATCTGAAAAATAAGAGTAACAAATATTGACATATTACTAGAATCTCATTCAGTCATTAATAATTAGTACAGCCCATCATCATATGGTGTAACCAAAATGTCTCCCAGGGTGACATCACTCACGTTCGCAGCTTCTGTTCAATTCTCTCAAGTTCCACAAGCAGGAGTGCTTTCAGCAATATATGGCTTCACTCTTTCCAGCATCTGGAATCGCTGAGCTAAGAGACAATATCATCTCTTGCCTTCAGCCCCTCTTAAAGTATTAATATAATATTGAATTTTCCTCATTGTGTAACCCAGACATTCATTGTTATAATCTACTAGTGTTTCTTCTTCTCACCAGTTATGAGTTTCTAAGCTTTTCCACATTTAGAAAGCACATTAGGTTCAGCCATTGTGCTGGTCTAGATTCCTGGCAGCAATACAAGTTTAGCGAGTGCCTTCCACTCAGTGGACTCCCATTCATATAGGATGAGGTACAGAACTAGGGGGCGTGTCAACCACTAAGCAATACATCTGCATTTCCTGTCAACCTCAGTCTTGCCAGATGGGGTAAAGACACAATCTACCCCATCTGGTCCTTAGGAAGCACAGTTACAGCTTTTACTTAGGAATTATCCCTCCTTCTGGTATTTTGCAGCCCTGGGCCCGAGACCACCATAGCAGGTAGGTAAAAGAAATTTGAGGTGATGTGGGGAAGAAAGAAAGCTGTAATCACAACTCCTTTGTAAGAAGAATTGTATACTCATCACAACATTTGCCCTACCTCTTCCTTAGGACTCTCAGAAAAGTGGAGGAATCTATCTAGTGGGACCACCCGCTTGGCGCCCTCATTTTGAATGTGAGCACACACTCAAGAAAACATATAAGGCAGCCCTTCATGCCTATTTTTATCCCCATTTTAGATGACCAAATTTTTTATTTTATTTTATTTTACTTTTTTTTGAGATGGAGTTTTGTTCTTGTTACCCAGGCTGGAGTGCAACGGCACGATCTTGGCTCACTGCAACATCTGCCTCCCAGGTTCAAGCAATTCTCCTGCCTCAGCCTCCGGAGTAGCTGGGATTACAAGCATGTGCCACCACATCTAGCTAATTTTTTTTTTTTTTTTTTTGAGATAGAGTCTCACTCTGTTGCCCAGGCTGAAGTGCAGAGTGGCTCGATCTCGGCTCACTGCAAGCTCCACCTCCCGGGTTCATGCCATTCTCCTGCCTCAACGTCCGGAGTAGCTGGGACTTCAGGTGCCCGCCACCACGCCTGGCTAATTTTTTTGTATTTTTGGTAGAGACGGGGTTTCACTGTGTTAGCCAGGATGGTTTCGATCTCTTGACCTCGTGATCCTCCCGCCTCTGCCTCCCAAAATGCTGGGATTACAGGCTTGAGCCACCGTGCCCAGCCCTAATTTTGTATTTTTCGTAGAGACGGGGTTTCTCCATGTTGGTCAGGCTGGTCTCGAACTCCCGACCTCAGGTGATCCGCCTGCTTTGGCCTCCCAAAGTACCAGGATTATAGGCATGAGCCACTGCACCCAGCCGATGACCAATGTTTTAATTGTCCATTTCAATTCTCTATCAAACCATTACTGTTAGGACAAAAGTGTTTCCTGAACTAAGAAAATATGACTTGTTCATTCAAATTGGTGCAGAATAATCTGTTCCGTTGTCTCTGATCATTTGCATCTGTTTCTTGGTAAGCAAAGCCAAGTCTCGAGCAAGTGTCTCGTTCCTGTCTATACCCCTTCGTCCACCCCCCAGGACTAATGTCATCCATTCGGCTTACAGGGCCTTCCTCCCAGCTTCTCTGCTCCATAGCCATCTATAGTCTGTGTCTCTCTTGTTAACAAAAAGAAGAATCTTTACGAGCATTTTGTGCCTCAGAAGGTACAAAGGAATAAATGTAATTCAGCCCATCTCTGGGCTGCTGCAGCCTCACAATATTCACTCATTACGTGAACCCAGTGGCCATCTCAAGCGAGCACACCAGGATATCCTCTTGCTGGCTCCAAGTACCTCCTAATCCTAGAAGGGGGGTTTCTGATAGGCATTGGCATGTCCCACTTCAATGCACCCCTCAAATTCCTGTAATCATTTCCACAAGGCAAGCCCTCCATAGGCCAGTTTTCCATTGCCCTCTGCATAACCCCCAGGTGGTCCCAAAGTCCATCCTAGGGGAAAAAGAGTCGCTCTGCCTGTGAACACGCTGGATAAATTTACATTGACCTGTGCTATGATCTGGATGTCCCTTGAAGTTCATATGTTGACATTTAATCCCCATTGTGGTGGTATTAAGAGGTGGGACCTTTTAGAAAGTGGCTAAGTCATGAGAGCTTTGTCCTCAAGAATGGACTAGCATCTTATAAAAGGGCTGGGTGTCTAGGCACAGTGGCTCACACCTGTAATCCCAGCACTTTAGGAGGCCGAGGCGGGCGGATCACAAGGTCAGGGGATGGAGACCAACCTGGCTAACACAGTGAAACCCTGTCTCTACAAAAATACAAAAAAATTAGCCAGGCATGGTGGCGGGTGCCTGTAGTCCCAGCTACTTGGGAGGCTGAGGCAGGAGAATGGTGTGAACCCAGTAGGCGGAGCTTGCAGTGAGCCAAAATCATGTCAATGCACTCCGGCCTGGGCAACAGAGTGAGACTCAAAAACAAAACAGAACAAAAAGGACTGGGGGGATCTAGCTGAGGCCTTTGGTCTTTCACCTTCTGCCATGTGTGGACACCTAGATGCCACCAACTATGAGGAATGGGTCCTCACCAGGCACAAACTCCACTAGCCTTGATCTTAGACTTCCTGGTCCACAGAACTGTGAAAAATCATTTCCACGAGGCAAAGCCGCAAAGGCCCGTTCTGTTCTTTATAAATTACCCAGTCTCAGGTAGTTTGTTATAGCAGCAGAAAGGGACTAAAACACCCTGGTAGCATGTCCCCATAAACCAATTCCATTTGACTACGAAAATTTTCTGTTTATTGTCCTTCCTATTAAAGCCTTTCTTCACTATCACTCAAGCCATGATCATATTTTAGGTTTCAAGATTAATTTGTGTCCTTCAGTTATAGAGTCCATTTCAATTAAAGTCTGATCACAAGCTAGTAATTGCCACTCAAACGGCAAGGGGTTCAGCTATGGGACTCTGGCCCCTCCATAAACTTTATCTTGATTAATCTGCCTGACCATTGTCCAGGTGATTCCAGGCTGGGTTCCTCATTGGAATCTTTGTTTTCTGGCCTTTAAAATTACTCCAAACTGACACAAATAGACTTGTGTAGGGCCCTGTAATGGGGAAACCGACCAAAGGGGGATCAGCAATGGTTCCTGCTGGTCCCTGCAACCTTCCATAGCACTGCATTCAGACCTTTGTTTCAACACCATTAACGTTTACTTTATTTATTCAATTTGTTGTCATCTAAAGTTTTCCACCCTGCTAAAATGAATCTCTTGATTCTCTTCTCTCTCCATTTTCTTGTTAATTATGTTTTGTTGTTGTTGTGTGTATCTCTAAGACACATAAGGGGAAGCAGAGATAGCAAATCCATAGGGCTCTTTGGACTGTTGCTTGATTTTGCAGCAATAAAGCTACACTGAGTGATTATACAAAGGGGGCCCCTTAACCATAGCATTAACCATGCCCTGCATAAGGGAAACAAACAGTGGATGAATATCCTGAGCATCATAAAGCCAATCCAGCATGGCTTGCACACAAAACATACCAGCCCCTTCACCTGGGATGTTCCAATGGGCATTTATAGGGGAAATAGGATAGTCCTCCTCATGGTAAACAACTTTGTACTGTCTTTTATTTAGCCTAGTAGGCTAATTGTTCCCTAGGGAATAACCTGCTATGTGTCTGGATCATGTGTGGTGATCTATGATTGTTCCATAGTGAGCTGTGGATCTTGTATCAACCCAAACATGCTTTTCTATTCTGCAGTATTCAAAAACCAAAGAAACTTGACTCTGAATTAATTACTCCTACATTTATTTCAGTAAAGGTTCTTCCATAAACTGTTGATATAACTTCGTCATGCTGCACCCCTGGTTTCAGTGGTTTCTTGATTTTTCCTGTCTTACCTGGACTCTTTTTTCGATGACCAGATGTTTCAGAGCATATTGCAGCATATTTTTTCCCTTCGAGGATGGCTTTGAGACTAGTGGCCATATCTCAGACTGACCAAAATCTGAGGTTGGTGTCAGCACCCTTTTTTTCTCTCAGTTTAGCTATTATAACAAGAACCAAGGGATTATATATTTCACTTTTTCCTTTTTTTTTTTTTTTTTTTTTTTTGCACTTCCCTGTACATCCAATAGATCAACTCTTTAGAAGCTGGTCTATCACTATTTCTGAATTCCATTGGCTGGGTCTATCACTGTTTCTCAATTCCATTGGCTGGGTCTATCACTATTTCCGAATTCCATGGGTGGCTTTTACCTTTAGAAACTGATCACAACGCAGATGCAATTTTATATCGGGGTGACCCTGTGGCCCCCCAAAAATCAAAGTTTCCTCATTGTTGGCCTTTTAATTTAATTCTTCCTCTTTCCAAACCCATTGTTTCAGGGTTGTTCTAGTGAGTCTCACATTTTCTGGCACAAATGGTAAGGAGAAGTAAACATTTCTCTATGGAGAAATCACTATGGGGGCATAAAAGCCAGCTTCCTGGAGAAGTAGCATTTAACCCGAGATTTGCAGCATTCCATCTACATAAATGTGAGGAAAGGTCCCTTTAGGTATGAGCTAAAGGGTCAGGACTCGCAGATAAGAAGCATATGTGAAGGCCCATACAGAGGGATATTTGGCTGTGGGTAGCAGCAGGCAGTAGATGTGACTGGGAGGATGTCAGGGGAAGGGGAGCACGTGGAAGATGACATTGGATAACATTGAAAAGAAATACATTTTAAAATTTACTCAAGGGAACATGGTATTAAATCAAGTTTCATCTAAAGCTGCCTCCTTACATATTTAAGTTTGGCCTAAAGGTTTTTCTGTACATTGTGAACTGTAACAAGTGAAGTGTAAGCAGAATGTAGCCTACCCTAGTGCCAATCAACGAGTTTTGGCCAATCAAATGTAGCCAACTGTTCGAGCCATGTTCAAATAAGGTAAATGCCAAGCTGTAACCAATCCGGCTGTTTCTATGCCTCACTTCCATTTTCTGTACTTCACTTTCCTTTTTCTGTCCATAAATCTTCTTCCAACATGTGGCTGAGCTGGAGTCTGGGAGCCTAGTCTGGCTGGGAAGGCTGCCTAATTTTGAGAATCATTCATTGCTCAATTAAACTCCTTCAAATTTAATTTGGCTGAAGTTTTTCTTTTACTAGTGGGGAGCCATTGAATAATTTTATCTGGGGGAAAGGCATGATAGGAAAATCTCTTTCAAAATAAAATGAGTGCTAGCTCGCTGCTAACCACATGTTTACTGAGGTTCATCACTCTGCACACCTGCTCCTCTGGGTTTCCTCACTACTCTCAGAATTCCAGCCCTTACCCGACATGCTGGGGCCACCAACTTACTCGTTTGCCTGTTCTCTTCGACACTGAGGTCATCAAATACTATGTAAGATTCAAGCTTTGTAACCTCAATGCTTCTACCCATTTTGATACTAGATATATATTTATCACATGATTATATTAAATATAGACCAAGACCCTAAAACATTCCTAACCCTAAGATACTCCATGTTTGGGTAAATAGCATCCAAAAATACCACTAGCTGTCCTAAGGTATAGCAGGAGAAAAATACAATGCATCAAAGGGAAAAGCTGTACTGAAGGAGAGAAATAGGAAAGAGGGAAATTAGAAAAATAAAAGATGAAGAGAGACTTTTGCTTAATGTGGATGGGTTACGTCATTGTGGAGGCTAAGGGGTAACAGATATTGTATGGTGGTGTACATGCCATAGGTTGTGCACACATAACCACCCATCGTATTTAGACATAGCATCCACCTGGGAGTCTCACCATACGATAGGCTCAGAGTCTGATCCATATTGCAGGAGAGTCGGAACAGCACACAGCAAGACATGAGGAGGAAGACCCATGACCATTTAGTCACCCGTCATTCTTCAAATGGATACAGTACTTCTAAAACACTAATACTCTTTTTATGGTATATCCATGATTGTAAATTAAGGCCAATAATGGCCGGGCGCGGTGGCTCACACCTGTAATCCCAGCACTTTGGGAGGCCAAGGCGGGTGGATCACAAGGTCAGGAGATCAAGACCATCCTGGCTAACCCAGTGAAACCCTGTCTCTACTAAAAATACAAAAACAAAATTAGCCGGGCGTGCTGGCGGGTGCCTGTAGTCCCAGCTCCTCACGAGGCTGAGGCGGGAGAATGGCATGAACCCAGGAGACGGAGCTTGCAGGGAACTGAGATCGTGCCACTGCACTCCAGCCTGGGCGACAGAGCGAGACTATGTCTCAAATAATAATAATAATAATTCTTAGCTTATCCCAAATAAATCCTGATTTAACTTAATTGTATCTTTCTTGAAATTCTATTAAGAGTAATAAGACATTCAATGATGTATTAAACGATAATAACAGTTGACATTTATAAAGTGTTAACCACAAATATTGATTCATTTATACACAAAATGATTATTGAGTGCCTAAAGTCACTGGGCTGTGCCCTGAGTAAATAAGAATGAGACAGTGCTGCCTCATGTTCTATTCTTTCCTCTGCCAATTTTATACTCCTTTGTTCTAATGTGCACGGGCAACCCGAAAGTCAGCTAATTCTACAAAAATTTAAAAGAAACAAACTAACTTGAGGTTCTAAATAACTTATTCAAGTCCTGGCAGTCGGGATTTGATCATATAACTCTTGTCTCTATTTCTCAGACTGCAAAAACTAATAGGTTGTGGCAAATAATGTATATAAGTTTTGTTAATGAATGGAAAACATTAGGAAGTTAAATATCTGGATACACACATTTTCTAGGCCAACGTTTCTCCTGCTAAATAATCCTGCCTTCAGTCACGGTTGATTTTAAACTGCAGCCAAAAGAACCAAGGGTGATTGTGGCTGTCATTACTGAATAAATGTCATGGGGTTAGCAGGGAGAGAGAGAGAGAGAGAAAGAGACAGAGACAGAGAGAGGGAGATTACAGAATGGGGTACTAATAGTTTGTAACAGTTTTTAAACAATCCTGTTGTAGATTAATGATAGGGTATCAGACAGTAGAGGTAAACTTTGTAGCATATTGCATTTCTGATCAATGCCTACAGATTGATTTTTTTACAAAACTCCTCTGTTACACATGTAAGCGTCACAAGGAGCCTGAGTTTCTTTTGTTACAGATTTAAACAATATTCTAGCATAACCCTGAGAAAGTAAATAATATTTGTGATAATTAATGGATTTTCTAGAAAACTAAATGGTGATGGTGAACTGCCAGGATCCCAAGGAAAAGGAATAGCTCTAGCAAAAAGGATCTGTAGAAAAGAGGAAAGCCTGGTACGCCTTCTGTCCCCATCTTATCCATAGGCTGACCAAGATAACACCTTGAATGTCACATTTACAAGCAAGTATTTTCTGGCCCGATAGCATCAAACATAAAGTCAATCCATCATTTGTCCTAAAGGAACAGCAACATTTGTTTACACTGGAGGAGTCACAAGTCTGAGGAGATTTTTCGATCAGAAATAACCTATCCTTAGACTGAGGTTGGTGAAGGAAGGCAGAAGTCTACGCTGTGTTTTTCTGATTGAACTTTGCACACAGAAGAGTCTTTTGAAATAAGCACTTCGATGTCAACAGCAGTTAATTCAGCAGGCACATGCTGTGGATTAGGGAGAACTAAGATAGGTGATTCTAACTGCTGCAACAGATGTTCTGGGAATATCAGAACCATTGGACTTCAGTGTCAAAGTGAAGCCAGGGACCATGGGAGAATCCTGGTGCCCCCAAAATCACAGAACGTCTTTTGATTCACTTCACTCTGGCCTTTCAGGGTGTTTCTCTACTCTATCGTGCCTCGATTAAGCCACATATTGGTTGAGTCACCTACCCTCCAATCCCCAAATGTAGCTGCCCAAATCAGATACCGTCACAGGTCATGGATGATAAGCATTTTAATGCATGCATCAGTGTGTGTCCTGTTTCTGTTACACTGAAGTACTTAAACAACAGTCATTGTGTTCTCTGCTGATGTGGATAGACTCTTACCTGGTCATAAATGTGTCCTTTATAATTGCTGTTACCTGAGGGCTTTCCATGAAGGCAACTTCAGCAATTAAAGTTACTTAGGTAGCAATCTCGGTTAAAGTGTGATGAACATTTAATTTAGAACAGTGTAGCTTCTTGGTTAGTTTGTGTTGATCTCCAACCTGGTATGTCAACTTGTTTCTCAGTGAGATGGAGAGGTTGAGAGTGCTGCCAAGAGGATGTTAACTATTTTATATGGTATCGTTCTACAAGGTTTGCAGCTACGTACTGAGGTAAAACAGCGTGAACACAGACAATTAAATAAAAGCATAAGAAAATGAAAATATATTTCCAAGATAGGAGGGCAAGTTGAGTGGGAACAATATGCAGCCACTGCCTGAAGGCGTTTGAAGAATGGGAATGGCGAGTCCTGGAAGATTTCCTGGGCCAACAACCTGAAGATTGCACCGCTGCGCAGAGCGCTCCTGGCCTCTGAAGCAGATGTTCTGGAGGCTGCTCTAGTAGTGGACAGACAGGTAAGGATGGTTTAAGCCAGCTTCCTGGAAAGTTCCAGGTCCAGCTTCTAAACGCTCTTCCCAAACTGATAATTCAAAGAGAGTCTGTAGAAACATTTAGGATTTAGGGAAACTACCGTCTGCGTTTATTTTTCTTCCCACAAACTTTTAATAAGCAGCAACTATATTGGCCTGTTCCCGGTGGGGAAACAGGAAGGAAGGGGGAAAATGATGTCATAAGACACTGGCTGTGTGTCTCAGTTCCCTTGTGATTATTTTTGAGATGGAAACGACTGACTCAAGGGCAGAGGACAGGAGGCCCTCAAGCACTACAGTTTGCTGATTGGAAGTGATCAGCATTACAAACCCGGTGCAAGGGCAACGGTGGGTCAGAGATGTGGGCTGAAGAGTCCTGGAAACAGAGGTCCTGGGCAGGGAAATCCGATATGGGGCTTTGAGTAACCTCATGGGCATCTATGAAGAGACAGACAAAAATTAGTCTGTCCAGAGGAAGCGATGACTGATGGCATTTCTACCTGCACACAGTCTGGAAAAGAGTCGGCCCCACCCTGAGTCTTCCCACTCATCTCCTCTCACACATCAATCACCCTGTGTCCTAACCACGACAGCTGCTAAATCTTTAACTTAAGGGGGAAAAGATTTGTTTTTAACTTAAGGAAGGAAAGTATTGTTTAAAATATGAGATGAAAGGAGGAATGACTATTCACTCTTCCTCTCCTAAAGACTTAGCCATTTTAGGCTGGGCACGGTGGCTCACGCCTGTAATCCTAGCACTTTGAGAGGCCGAGGCAGGCGGATCATAAGGTCAGGAGATCGAGACCATCCTGGCTAACACAGTGAAACCCCGTCTCTACTAAAAATACAAAAACAAAATTAGCCAGGCATGGTGGTAGGTGCCTGTAGTCCCAGCTACTTGGGAGGCTGAGGTGGGAGAATGGTGGGAACTTGGGAGGCAGAGGTTGAAGTGAGCTGAGATCACGCCATTGCACTCCAGCCTGGGTGAAAGAGCGAGACTCTCTCTCAAAAAAAAAAAAAAAAAAAAAAAAGATACACAATTTAGGTTAGAGAGGAGGAATAAGTTCAAGAGATCTGTTGTACAACATGGTGACTATATTATAGTTAATATAAAAAATTATACTGATGAAAATTGCCAAGACAGTAGATTTTAAGTCTTCTCACCACAGAAAATTATGTGATGTAATGCATATGTCAATTAGCTCAATTTAGCCATTTCAAAATGTATACATATTCCAATACCACATGTCTTACATGATAAATGTATGCAATTTTTATTTGGCAATAAATAAGCAGAAATATTCAAAAATGAATGAACTATTTTGTATTACGAAAGGTCTGTATCCAAACAATCTATACTTGGTTATTTGAAAAAACAAACAAAACTCCCCTAAAATATCAGAATTTCATTGCTTTTAAGATAGAGATTGGATATTTTATCAAATATTTTATGATTATATTTTACTCACTCATGGCCTGATTCCTCAGAACATACAGTCAGCTAAATTGCCAATGACTTAAACATTTGAAGTTAGGTTTGTTTTTGGTTGTTGTTGTTCATGCTGCAGGGCATAAATTCCTGTGTAATGTGTGCTCACGTATTCAGCTTTGCTTTCAGATTAAATGGAGCACTTCCTAATGGGTCAGTAGCCTGTGAATCCACTGCTTATGACAGTCATCACACTGTAGCTCCGTGTGAGGGCAGCCAAGTGTAAAACTAAGATTCTCCACTAATATCTGTCTAGGGGAGATGTGAGACAATGGCTTTTAAACTTCAGAGTATGTCGGAATTAACAGGAGGACTTACTAAAATACAGATTGCTGGGCCCCAGTTCTAGAGTTCCTAATTCAGTAGGTCTCAGGGGAGCCTGAGAATTTACATTTATAACAAATTCCCGTGTGGTGCTATCACTACTCATTCAGGAAACCCACGTTAAAAACCAGTAGAGAAAAGTGTGGTGCTGCATTTGTTGCTGCCGTATGTAAAACCTGTGAGGTAGCAAGTGAGGTGGTCATCACCACACATAATGAAAACAGTTTCATAAAACTCACTAATGAATGGGTCCAGTTCTGTTACCCCTTAGGTCTAACTTTTATGGAAGAAACACAGACCTTGCCTTCTGATGAATTGGCTGACTGCTGAACTAACTCACTGAGTCTTTCATTTACTTGGAAAATCATGATTGAACTTCATTGATCAGATGGGCATTCTACTTAACACAGGGTGGACAAAAGTTTGGAAAAATAAACAAGTGTTTAATATATTTCACATATTAAGTTGCAATAACACTCATTGTTGATGAGCTAAGGGACACCTCCTGGAGTGCTTCCCGCAGAAGATATACCACCCGTTCCTTCAAGGGAGGGAGGAACCAGATGGTTGGTAATTTCCAAAACTGAGATGGACAATGTAGCCCTGAGGAGTGGGCTGCATGCTCCTCAGCTCGGAACCCTCGTGATTACTTTCTCTGGAATATGCAAAAAGTGCGGGTTTATTCAATGAAAATCAGAGGCACCAATCATCTGAGGCAATGTCTCAATGGGGAACATCTGAGGGGTTGATGAAGGTGTGTCTTAAGGCACCATGGTGACTGTAGTTTTGCACAGTATCTTGGACTTTTTGTTGCTATTGCAGATCAACACCATTACGTATCTCATGCCATGTAATATCACGAACTGGAATGGTGTATCAATAAATCACCTATTATGGATATTCCGTAATATTTTCAGGTTTTGGGCCACCCCGCAGAAGAGGATTCAATGAGCTCATGCTATCTTCCCTCTCAAAGGAGGTGGGCAGTAACACAGAGCATTTGAATTTAACGCTGAGCCTCTCATGAGAGGGGATACATGGGAAAAGAAGCTCTGTGAAAACTGGAGGTTACTGGGGACAGATGAGGCTGTATTGCCATGATGGGGATGGATGATTAGAAACAGTGCAGAGAAAGGGCCCTGACTGATTGGTGTTTCTGATTCCAAAAACATAAAACAAACATGGCAGGTTTTCATGTATTTGCTATTGTAAATAGTGCTGTGATGAACGAACCAGTGCAGGTGTCTTTTTTATAAAACAATTTCTTTTTCTTTGGGTAGACATCCAGTAGTGAGACTACTGAGTTCAATGGTGGTTCTATTTTTAGTTATTTTTATTTTTTATTTATTTTTTTTTTTTGAGACAGAGTCTCCCTCTGTCACCCAGGCTGGAGTGCAGTGGCGCGATCTCGGCTCACTGCAAGCTCCGCCTCCCGGGTTCATGCCATTCTCCCACCTCAGCCTCCCGAGTAGCTGGGACTACAGGAGCCCGCCGCCATGCCTGGCTAATTTTGTTTTTATGTTTTTAGTAGAGATGGGGTTTCACCGTGTTAGTCAGTATGGTCTCGGTCTCCTGACCTCGTGATCCGCCCGCCTTGGCCTCCCAAAGTGCTGGGATTACAGGCATGAGCCACCGCACCCAGCCCAGGATGATATTTTCTAAAGTTTCTTCTAGGATTTTTATAGTTTGAGGTCTTACATTTAAATCTTTAAACCATCTTGAGTTAATTTTTGTATATGGTAAAATGTAGGGGTCCAGTTTCATTCTTCTGCATATGGCTAACCAGTTATCCCAGCACTATTTATTGAATAGGGAGTCTTTTCCTCATTGCTTATTTTCATCAACTTTGTCAAAGATCAGATGGTGGTAGGTATGTGGATTTATTTCTAGGTTCTCTCTTCGGTTCCATTGGTCTATGTATCTGTTTTTGTACCAGTACCATGCTGTTTTGGTTTAAACTAGGTGCCCATAAACAGTGGATTGAATTAAGAAAATGTGGTACATATACACCATGGAATATTATGCAACCATAAAAAAGAACAAAATCGGCCTGGTGTGGTGGCTCACACCTGTAGTCCCAGCACTTTGGGAGCCCAAGGCGGGTGGATCACAAGGTCAGGAGATCGAGACCATCCTGGCTAACACGGTGAAACCTCGTCTCTACTAAAAAATACAAAAAAATTAGCCCGGGCATGGTGGTGGGTGCCTGTAGTCCCAGCTACTCAGGAGGCTGAGGCAGGAGAATGGCATGAACCTGGGAGGCAGAGCTTGCAGTGAGCTGAGATCACACCACTGTACTCCATCCTGGGCGACAGAGCAAGACTCCGTCCAAAAAAAAAAAAAAAAAAAAATCATGTCTTTTGCAGCTGCCTGGATGCAGCTGGAGGCCATTACCCTAAGTGAATTAACAAAGCAACAGAAAACTAAATACCACGTTCTCACATATAAATGGGAGCAAACCATTGGGTGCACATGAGCATAAAGATGGGAACAAAAGACACTGGGACTCCTAGAAGGGGGAGAGAAGGAGGGAGGGTAAGGGTTGAAAAGCTACCTATTGGGTACTATGCTCACTACCTGAGTAATAAGATCATTTGTACACAAACCTCAGAGTCCCACAATATACCCATGTAACAAATCTGCACATGTATCCCCTGAATCTAAAAGTTGAATTTTTTTTCTTACAGTAAGCTTTTATTCATTTATGTTGCATAACCAGCAATATTGGGAGATATTCAATTTTTTTATTAAGGTGCTAGGCTGTGCCTTAAAGGATTCAAATATTTTAATAAAATGTAGTTTCAAACTATTTTAAATCAAAATACTCTAATGTTATTTCTAATATGAATGCCATTTTTTTCTGAGTGTGAAAAATTCCAGAAACAGTTATTTATTTTAATACGAAGCTAGTACAAAATAAAGTTTAAGTGAAATTAATTGGAGAAAAAGCCAACTTAACTAGGTATAAACTCTATACTTTGCCTCTCTTTATAGAAATAAAATCATGTGCCTTCAAGTGTATAAGACAGCAGGAACTAATTTCCAAAGGACCAACACTTGGAAAAGCAGTGACAGCATTAGGAGGAATAACTGTTGAGAGCTGCACTCTTGGGACAGCTGGACTATGCTGCTGGGCAGAGTTCAGGCAGAGCAGGGCTGCTCTCTCTCCTGTCTGGAGAGTGCTCTGAGTGTAGCCCTAGGCCTGCACCTGGCAAGTTCATGGTTCAGACAAACTCTGGCCTCCCCAGCACAGACAGGCAGCATGGTTCTTCTCACAGTCCAGGGAAATGCTCCTGGACACGTCTCAAAATGAAAGATCTTCTCATCTTGTCCCCCAGTGGTTCAAACTTCTGCTGAGTGTGGGCTGAATATCTTTGTGATACATTTATAAACAAATAGATGCTTCCTAAAGTTTTACTTTGCAACTGTTTCATCCCTCTTCTTCAAAATAAAGTGAATAAAATATTTCATGGAGTTTAGTGAGAAAAATAAATCAGATTATTCATATAAAATATTGATTACAGTGCTTCTTGGTACACTGTCCACTGTCTGGGCACACGGGCAATAAATTATAGCTGCTATTTTTAAATATATTATTTGAATATTGTGAGACATAAATGAGTATTCAAAACCTCTACTATAATATCTATAAGATATTAAATGCCTACTAGGAAGTATTAATTATTTTTCTATATACAATGTACCAGGAATTCTCAACA